>NC_000005.10:17580548-17883578 GCF_000001405.40 Homo sapiens
GAATTCTCACCAATTTGGGGTATTTAAAACAAACACCAGCTCACAGGTCAGAAGTTCTGCTAGGCCAAGTGACTGCCTCCTGCTCAGAGTCCCACGAGGGACCTCCAGGATGGGTCTGGCTGTGCGGTCGTTGCCTCCACCTGAGAAGGGTCTGGCTTCGATCCGATTCGAGTTGGTGGCAGAATTCAACAATGACTCAGGGTTGCGAGCCCCAGGCCCACTTGTTTGTTCTGCCTGCTGCCGTGAGGATGCTCTCAGCTCCTACCCGTGCTGCCCAGGTCTGGGCCGTGAGGCTCCCTGGGTGTGCACAGCCAGTGCTGGGGAATCTCCCACAGGGGAGCGTAATCACAGGGGGGTTCAGTCCTCCCTTATAAAGGGCTCAGATGACTGCATTAGACCCAGCCCTTAGCAGCCATTGGTTCAGGATACCCCCCAATCTAATGAGGAAGTCGGGCGGGCACATCAATTCGTGCTTCCGCCCACACCCAAGGGAGGGGCAGACACAGGGCGACTCTCTGTGGGGCGGGAAATGCAGGGGGCATTTCAGAATTCAGTCCTCTTCACAGAATCGCAAAGTTCACATCTCACAACAGTAAAGAAACTATTTACAGTAAAAATGAGACATTTTACGAAGTTGAGCATTAGAAAACTTCGATGTCTGAGAAAAAAAACTCTCTAACGCACAGGGAAGAAAGCGGTTTATCAAATACTCTGAAAATAAAATGGGCTGGGTGAGGGAAACGTGAAAATATTATTTCAATTTTATTTTACGTCACTTTATTTTATTTTATTTTATTTTATTTGTTTATTTCTGAGACAGTGCCTCGCTCTGTCCCCCAGGCTGGATTATAGCGGCCTCATCTCAGCCCACTGCAGCCTCGGCATCCTAGGCTCAACGGATTCTCCTGCCTCAGCCTCCAGAGTGGCTGGGACTAAATGTGCGCGCTACCACGCCGGGCAAATTTTTGTATTTGCTCAAGTAGAGACGAGGTCTCGCCATTTTGGCCAGGCTGGTCTTGAACTGCTGACTTCAGGTGATCTGCCCCACCTTGGCTTCCCAAAGTGAAGGGACTATAGGCGTGAGCCACCGCGCCCAAACTATGATAGTTTCACACTGAAGCCTGACGCTGCTCTGCCTTAGGATTTTTCCTGAGTTTTACTTCCTTGTCAGGATGAGTTGCTAGTTCATATTTTCTGTTGGATCTTTTAGAAAGGCGTTACTGATGAGATTATGGCTTTCTCACAAGAAATACTACTCTGGTGAAACTCTGTTGAAATTATCAGTACCTTAAGTTTCCAATCCTTATCAAGTACAATAGTTGAACATGGCGTGGTAGCTGAAAGTGTAAGAGGCAGAATTTGGCAGACTCCACTTCTTCCCATTTCGATGGTTCCAGGTTTTTTGGCTTCAGCCGAACTAAAGAATGTCCTCACGAGCTGTGAATTCACAGGTCACTACAGACAATTTTTGAAACTGAATCACACTGTAATTTTTGGCGTATGCTCTGTGAGCTGTGCTGGGAAGGTTCACGCTGATTCCGTAATAAATCTCGGGTTTTTACTCTATAGCGAAAAATTACTCTTTGCCATCATGAAGGCAAAGCAGAGTATGTACAAGTAGAGTGTGGAATAACTTTGTCACTCGTGACGAACCGACTTGGTCCAATACTTTAACGACTTCTCCAATGGCTCCGTACTCAGGTTTGATTTTCTGAGTGGATGATCGGGGCATGGCGAGCATATCAGCAGACACACTGTTTGCATGCCGGTCTCCATGGGTGAGATTCAAGTCTGCTCCGTGACAGCAGCTGTACAGGCAGAAGTTCCGGCTGGGGTGGTTTGATTGTGGATCTGCGATGAGAACCTTTCAAAGATTTTAGCTGCTGTGTTTCTGCTGAGCCAGTTTCGCCGTAACCGGACACGGCTCCCGGCCGCCCCTTCCCACACACAAACACACACACTGAATTTTCTCGCTTCCACAGTGTGAAGAAACTTGTGGAAGGAGAGTATGTTAGTTTTAGGTCAATGCAGAACGAATTCTCACCAATTTGGGGTATTTAAAACAAACACCAGCTCACAGGTCAGAAGTTCTGCTAGGCCAAGTGACTGCCTCCTGCTCAGAGTCCCACGAGGGACCTCCAGGATGGGTCTGGCTGTGCGGTCGTTGCCTCCACCTGAGAAGGGTCTGGCTTCGATCCGATTCGAGTTGGTGGCAGAATTCAACAATGCCTCAGGGTTGCGAGCCCCAGGCCCACTTTTTTGTTCTGCCTGCTGCCGTGAGGATGCTCTCAGCTCCTACCCGTGCTGCCCAGGTCTGGGCCGTGAGGCTCCCTGGGTGTGCACAGCCAGTGCTGGGGAATCTCCCACAGGGGAGCGTAATCACAGGGGGGTCCAGTCCTCCCTTATAAAGGGCTCTGATGACTGCATTAGACCCAGCCCTTAGCAGCCGTTGGTTCAGGATACCCCCCAATCTAATGAGGAAGTCGGGCGGGCACATCAATTCGTGCTTCCGCCCATACCCAAGGGAGGGGCAGACACAGGGCGACTCTCTGAGGGGCGGGAAATGCAGGGGGCATTTCAGAATTCAGTCCTCTTCACAGAATCGCAAAGTTCACATCTCACAACAGTAAAGAAAGTATTTACAGTAAAAATGAGACATTTTACGAAGTTGAGCATTAGAAAACTTCGATGTCTGAGAAAAAAAACTCTCTAACGCACAGGGAAGAAAGCGGTTTATCAAATACTCTGAAAATAAAATGGGCTGGGTGAGGGAAACGTGAAAATATTATTTCAATTTTATTTTACGTCACTTTATTTTAGTTTATTTTATTTTATTTGTTTATTTCTGAGACAGTGCCTCGCTCTGTCCCCCAGGCTGGATTATAGCGGCCTCATCTCAGCCCACTGCAGCCTCGGCATCCTAGGCTCAACGGATTCTCCTGCCTCAGCCTCCATAGTGGCTGGGACTAAATGTGCGCGCTACCACGCCGGGCAAATTTTTGTATTTGCTCAAGTAGAGACGAGGTCTCGCCATTTTGGCCAGGCTGGTCTTGAACTGCTGACTTCAGGTGATCTGCCCCACCTTGGCTTCCCAAAGTGAAGGGACTATAGGCGTGAGCCACCGCGCCCAGACTATGATAGTTTCACACTGAAGCCTGACGCTGCTCTGCCTTAGGATTTTTCCTGAGTTTTACTTCCTTGTCAGGATGAGTTGCTAGTTCATATTTTCTGTTGGATCTTTTAGAAAGGCGTTACTGATGAGATTATGGCTTTCTCACAAGAAATACTACTCTGGTGAAACTCTGTTGAAATTATCAGTACCTTAAGTTTCCAATCCTTATCAAGTACAATAGTTGAACATGGCGTGGTAGCTGAAAGTGTAAGAGGCAGAATTTGGCAGACTCCACTTCTTCCCATTTCGATGGTTCCAGGTTTTTTGGCTTCAGCCGAACTAAAGAATGTCCTCACGAGCTGTGAATTCACAGGTCACTACAGACAATTTTTGAAACTGAATCACACTGTAATTTTTGGCGTATGCTCTGTGAGCTGTGCTGGGAAGGTTCACGCTGATTCCGTAATAAATCTCGGGTTTTTACTCTATAGCGAAAAATTACTCTTTGCCATCATGAAGGCAAAGCAGAGTATGTACAAGTAGAGTGTGGAATAACTTTGTCACTCGTGACGAACCGACTTGGTCCAATACTTTAACGACTTCTCCAATGTCTCCGTACTCAGGTTTGATTTTCTGAGTGGATCATCGGTAGAATGAATAAAATGAAGAATCCTCTAAGGCAATGTTTGGAACTAAATTTCAGTGTCTCCGGAAGCACTGGAAAAATCACCACGTGTAGCGAAAGTGAAGTGTCAATAGGCTCTCTCTGTGTCCTTCAAACCGCCCATATGGTCGTTACAAACGGCGGCTTGAGGAAAGGTGGTTTTGGAATCGGTTTCTCTCTGGTCTTACATGATGCATCTATACTATACTGCATTATAATACAGGAAAGGGTCACTTGCTGACATAAAGCACAGCAGGCAGGAATAGAAGAGTCAACTTAGGGGAAAAAAAGAAAGTGCTTTGTGATTTCAATTTGGTGTCTGCAGTTTGGAAAACGGTTGATCAGTTTAACTGTTTTCGTGGTGACTCACAAAAATACATATGAGCGTTGAAATTCTACAGAAGAACAACAATCGGGGAAACATTTCTGCAAGCTCCAATTACTGGAACCCAGACATAAGCCTACAAGCTAAGACAGAGCTACACCAGGCTTCAGCAGGAAACCATACAGATCTCCTGGGAAGGGCTTCCCTCTCTGAATGCAGCTGCCTGTCCACGGGATGCTCTAGGCCCAGGCACCTTGATTCCTCCAGCTGGAAAGACATAGAGAAACGCCTCCACATCCCATTAAAATGCCCAAAGATTTAGCCAAGGCTCCTATGAAGCGATCTGCTGTCTTCATCCAGGTAAGGGCAACTTCGCATTTTAAGACACGAAGATCGTGGGTAAATCCAGGTGGGACTGAGATGCGGGAGCTCCGGCGCACACACTCCTGTCATTGGAAGATGAACGCGGTACTTATTCCTGCACAAACAGACCCTGCCCTCTGGCCCTGGGCCTAGAACATGATTCTTTTGCAGTTGCTGTTGGGGAAGAGGCCCTTGGGCTTTAACCTGCGAACGGCCTCCCTTAAATGCTTGGGCTGCAGCGGGGGCGTCTCTCCCCACATCTCACACACGTCCAGGGCCTCTTCCACCACCTCTCCAACAAAGAGCTTGGCTATTCCAGCCATGGCAATGGCCGCGTTCTCCGACACCGAACTGCCAGTGATAGCCCGCATCAGACCCGCAACGCGTGCTCTCGGGAACGCTGACCGGCGACACACTTCGTAGCGGGACAGCTGCTCCTCAGACATGGCAGACAGCAGGGTTGTCATCCTCTGAGCCTCCTCCGCATCCACGGTGGGCTTGCTCTCCTTCTTGCCTTTCGTATGTGTTTTCCGTCTTTTGGCTGCAGGAGGAGCTGAGGCTGAGGCCTCACTGTCACCTTCTGTGAGGTCCATGACATCCTCACTCCTGAGCTCACCTTCCTGATCCCTGGGTGCTTCCAAGTTCCCGTCTAGGTCCTCAGGGATTCCATCCTTCTTGCTGCCCTTCAGACCTCGGGGCATGGCGAGCATCTCAGCAGACACGCCTGTTTGCCTGCCGGTCTCCATGGGTGAGATTCAAGTCTGCTCCGTGACAGCAGCTGTACAGGCAGAAGTTCCGGCTGGGGTGGTTTGATTGTGGATCTGCGATGAGAACCTTTCAAAGATTTTAGCTGCTGTGTTTCTGCTGAGCCAGTTTCGCCGTAACCGGACACGGCTCCCGGCCGCCCCTTCCCACACACAAACACACACACTGAATTTTCTCGCTTCCACAGTGTGAAGAAACTTGTGGAAGGAGAGTATGTTAGTTTTAGGTCAATGCAGAACGAATTCTCACCAATTTTGGGTATTTAAAACAAACACCAGCTCACAGGTCAGAAGTTCTGCTAGGCCAAGTGACTGCCTCCTGCTCAGAGTCCCACGAGGGACCTCCAGGATGGGTCTGGCTGTGCGGTCGTTGCCTCCACCTGAGAAGGGTCTGGCTTCGATCCGATTCGAGTTGGTGGCAGAATTCAACAATGCCTCAGGGTTGCGAGCCCCAGGCCCACTTGTTTGTTCTGCCTGCTGCCGTGAGGATGCTCTCAGCTCCTACCCGTGCTGCCCAGGTCTGGGCCGTGAGGCTCCCTGGGTGTGCACAGCCAGTGCTGGGGAATCTCCCACAGGGGAGCGTAATCACAGGGGGGTCCAGTCCTCCCTTATAAAGGGCTCAGATGACTGCATTAGACCCAGCCCTTAGCAGCCATTGGTTCAGGATACCCCCCAATCTAATGAGGAAGTCGGGCGGGCACATCAATTCGTGCTTCCGCCCACACCCAAGGGAGGGGCAGACACAGGGCGACTCTCTGTGGGGCGGGAAATGCAGGGGGCATTTCAGAATTCAGTCCTCTTCACAGAATCGCAAAGTTCACATCTCACAACAGTAAAGAAACTATTTACAGTAAAAATGAGACATTTTACGAAGTTGAGCATTAGAAAACTTCGATGTCTGAGAAAAAAAACTCTCTAACGCACAGGGAAGAAAGCGGTTTATCAAATACTCTGAAAATAAAATGGGCTGGGTGAGGGAAACGTGAAAATATTATTTCAATTTTATTTTACGTCACTTTATTTTATTTTATTTTATTTTATTTGTTTATTTCTGAGACAGTGCCTCGCTCTGTCCCCCAGGCTGGATTACAGCGGCCTCATCTCAGCCCACTGCAGCCTCGGCATCCTAGGCTCAACGGATTCTCCTGCCTCAGCCTCCAGAGTGGCTGGGACTAAATGTGCGCGCTACCACGCCGGGCAAATTTTTGTATTTGCTCAAGTAGAGACGAGGTCTCGCCATTTTGGCCAGGCTGGTCTTGAACTGCTGACTTCAGGTGATCTGCCCCACCTTGGCTTCCCAAAGTGAAGGGACTATAGGCGTGAGCCACCGCGCCCAAACTATGATAGTTTCACACTGAAGCCTGACGCTGCTCTGCCTTAGGATTTTTCCTGAGTTTTACTTCCTTGTCAGGATGAGTTGCTAGTTCATATTTTCTGTTGGATCTTTTAGAAAGGCGTTACTGATGAGATTATGGCTTTCTCACAAGAAATACTACTCTGGTGAAACTCTGTTGCCTTTCGTATGTGTTTTCCGTCTTTTGGCTGCAGGAGGAGTTGAGGCTGAGGCCTCACTGTCACCTTCTGTGAGGTCCATGACATCCTCACTCCTGAGCTCACCTTCCTGATCCCTGGGTGCTTCCAAGTTCCCGTCTAGGTCCTCAGGGATTCCATCCTTCTTGCTGCCCTTCAGACCTCGGGGCATGGCGAGCATCTCAGCAGACACACCTGTTTGCCTGCCGGTCTCCATGGGTGAGATTCAAGTCTGCTCCGTGACAGCAGCTGTACAGGCAGAAGTTCCGGCTGGGGTGGTTTGATTGTGGATCTGCGATGAGAACCTTTCAAAGATTTTAGCTGCTGTGTTTCTGCTGAGCCAGTTTCGCCGTAACCGGACACGGCTCCCGGCCGCCCCTTCCCACACACAAACACACACACTGAATTTTCTCGCTTCCACAGTGTGAAGAAACTTGTGGAAGGAGAGTATGTTAGTTTTAGGTCAATGCAGAACGAATTCTCACCAATTTTGGGTATTTAAAACAAACACCAGCTCACAGGTCAGAAGTTCTGCTAGGCCAAGTGACTGCCTCCTGCTCAGAGTCCCACGAGGGACCTCCAGGATGGGTCTGGCTGTGCGGTCGTTGCCTCCACCTGAGAAGGGTCTGGCTTCGATCCGATTCGAGTTGGTGGCAGAATTCAACAATGCCTCAGGGTTGCGAGCCCCAGGCCCACTTGTTTGTTCTGCCTGCTGCCGTGAGGATGCTCTCAGCTCCTACCCGTGCTGCCCAGGTCTGGGCCGTGAGGCTCCCTGGGTGTGCACAGCCAGTGCTGGGGAATCTCCCACAGGGGAGCGTAATCACAGGGGGGTCCAGTCCTCCCTTATAAAGGGCTCTGATGACTGCATTAGACCCAGCCCTTAGCAGCCGTTGGTTCAGGATACCCCCCAATCTAATGAGGAAGTCGGGCGGGCACATCAATTCGTGCTTCCGCCCATACCCAAGGGAGGGGCAGACACAGGGCGACTCTCTGAGGGGCGGGAAATGCAGGGGGCATTTCAGAATTCAGTCCTCTTCACAGAATCGCAAAGTTCACATCTCACAACAGTAAAGAAAGTATTTACAGTAAAAATGAGACATTTTACGAAGTTGAGCATTAGAAAACTTCGATGTCTGAGAAAAAAAACTCTCTAACGCACAGGGAAGAAAGCGGTTTATCAAATACTCTGAAAATAAAATGGGCTGGGTGAGGGAAACGTGAAAATATTATTTTCAATTTTATTTTACGTCACTTTATTTTAGTTTATTTTATTTTATTTTGTTTATTTTCTGAGACAGTGCCTCGCTCTGTCCCCCAGGCTGGATTATAGCGGCCTCATCTCAGCCCACTGCAGCCTCGGCATCCTAGGCTCAACGGATTCTCCTGCCTCAGCCTCCAGAGTGGCTGGGACTAAATGTGCGCGCTACCACGCCGGGCAAATTTTTGTATTTGCTCAAGTAGAGACGAGGTCTCGCCATTTTGGCCAGGCTGGTCTTGAACTGCTGACTTCAGGTGATCTGCCCCACCTTGGCTTCCCAAAGTGAAGGGACTATAGGCGTGAGCCACCGCGCCCAAACTATGATAGTTTCACACTGAAGCCTGACGCTGCTCTGCCTTAGGATTTTTCCTGAGTTTTACTTCCTTGTCAGGATGAGTTGCTAGTTCATATTTTCTGTTGGATCTTTTAGAAAGGCGTTACTGATGAGATTATGGCTTTCTCACAAGAAATACTACTCTGGTGAAACTCTGTTGAAATTATCAGTACCTTAAGTTTCCAATCCTTATCAAGTACAATAGTTGAACATGGCGTGGTAGCTGAAAGTGTAAGAGGCAGAATTTGGCAGACTCCACTTCTTCCCATTTCGATGGTTCCAGGTTTTTTGGCTTCAGCCGAACTAAAGAATGTCCTCACGAGCTGTGAATTCACAGGTCACTACAGACAATTTTTGAAACTGAATCACACTGTAATTTTTGGCGTATGCTCTGTGAGCTGTGCTGGGAAGGTTCACGCTGATTCCGTAATAAATCTCGGGTTTTTACTCTATAGCGAAAAATTACTCTTTGCCATCATGAAGGCAAAGCAGAGTATGTACAAGTAGAGTGTGGAATAACTTTGTCACTCGTGACGAACCGACTTGGTCCAATACTTTAACGACTTCTCCAATGTCTCCGTACTCAGGTTTGATTTTCTGAGTGGATGATCGGTAGAATGAATAAAATGAAGAATCCTCTAAGGCAATGTTTGGAACTAAATTTCAGTGTCTCCGGAAGCACTGGAAAAATCACCACGTGTAGCGAAAGTGAAGTGTCAATAGGCTCTCTCTGTGTCCTTCAAACCCCCCATATGGTCGTTGCAAACGGCGGCTTGAGGAAAGGTGGTTTTGGAATCGGTTTCTCTCTGGTCTTACATGATGCATCTATACTATACTGCATTATAATACAGGAAAGGGTCACTTGCTGACATAAAGCACAGCAGGCAGGAATAGAAGAGTCAACTTAGGGGAAAAAAAGAAAGTGCTTTGTGATTTCAATTTGGTGTCTGCAGTTTGGAAAACGGTTGATCAGTTTAACTGTTTTCGTGGTGACTCACAAAAATACATATGAGCGTTGAAATTCTACAGAAGAACAACAATCGGGGAAACATTTCTGCAAGCTCCAATTACTGGAACCCAGACATAAGCCTACAAGCTAAGACAGAGCTACACCAGGCTTCAGCAGGAAACCATACAGATCTCCTGGGAAGGGCTTCCCTCTCTGAATGCAGCTGCCTGTCCACGGGATGCTCTAGGCCCAGGCACCTTGATTCCTCCAGCTGGAAAGACATAGAGAAACGCCTCCACATCCCATTAAAATGCCCAAAGATTTAGCCAAGGCTCCTATGAAGCGATCTGCTGTCTTCATCCAGGTAAGGGCAACTTCGCATTTTAAGACACGAAGATCGTGGGTAAATCCAGGTGGGACTGAGATGCGGGAGCTCCGGCGCACACACTCCTGTCATTGGAAGATGAACGCGGTACTTATTCCTGCACAAACAGACCCTGCCCTCTGGCCGTGGGCCTAGAACATGATTCTTTTGCAGTTGCTGTTGGGGAAGAGGCCCTTGGGCTTTAACCTGCGAACGGCCTCCCTTAAATGCTTGGGCTGCAGCGGGGGCGTCTCTCCCCACATCTCACACACGTCCAGTGCCTCTTCCACCACCTCTCCAACAAAGAGCTTGGCTATTCCAGCCATGGCAATGGCCGCGTTCTCCGACACCGAACTGCCAGTGATAGCCCGCATCAGACCCGCAACGCGTGCTCTCGGGAACGCTGACCGGCGACACACTTCGTAGCGGGACAGCTGCTCCTCAGACATGGCAGACAGCAGGGTTGTCATCCTCTGAGCTTCCTCCGCATCCACGGTGGGCTTGCTCTCCTTCTTGCCTTTCGTATGTGTTTTCCGTCTTTTGGCTGCAGGAGGAGCTGAGGCTGAGGCCTCACTGTCACCTTCTGTGAGGTCCATGACATCCTCACTCCTGAGCTCACCTTCCTGATCCCTGGGTGCTTCCAAGTTCCCGTCTAGGTCCTCAGGGATTCCATCCTTCTTGCTGCCCTTCAGACCTCGGGGCATGGCGAGCATCTCAGCAGACACGCCTGTTTGCCTGCCGGTCTCCATGGGTGAGATTCAAGTCTGCTCCGTGACAGCAGCTGTACAGGCAGAAGTTCCGGCTGGGGTGGTTTGATTGTGGATCTGCGATGAGAACCTTTCAAAGATTTTAGCTGCTGTGTTTCTGCTGAGCCAGTTTCGCCGTAACCGGACACGGCTCCCGGCCGCCCCTTCCCACACACAAACACACACACTGAATTTTCTCGCTTCCACAGTGTGAAGAAACTTGTGGAAGGAGAGTATGTTAGTTTTAGGTCAATGCAGAACGAATTCTCACCAATTTTGGGTATTTAAAACAAACACCAGCTCACAGGTCAGAAGTTCTGCTAGGCCAAGTGACTGCCTCCTGCTCAGAGTCCCACGAGGGACCTCCAGGATGGGTCTGGCTGTGCGGTCGTTGCCTCCACCTGAGAAGGGTCTGGCTTCGATCCGATTCGAGTTGGTGGCAGAATTCAACAATGCCTCAGGGTTGCGAGCCCCAGGCCCACTTTTTTGTTCTGCCTGCTGCCGTGAGGATGCTCTCAGCTCCTACCCGTGCTGCCCAGGTCTGGGCCGTGAGGCTCCCTGGGTGTGCACAGCCAGTGCTGGGGAATCTCCCACAGGGGAGCGTAATCACAGGGGGGTCCAGTCCTCCCTTATAAAGGGCTCTGATGACTGCATTAGACCCAGCCCTTAGCAGCCGTTGGTTCAGGATACCCCCCAATCTAATGAGGAAGTCGGGCGGGCACATCAATTCGTGCTTCCGCCCATACCCAAGGGAGGGGCAGACACAGGGCGACTCTCTGAGGGGCGGGAAATGCAGGGGGCATTTCAGAATTCAGTCCTCTTCACAGAATCGCAAAGTTCACATCTCACAACAGTAAAGAAAGTATTTACAGTAAAAATGAGACATTTTACGAAGTTGAGCATTAGAAAACTTCGATGTCTGAGAAAAAAAACTCTCTAACGCACAGGGAAGAAAGCGGTTTATCAAATACTCTGAAAATAAAATGGGCTGGGTGAGGGAAACGTGAAAATATTATTTCAATTTTATTTTACGTCACTTTATTTTAGTTTATTTTATTTTATTTGTTTATTTCTGAGACAGTGCCTCGCTCTGTCCCCCAGGCTGGATTATAGCGGCCTCATCTCAGCCCACTGCAGCCTCGGCATCCTAGGCTCAACGGATTCTCCTGCCTCAGCCTCCAGAGTGGCTGGGACTAAATGTGCGCGCTACCACGCCGGGCAAATTTTTGTATTTGCTCAAGTAGAGACGAGGTCTCGCCATTTTGGCCAGGCTGGTCTTGAACTGCTGACTTCAGGTGATCTGCCCCACCTTGGCTTCCCAAAGTGAAGGGACTATAGGCGTGAGCCACCGCGCCCAGACTATGATAGTTTCACACTGAAGCCTGACGCTGCTCTGCCTTAGGATTTTTCCTGAGTTTTACTTCCTTGTCAGGATGAGTTGCTAGTTCATATTTTCTGTTGGATCTTTTAGAAAGGCGTTACTGATGAGATTATGGCTTTCTCACAAGAAATACTACTCTGGTGAAACTCTGTTGAAATTATCAGTACCTTAAGTTTCCAATCCTTATCAAGTACAATAGTTGAACATGGCGTGGTAGCTGAAAGTGTAAGAGGCAGAATTTGGCAGACTCCACTTCTTCCCATTTCGATGGTTCCAGGTTTTTTGGCTTCAGCCGAACTAAAGAATGTCCTCACGAGCTGTGAATTCACAGGTCACTACAGACAATTTTTGAAACTGAATCACACTGTAATTTTTGGCGTATGCTCTGTGAGCTGTGCTGGGAAGGTTCACGCTGATTCCGTAATAAATCTCGGGTTTTTACTCTATAGCGAAAAATTACTCTTTGCCATCATGAAGGCAAAGCAGAGTATGTACAAGTAGAGTGTGGAATAACTTTGTCACTCGTGACGAACCGACTTGGTCCAATACTTTAACGACTTCTCCAATGTCTCCGTACTCAGGTTTGATTTTCTGAGTGGATGATCGGTAGAATGAATAAAATGAAGAATCCTCTAAGGCAATGTTTGGAACTAAATTTCAGTGTCTCCGGAAGCACTGGAAAAATCACCACGTGTAGCGAAAGTGAAGTGTCAATAGGCTCTCTCTGTGTCCTTCAAACCGCCCATATGGTCGTTACAAACGGCGGCTTGAGGAAAGGTGGTTTTGGAATCGGTTTCTCTCTGGTCTTACATGATGCATCTATACTATACTGCATTATAATACAGGAAAGGGTCACTTGCTGACATAAAGCACAGCAGGCAGGAATAGAAGAGTCAACTTAGGGGAAAAAAAGAAAGTGCTTTGTGATTTCAATTTGGTGTCTGCAGTTTGGAAAACGGTTGATCAGTTTAACTGTTTTCGTGGTGACTCACAAAAATACATATGAGCGTTGAAATTCTACAGAAGAACAACAATCGGGGAAACATTTCTGCAAGCTCCAATTACTGGAACCCAGACATAAGCCTACAAGCTAAGACAGAGCTACACCAGGCTTCAGCAGGAAACCATACAGATCTCCTGGGAAGGGCTTCCCTCTCTGAATGCAGCTGCCTGTCCACAGGATGCTCTAGGCCCAGGCACCTTGATTCCTCCAGCTGGAAAGACATAGAGAAACGCCTCCACATCCCATTAAAATGCCCAAAGATTTAGCCAAGGCTCCTATGAAGCGATCTGCTGTCTTCATCCAGGTAAGGGCAACTTCGCATTTTAAGACACGAAGATCGTGGGTAAATCCAGGTGGGACTGAGATGCGGGAGCTCCGGCGCACACACTCCTGTCATTGGAAGATGAACGCGGTACTTATTCCTGCACAAACAGACCCTGCCCTCTGGCCCTGGGCCTAGAACATGATTCTTCTGCAGTTGCTGTTGGGGAAGAGGCCCTTGGGCTTTAACCTGCGAACGGCCTCCCTTAAATGCTTGGGCTGCAGCGGGGGCGTCTCTCCCCACATCTCACACACGTCCAGGGCCTCTTCCACCACCTCTCCAACAAAGAGCTTGGCTATTCCAGCCATGGCAATGGCCGCGTTCTCCGACACCGAACTGCCAGTGATAGCCCGCATCAGACCCGCAACGCGTGCTCTCGGGAACGCTGACCGGCGACACACTTCGTAGCGGGACAGCTGCTCCTCAGACATGGCAGACAGCAGGGTTGTCATCCTCTGAGCCTCCTCCGCATCCACGGTGGGCTTGCTCTCCTTCTTGCCTTTCGTATGTGTTTTCCGTCTTTTGGCTGCAGGAGGAGCTGAGGCTGAGGCCTCACTGTCACCTTCTGTGAGGTCCATGACATCCTCACTCCTGAGCTCACCTTCCTGATCCCTGGGTGCTTCCAAGTTCCCGTCTAGGTCCTCAGGGATTCCATCCTTCTTGCTGCCCTTCAGACCTCGGGGCATGGCGAGCATCTCAGCAGACACACCTGTTTGCCTGCCGGTCTCCATGGGTGAGATTCAAGTCTGCTCCGTGACAGCAGCTGTACAGGCAGAAGTTCCGGCTGGGGTGGTTTGACTGTGGATCTGCGATGAGAACCTTTCAAAGATTTTAGCTGCTGTGTTTCTGCTGAGCCAGTTTCGCCGTAACCGGACACGGCTCCCGGCCGCCCCTTCCCACACACAAACACACACACTGAATTTTCTCGCTTCCACAGTGTGAAGAAACTTGTGGAAGGAGAGTATGTTAGTTTTAGGTCAATGCAGAACGAATTCTCACCAATTTTGGGTATTTAAAACAAACACCAGCTCACAGGTCAGAAGTTCTGCTAGGCCAAGTGACTGCCTCCTGCTCAGAGTCCCACGAGGGACCTCCAGGATGGGTCTGGCTGTGCGGTCGTTGCCTCCACCTGAGAAGGGTCTGGCTTCGATCCGATTCGAGTTGGTGGCAGAATTCAACAATGCCTCAGGGTTGCGAGCCCCAGGCCCACTTGTTTGTTCTGCCTGCTGCCGTGAGGATGCTCTCAGCTCCTACCCGTGCTGCCCAGGTCTGGGCCGTGAGGCTCCCTGGGTGTGCACAGCCAGTGCTGGGGAATCTCCCACAGGGGAGCGTAATCCCAGGGGGGTTCAGTCCTCCCTTATAAAGGGCTCAGATGACTGGATTAGACCCAGCCCTTAGCAGCCGTTGGTTCAGGATACCCCCCAATCTAATGAGGAAGTCGGGCGGGCACATCAATTCGTGCTTCCGCCCACACCCAAGGGAGGGGCAGACACAGGGCGACTCTCCGAGGGGCGGGAAATGCAGGGGGCATTTCAGAATTCAGTCCTCTTCACAGAATCGCAAAGTTCACATCTCACAACAGTAAAGAAACTATTTACAGTAAAAATGAGACATTTTACGAAGTTGAGCATTAGAAAACTTCGATGTCTGAGAAAAAAAACTCTCTAACGCACAGGGAAGAAAGCGGTTTATCCAATACTCTGAAAATAAAATGGGCTGGGTGAGGGAAACGTGAAAATATTATTTCAATTTTATTTTACGTCACTTTATTTTAGTTTATTTTATTTTATTTGTTTATTTCTGAGACAGTGCCTCGCTCTGTCCCCCAGGCTGGATTACAGCGGCCTCATCTCAGCCCACTGCAGCCTCGGCATCCTAGGCTCAACGGATTCTCCTGCCTCAGCCTCCAGAGTGGCTGGGACTAAATGTGCGCGCTACCACGCCGGGCAAATTTTTGTATTTGCTCAAGTAGAGACGAGGTCTCGCCATTTTGCCCAGGCTGGTCTTGAACTGCTGACTTCAGGTGATCTGCCCCACCTTGGCTTCCCAAAGCGAAGGGACTATAGGCGTGAGCCACCGCGCCCAGACTATGATAGTTTCACACTGAAGCCTGACGCTGCTCTGCCTTAGGATTTTTCCTGAGTTTTACTTCCTTGTCAGGATGAGTTGCTAGTTCATATTTTCTGTTGGATCTTTTAGAAAGGCGTTACTGATGAGATCATGGCTTTCTCACAAGAAATACTACTCTGGTGAAACTCTGTTGAAATTATCAGTACCTTAAATTTCCAATCCTTATCAAGTACAATAGTTGAACATGGCGTGGTAGCTGAAAGTGTAAGAGGCAGAATTTGGCAGACTCCACTTCTTCCCATTTCGATGGTTCCAGGTTTTTTGGCTTCAGCCGAACTAAAGAATGTCCTCACGAGCTGTGAATTCACAGGTCACTACAGACAATTTTTGAAACTGAATCACACTGTAATTTTTGGCGTATGCTCTGTGAGCTGTGCTGGGAAGGTTCACGCTGATTCCGTAATAAATCTCGGGTTTTTACTCTATAGCGAAAAATTACTCTTTGCCATCCTGAAGGCAAAGCAGAGTATGTACAAGTAGAGTGTGGAATAACTTTGTCACTCGTGACGAACCGACTTGGTCCAATACTTTAACGACTTCTCCAATGTCTCCGTACTCAGGTTTGATTTTCTGAGTGGATCATCGGTAGAATGAATAAAATGCAGAATCCTCTAAGGCAATGTTTGGAACTAAATTTCAGTGTCTCCGGAAGCACTGGAAAAATCACCACGTGTAGCGAAAGTGAAGTGTCAATAGGCTCTCTCTGTGTCCTTCAAACCCCCCATATGGTCGTTGCAAACGGCGGCTTGAGGAAAGGTGGTTTTGGAATCGGTTTCTCTCTGGTCTTACATGATGCATCTATACTATACTGCATTATAATACAGGAAAGGGTCACTTGCTGACATAAAGCACAGCAGGCAGGAATAGAAGAGTCAACTTAGGGGAAAAAAAGAAAGTGCTTTGTGATTTCAATTTGGTGTCTGCAGTTTGGAAAACGGTTGATCAGTTTAACTGTTTTCGTGGTGACTCACAAAAATACATATGAGCGTTGAAATTCTACAGAAGAACAACAATCGGGGAAACATTTCTGCAAGCTCCAATTACTGGAACCCAGACATAAGCCTACAAGCTAAGACAGAGCTACACCAGGCTTCAGCAGGAAACCATACAGATCTCCTGGGAAGGGCTTCCCTCTCTGAATGCAGCTGCCTGTCCACGGGATGCTCTAGGCCCAGGCACCTTGATTCCTCCAGCTGGAAAGACATAGAGAAACGCCTCCACATCCCATTAAAATGCCCAAAGATTTAGCCAAGGCTCCTGTGAAGCGATCTGCTGTCTTCATCCAGGTAAGGGCAACTTCGCATTTTAAGACACGAAGATCGTGGGTAAATCCAGGTGGGACTGAGATGCGGGAGCTCCGGCGCACACACTCCTGTCATTGGAAGATGAACGCGGTACTTATTCCTGCACAAACAGACCCTGCCCTCTGGCCCTGGGCCTAGAACATGATTCTTTTGCAGTTGCTGTTGGGGAAGAGGCCCTTGGGCTTTAACCTGCGAACGGCCTCCCTTAAATGCTTGGGCTGCAGCGGGGGCGTCTCTCCCCACATCTCACACACGTCCAGGGCCTCTTCCACCACCTCTCCAACAAAGAGCTTGGCTATTCCAGCCATGGCAATGGCCGCGTTCTCCGACACCGAACTGCCAGTGATAGCCCGCATCAGACCCGCAACGCGTGCTCTCGGGAACGCTGACCGGCGACACACTTCGTAGCGGGACAGCTGCTCCTCAGACATGGCAGACAGCAGGGTTGTCATCCTCTGAGCCTCCTCCGCATCCACGGTGGGCTTGCTCTCCTTCTTGCCTTTCGTATGTGTTTTCCGTCTTTTGGCTGCAGGAGGAGCTGAGGCTGAGGCCTCACTGTCACCTTCTGTGAGGTCCATGACATCCTCACTCCTGAGCTCACCTTCCTGATCCCTGGGTGCTTCCAAGTTCCCGTCTAGGTCCTCAGGGATTCCATCCTTCTTGCTGCCCTTCAGACCTCGGGGCATGGCGAGCATCTCAGCAGACACACCTGTTTGCCTGCCGGTCTCCATGGGTGAGATTCAAGTCTGCTCCGTGACAGCAGCTGTACAGGCAGAAGTTCCGGCTGGGGTGGTTTGATTGTGGATCTGCGATGAGAACCTTTCAAAGATTTTAGCTGCTGTGTTTCTGCTGAGCCAGTTTCGCCGTAACCGGACACGGCTCCCGGCCGCCCCTTCCCACACACAAACACACACACTGAATTTTCTCGCTTCCACAGTGTGAAGAAACTTGTGGAAGGAGAGTATGTTAGTTTTAGGTCAATGCAGAACGAATTCTCACCAATTTTGGGTATTTAAAACAAACACCAGCTCACAGGTCAGAAGTTCTGCTAGGCCAAGTGACTGCCTCCTGCTCAGAGTCCCACGAGGGACCTCCAGGATGGGTCTGGCTGTGCGGTCGTTGCCTCCACCTGAGAAGGGTCTGGCTTCGATCCGATTCGAGTTGGTGGCAGAATTCAACAATGCCTCAGGGTTGCGAGCCCCAGGCCCACTTTTTTGTTCTGCCTGCTGCCGTGAGGATGCTCTCAGCTCCTACCCGTGCTGCCCAATGTCTGGGCCGAGAGGATCCCTGGGTGGACACAATCCAGTGCTGGGGAATCTCACTCTGAGCTCACTTCCTGATCCTGGGGTGCTTCCAAGTTCCCGTCTAGGTCCTCAGGGATTCCATCCTTCTTGCTGCCCTTCAGACCTCGGGGCATGGCGAGCATCTCAGCAGACACACCTGTTTGCCTGCCGGTCTCCATGGGTGAGATTCAAGTCTGCTCCGTGACAGCAGCTGTACAGGCAGAAGTTCCGGCTGGGGTGGTTTGATTGTGGATCTGCGATGAGAACCTTTCAAAGATTTTAGCTGCTGTGTTTCTGCTGAGCCAGTTTCGCCGTAACCGGACACGGCTCCCGGCCGCCCCTTCCCACACACAAACACACACACTGAATTTTCTCGCTTCCACAGTGTGAAGAAACTTGTGGAAGGAGAGTATGTTAGTTTTAGGTCAATGCAGAACGAATTCTCACCAATTTGGGGTATTTAAAACAAACACCAGCTCACAGGTCAGAAGTTCTGCTAGGCCAAGTGACTGCCTCCTGCTCAGAGTCCCACGAGGGACCTCCAGGATGGGTCTGGCTGTGCGGTCGTTGCCTCCACCTGAGAAGGGTCTGGCTTCGATCCGATTCGAGTTGGTGGCAGAATTCAACAATGCCTCAGGGTTGCGAGCCCCAGGCCCACTTGTTTGTTCTGCCTGCTGCCGTGAGGATGCTCTCAGCTCCTACCCGTGCTGCCCAGGTCTGGGCCGTGAGGCTCCCTGGGTGTGCACAGCCAGTGCTGGGGAATCTCCCACAGGGGAGCGTAATCACAGGGGGGTTCAGTCCTCCCTTATAAAGGGCTCAGATGACTGGATTAGACCCAGCCCTTAGCAGCCGTTGGTTCAGGATACCCCCCAATCTAATGAGGAAGTCGGGCGGGCACATCAATTCGTGCTTCCGCCCACACCCAAGGGAGGGGCAGACACAGGGCGACTCTCCGAGGGGCGGGAAATGCAGGGGGCATTTCAGAATTCAGTCCTCTTCACAGAATCGCAAAGTTCACATCTCACAACAGTAAAGAAACTATTTACAGTAAAAATGAGACATTTTACGAAGTTGAGCATTAGAAAACTTCGATGTCTGAGAAAAAAACTCTCTAACGCACAGGGAAGAAAGCGGTTTATCAAATACTCTGCAAATAAAATGGGCTGGGTGAGGGAAACGTGAAAATATTATTTCAATTTTATTTTACGTCACTTTATTTTATTTTATTTTATTTTATTTGTGAGGTGATGTCTTCTTTTAGTTTTTATATGTGTTTCTCTGAAGATTGGTGACGTCGAGTATATATATATGCCTGCTGGTCACTTGTATATCTTCTCTCCCGAGATGTCTATTATTTAGGTCCTTTGCCCAGTTTTAAAATTGTGTTGTTTCTTGCTGTTGAGTCCTTTGAGTTCATGGTATATTTTGAACAGTAACTAATTAATCCCTTATTGGATATAGTGTTTGCAAGTATTTTTTCTCATGATGATTTTGTCTCTTCATGGTGTTAATTATTTCTTTTACTGTGTAGAATTTTTTTTTTCATTTGGATGCAATCCATTTGTCTATTTTCCCTTGTGCTGCCTATGCGTTTGGGACATATTTCAAAAATTATTGGCGTAACCAATGTCAATGAGGATGTCCCCTGTTTCCTTCTAGTAGGTTCACAGTTTAAAGTTTTGACTATAGTTTGTTTGATTCTTGTGTATGGTAAGAGATTAGGGCCCAATTTCATTTTACTGCCGGTAGATACCCAGTTTCCTATCACCACTGATGGAAGAGACTGTCCTTTTGTCATTGTGTGTTGTTGGCGCATTTGTAAAACTGTAATTGGCTGTACACATTTCGAGTGATTTCTGGGCTCTCTGCTCTGTTCCATCGGCTTTGATTTCTGTTTCGATGCCATTCTTATGCCATTTTTGTTCCTACCGCTTGATAGAATATTTTGAAACAAGGAAGGCATGGATTTTTTAATTTTCTCTATGGTTTGCCCTATGACAGCACCACTCAGACAGATGTCAAAGAGATATAGATTCTTTACTTTTTCAGTTTTTTACTGATTGTTAAGACAGAGTAATGACATGGAATCTTTTTTATGGGCCATCCTGAAAACTGGAACTCCATTTTATTGTTGCTATATGTTTATTAGAGTTTATCTTATTTTCAAGATATTTGATCAATTACTTGTTCATATAATGACAAGTAGGGTTCAATTGTACAAAATATCCAATGGTCAAATCCTACAGAGAGAGAAAATTTTGTTTTTTATTTCTGTATTTCTTATATAATCATTTGAAAAATAAAGTAAAAATAGAATATTATCTAGAATAAAATATAATATTATTATATGCATTTCTGTTTTAAAGAAGGACAAAACAGAGATCAATATGTTATTTCAGTCATAAACAAAGGTTACTTTGGGACCAGTTCTTTGGAGGTGAAGGTGTGGAAATGAATGCAGAGGTTAGACAGGGTTTCTGGGGTCTTTGTTTCTCTGTCTAGTTTTCCATCTGGCTCCTAGAGTGTGTTACTATTCCAGCATCCTCAAAGATCGCTCTCTGACATGAAACAATTTTGGCCAGAACGTGAAAAAAATCATCGTAGAGGAAAATCTGGTATTTAATTCAATTGTTTTTTTTTTGCAAGCTCAAAAACAGTTGATTCCCCAGACAAAGTTATGAAAAGTACAAATGTTTATAAGGGGATCTATTCCAATGCTTTTAGAAAGCCAGGGCCTTCAGGAAAAAGTATTATAAGGGAAGACTCTGTTTTATCTCCTACAAGTCATATAGAAGCAAAAACATCCTAAGTCATAGCAACTTCAGGATACAGTGTGATTTCATCATAGTCTCTGAAAAGAGTTTCCTTTTTCTTTGTAAAAACAGCTCACCATTCACACGATGCTCGAGGCTCGTGTACCATTCTTCTCCCAACCAGGATGCCCCAGAACAATGCCTTAGCATGCGTGGACCTCAGAGTTCCAAATATGATGGTGATGATTGTTACTAATTTTGAGACAGGGTCTCACCCTGTTGGCCAGGTGTGAGGGCAGTGGCGCCATCTCTACTTACTGCAACCTCCACCTCTGGTGCACCAGCGATTCTCCTACCACACACTCCAGAATGAGTAGGTGAAACAGCAGGAACTAGTGACCATGCCCAGCTCTTTTTTTTTTTTTTTTTTTTTTTTTTAAGGGAGGCGGTCTGGAACTCGAGTTCAAGTGATCTGCCAGTTCGGCCACCCAAAATGGTGGGATAACAGGAATAAGCCACTGTGCATGGTCTGAGATACAAATATGATTGAAAGGGATGATCAAACAGGCTGCTGCCTTCATCTGGGTGTAACCAATGTAAAATGTAAGAAAGACGTTAAATTACGGGTAAGTCCAGGATGGGCTGAGATACTGAAGCTCCAGCATAGAAAGTGTGCTCTCATAGAAAGACTAGAAGCAGTACTTTCTCCTCTAAAATCAGGCCTTTCTATCTGGGCTGGGATCTGGAGGAAGATGGGTTTTTTTTTTTTTTTCTCGATGTTGGGGGAATGGGCCCTGGGCTGTCCCCTGTGTAAGGCCTCGCTGCAATGCTTGGGTTGCAGCAGGGATATGTCTCCCCACATCTCACACATGTCCAGCGCCTCTCCTACCAGCTCGTGGACCAAGACCTGGGTCATTCCAGCCATGGCTACGGCTGTGACTACGTTCTAGGACACTGAACTGCTGGTGATGGACTGCATCGGACTTCTAAAGGCTGCCTCTCTCCCTTTTTCACCCACAAACAGACCTACAGTGGTTTTTCTGCCTCCTGTAATGTGAAGCAACTTGTGGATAAAGAGTATTTTCACATTTTAGAAAGTAGAGGTCAATGTGTGTTCACAGGAAACTAGCAGGAGCAGTCTGTGAGACAGGGAACATTGCAAACATGGAGCTGCATATAGAAAAAGTTAAAGTGTGGATCCCATCCACCGTTTGATCAATTGCAGGAGACATTGTCTATTTGGCACCTATACATTTACTTGATTTTCAATAATATTAAGGAACTCATTTCTCCACAATTTTTCTTGATGTGATATGCAGAAACGTGTTCACTGAGACATTTCGATGAATGCATTAGACCCTCAATGTAGTTTGGAAGTTTACAAACAAAACAAAATGGAAACACAGTCACTAGCTGTGACTTCTGCTTCTATTTTTACTCCCGATCATATGCTTAGCTACTTTTTGACCCCATGCGAGAAACGATACTATCTCTGAACAGAACTTCTAACATCATATCTATCATTAACAGAAAGAAAACACAACACAGCAAAAGAGAAACCATTAACAGAGAAAAACACAACACAACACAAAGGAAACCATTTGCAATGCAAGATTTCCCAGGAGTGTGGGCTCTTAAGCACCCTCTCCACGGAGGCTGTGGGCCAGCTGCATGTCTCTGGGCATAACTGGGACTCTCCTGGCATGGATGACACACAGTTTGGTGTCTTACCAAAAGGACACAGGAAGGGGAACATCACACACCGGGGACTGTTGTGGGGTGGGGGGAGGGGGGAGGGATAGCATTAGGAGATATACCTAATGCTAAATGATGAGTTAATTGGTGCAGCACACCAACATGGCACATACATACATATGTAACTAATCTGCACGTTATGCACATGTACCCTAAAACTTAAAGTATAATAATAATAAAATTGAAAATAAAAAGAAAAGAAAAAGTTCTGATATCAATGTGTTGCTGGAAAAGAGTGGTTTCCCCATGTTGTCCAGGCTGGTCTTAAACTCCTGATCTCAGGAGATCCACCCACCTCGGCCTCCCAAAATACTGAGATTACAGGTATGAGCCATCACGTCTGGCCAGTAATTTCATATCTTCTACCAACTATTTTTGAATAAACAAAAGCTCTTTAAAGGTCAGATATTTGAGTGTCTGCTTTATATTCTGAAGTACTTTTTATGCCATTTCTCAGCATAATTTTCCCTAAATGTGATTTATGTCTTTGTGCATGACATAATTGTATGTCTCTTTGATGCTTCTCTGTGTCCTATGTATACATATACATGTAATATATAAATTGAAGTCTGGGCGCAGTGGCTCATGCCTGTAATCACTTCATTTTGAGAAACCAAGGGAGGCAGATCACTTGAAGTAAGTGGTTCAAGACCAGCCTGGCCAAAATGGTGAAACGTCCTTTCTACTTTAAAAAATACAAAAATTATACCGGTGTGGTGGGGTGCACATTTAGTCCCAGCTACTCTGGAGGCTGAGGCAGGAGAGTTGCTTGTGCCCAAGAGGCGGAGGCGGCAGTGAGCTGAGATCAGGCCACTGCAATCCAGCCTGGGGGATGGAGTGAGACTGTCTCAAAAATAAATAAATACATAAAATAAAGTAAAATAAAATTGAAATAATATTTTCATATTCCCCTCACCCAGCCTAGTCTATTTTCAGAGTATCTGGTAAACCACTTGTTTCCCTGAGTCAGAGATTTTCTTCTCAGACAGTTTTCTACTGTGCAACTTCGTAATATGTCTCATTTTTAATGTAAATGTTTTCTTTATTGTTGTGAAATGTGAACTTTGTGATTCTGCGAGGAAGACTGAATTCTGAAATGCCCCCTGCATTTCCCACCCCTCAGAGACTCGCCCTGTGTCTGCCCCTCCCTTGGGTGTGGGCGGAAGCATGAATTGATGTGCCCGCCCGACTTCCTGATTAGATCAGGGATATCCTGAACCAATAGCTGCTAAGGGCTGGGTCTAATTCAATCATCTGAGCTCTTTATAAGGGAGGACTGAACCTCCCTGTGATTACACTCCCCTGTGGAGATTCCCCCAGCACTGGCTGTGCACACCCAGGGAGCCTCACAGCCCAGACCTGGGCAACACTTGTAGGAGCTGAGAGCATCCTCACGGCAGCAGGCAGAACAAACAAGTGGGCCTAGGGCTCACAACCCTAAGACATTGAATTCTGCCACTAACTCGAATGAGATCGAAGCCAGACCCTTCTCAGGTGAAGGTGACGACCACACAGCCAGACCCATCCTGGAGGTCCCTCATGTGACTCTGAGCAGGAGGCAGTCACTTGGCCTAGCAGAACTTCTGACCTGTGAGTTGGTGTTTGTTTTAAATATCCAAAATTGGTGAGAATTTATTCTGCATTGATCTAAGACTAATATACTCTCCATCCACAAGTTTCTTCACATTGTGGAAGTGAGAACATTCAGTGTGTGTGTTTGTGTGTGGGAAGGGGAGGCAGGGGGCTGTGTCCAGTTATGGTTAAACTGGCACAGCAGAAACACAGAAGCTAAACTCTTTGAGAGGTTCTCATTGCAGATCCATAATCGAACCACCCCAGCCAGAACTTCTGCCTGTACAGCTGCTGTCACGGAGCAGACTGGAATCTCACCCATGGAGACAGGCAGGCAAAGAGATGCCTCTGCTGAGATGTTCCCCATGCCCCGAGGTCTGAAGTACAGCAACAAGGATGGAATCCCTGAGGACCTAGATGGGAACTTGGAAGAACCCAGGGATCAGGAAAGTGAGCTCAGGAGTCAGGATGTCATGGACCTCACAGAAGGTGACAATGAAGCGTCAGCCTCAACTCCTCCTTCAGCTAAAAGGCAGAAAACAGATACCAAGGGGAAGAAGGAGAGGAAGCCCACCATGGATGCAGAGGAGGCTCAGAGGATGACAACCCTGTTTTCTGCCATGTCTGAGGAGCAGCTATCTCGCTACGAAGTGTGTCGCCGGTCAGCTTTCCCAAAAGCACGCATTGCAGCTCTGATGCAGTCCATCACTGGCAGATCGGTGTCTGAGAACACCGCCATTGCCATGGCTGGAATAGCCAAGGTCTTTGTGGGAGAGGTGGTGGAAGAGGCCCTGGACGTGTGCGAAATGTGGGGAGAAACGCCCCCGCTGCAGCCCAAGCATTTACGGGAGGCTGTTCGCAGGTTAAAGCCCAAGGGCATCCTCCCCAACAGCAACTACAAAAAAATCATGTTCTAGGCCTAAGGACAGAGGGAAAGGTCTGTTTGTGCAGGAATAAGTATCGCATTCATCTTCCAATGACAGGACTGCATTTGCTGGAGCTTCCTTATCTCAGTCCACCCTGGATTTACCCACGATCTTAGTGTCTGAAACTGTGAAGTTGACCTTACCTAGGTGAAGACAGCAGGTTGTTTCATAGGAGCCTTGGCTAAATATTTGGACATTTTAATGGTGTGTTGAGGTATTTTTCTCTGTCTTTCTAGTTGGAAGAATCAAGGTGCCTGGGCCTAGAGCATCCTGTGGACAGGTAGCTGCATTCAGAGAGGGAAGCCCTTCCCAGGAGATTTGTATGGTTTCCTGCTGAAGCCTGGTGTAGCTGTGTCTTAGCTTGTATGCTTATATCTGGGTTTCAGTAATTGAAGCTTCCAGAAATGTTTCCCAATTGTTGTTCTTCTGTACATTTTCAATGCTCATATGTATTTTTGTGAGTCATCACAAAAGCAGTTAAACTGTTTTCCAAACTGCAGAAATAAAAATAAAGTCACAAAGCACTTTTTTTCTCTAAGTTGACTCTTCTATTCCTGCCCATGGTGCTTTATGTCAGCAAGTGACCCTTTCCTTTATTATAATGCAATATAGTATAGATGCATCACGTAAGACTAGCGAGAAACCAATTCCAACACCACCTTTGCTCAAGCCGCCATTTGTAACGATCATATGGGCCATTTCAAAGACACAGAGAGAGCCTATTGATACTTCACGTTCGCTACACATGGTGATTTTATCAGTGCTTCCAGAGACACTGAAATTTAGTTCCAAACAGTGCTTTAGAGTATTCTTGATTTCATTCATTCTACCGATGATCCACTCAGAAAATCAAACCTGAGTACAGAGACATTGGAGAGGTTGTTAAAGTATCAGACCAAGTAGATTCATCACAAGTGACAAAGTTATTCCACACTCTACTTGTACATACTCTGCTTTACCTTTATGATGTAAAGAGTAATTTTTCTTTATATAATAAAGACCTGAGATTTATTATGGAATCACCGTGAGCCTTCCCAGCACAGCTCAGAGATATCCATGGTGCTGTTTCAGTCTGTTTACCTTTGCCATGTGCCCCCTGAATCACAGAGTGTAAGCAAAAAGGATCGAAACGACCCCATAGTTCAACTCTAATATTGAATGCAGAGTAACATGTACTCTTTCTTCCTGAAGCCAAAGATACCCCCATAAAATATAGTTTTATTTCCTCATACACTCAGCTTTTGCTCTGAAAATAGGACTGAGTGTACATAGAATCTGCCTTTGGGTATCACACAAATTTCTAAACTTTACCAAGTATGGGGAAATTCTGTTTCATACCTCCATATTCTGACATGGTTTAGCTTTCCTTTTATTTCACCAACTTTCTTGTAAAGGCATATATCAAGTTAGACCATTGTGTCTTAGAGACACAAGGAGGGTACAGGTTCTTGGAAGAACTGATGGAGATGGGAGGGCTCTCTCAGGAATTAAAGTGCTGGAGTAACCAAAAGAAATAAGATCCAAGAGACTTAATATCTCCCAGTCTTTAGATTGCTCTCAGCTCATTCCTTTTCCATGGCACTGAGGAGTCATGGAAGGTGTCTTGTGTCAGATGTTGCAGGTCTAGCCCTTTCTGAACAGTAGAGGCAAAGAGAACTTGGCCCAAGCAGGTTGGTCTGCCGAGGTGGAGGCAAGCATCTGTAGAGAGCAGTGCTGATGGTGATTCCACACAAAAGCTTAGAATATTTTAATGTTCTAATTAGAACATCACAACATTTTTCTGGCCCCTCATAGAACTCAATACTCTGAGTGGGGTCTGAGTAAAGCTGAACTGCTGAAGACAGAAACAAGTTCCCATCAAGGTCTCAGAGGTCAGCTCAGGAGCAGGAACACAGCATTGTTTTCTCAGAGAGGAAAATTGGATTAGCTGAGAAGGTTCAGTGTCCTTACACATTCTTTTCTTTTTAACTTTCAGTTTTGGGATCCATGTGCAGAATGTGCAGGTTTGTTACAAAGGTATACATGTGCCCTAGTGGTTTGCTGCACCTATCAACCCATCATGGAGGCTTTAAGCCCTGCGTGCATTGCATATTTGTCCTGATGCTCTCCCTTCCCTTGCCTCCCATCACCTGACAGGCCATGCTGTGTGATGTTCCCCTCTCTGTGTCGGTGTGTTCTCATTGATCAGCTCCCACGTGTGAGTGAGAACATAGGGTGTTTGGTTTTCTGTTCCTGTGTTAGTTTGCTGAGAATGATGGTTTTCAGTGTTATCCAAGTCACCGCAAAAACAGGAGTTCATTCTTTTTTATGGCTGCATAGTATTCCATGCTGTATATATGCCACATGTTCTTTATCCAGTCTATCATTGATGGGCATTTGGGTTGGTTCCAAGTCTTTGCTATTGTAAACTGTGCTGCAGTAAACTTACATGTATATGTGTCTTTATAGTAGAATGATGTATAATCCTTTGGGTATATACCCAGTAATGAAATTGCTGGGTCCAACGGTATTTCTGGTTCTATATCCTTGAGGAATCGCCACACTGTCTTCCACAATGGTTGAACTAATTTACACTCTCACAGACATTGTAAAAGTGTTTCTATATCTCCACAGCCTTGCCAGCATCTGTTGTTTCCTGACCTTTTAATAATCACATACTAAATCTTCTCAATATATAATATCATATAGCCACAGCTCTCAGGAAAGAAATCTGTAGAAAGTGATATCTTTTCAGGAGAAATCTTTGACAGCATTCATGGCTGATTGTATTACATGTTAATGACAATGCAATTTTTCCTGGAGCTTCATCACTATTCTTAAAGTACATTACTATTCATAATGTACATTTGGAGACTGCCTAGAAAAATGTGGTCTCTGATTGGTGCTCCTTAAGTGGTGACAAGATACCTACGAAAGAAACAGAGTCTCACTCCGTTGCCCAGTCTGAAATGTAGTGGCGCAATCTCTGCTCACTGCAAGCTCCGCCTCCCAGGATCATGCTATTCTCCTGCCTCGGTCTCCTGAGTATCTGGGAATAGAAGCGCCTGCCACCACACCCAGCTAATGTTTGTATTTTTAGCAGAGACCGGGTTTCACCGTGTTAATCATGATGGTCTCGATCTCCTGCCCTCGAGACTGGGTGCCTCGGCCTCCCAAAGTGCTGGGATTACAGGCGTGGGCCACCGCGCCCGGCCCGTACTTGACTATTTTCCAAAACTGACTATTTTGGGAAAAGCTTAACATCCTCACTGCCTGCCTTTGCCCCCCACAAGTAATTAGCATATGTCTAAATAAAGTTTAAGCAAGCTAGCTCCACTATTCCCAAGCACATATTATCTGGGTCTAGTCTTTAGAAGTATAAAGTGCAAATCTTACATCTATACAAAAAGTTGTACCCAAACTGGAAAGGCTTAAATGATCAATTGATGGATTTGTGTTTCCTACGGAAGAGGGTACAAAGCAGAGTGCTAATATATGTATATAGGGGAGAGGAGGTCAGGGCTTTTATGAAATGAATGCAGTCCAATCTTGGGAAGAGTTTCTTAAGTAGCATGAATGTTAGAGAGACGATTCATGACATTTCAACTTATTGCCATGTCTAAAAATATCAAGACATAGCCAGCAGTTTTTAAAAAATACATTTTTCTCAATGAAACTATTATTGAGACAGAGGAGGTTTTTCCTTTATTTATTTATTTTCCAATGACTTAGTTTTCTTAGTCACATATTCAAGGGAGCATACTGCTGTTTGGCAAAATGTGAGAATTCCACATCCTGTTTTTGTTTGTTTTTAAAGATGAAAGAGCTGAACAACCATGTTTTGTGTTAGACATACCACCAGATTATTCAAATTTCTTTAGAATCATACTCCAAAAATTAAACTATGATTTAGTTTCAAAAATTGTCTGTAGTGTTCTGTGAATTGACAGCTCATTAGGACATTCTTTAGTTTGGCTGAAACCAAAAAACCTGAAACCGTCAAAATGGAAAAAAATGGAGTTTGCCAAATTCTGCTTCTTACACGTTCACCTACCATGCCATGTTCAAATATTGTACTTGATAAGTATTGGAAACTTAAGGTACTGTTAATTTCAATAGAGTTTCACCAAAGTAGTATTTTTTGTGATAAAGCCATAATCTCATCAGTAATGCCTTTCTAAAAGATCCAACAGAAAATATGAACTAGCAACTCATCATGACAAGAAAGTAAAACTCAGGAAAAATCCTAAGGCAGAGCAGCTTCAGGCTTCAGTGTGAAACTATCATAGTCTGGGCACAGTCGCTCACGCCTATAGTCCCTTCACTTTGGGAAGCCAAGATGGGGCAGATCACCTGAAGTCAGCAGTTGAAGACCAGCCTGGCCAAAATGGTGAAACCTCCTCTCTACTTTAAAAAAGACAAAAATTTGCCTGGCGTGGTGGCGCGTACATTTAGTCCCAGCTACTCTGGAGGATGCGGCAGGAGAATCCCTTGAGCCCAGGATGTGGAGGCTGCAGTGAGCTGAGATCAGGCCACTGTAACCCAGCCTGGGGGACAGAGTGAGACTCCGTCTCAAAAATAAATCAATAAAATAAAAGAAGATAAAATAAAATTGAAATAATATTTTCATATTCCCCTCATGCAGCCCATTTTATTTTCAGAGTATTTGATAAAACACTTGTTTCCCTGTGAGTTAGAGACGTTTTTCTCAGACACTGAAGTTTTCTAATGTGCAACTTCATAAAATATCTCATTTTTACTGTAAATAGTTTCTTTATTGTTGTGAAATGTGAACTTTGCAATTCTGTGAGGAAGACTGAATTCTGAAATGCCCCCTGCATTTCCCACCCCTCAGAGACTCACCCTGTGTCTGCCCCTCCCTTGGGTGTGGGCAGAACCACGAATTGATGAGCCCGCCCAAATCCCTGATTAGATTAGGGATATCCTGAACCAATAGCTGCTAAGGGCTGGGTCTAATTCAATCATCTGAGCTCTTTATAAGGGAGGACTGAACCTCCCTGAGATTACATTCCCCCATGGGAGATTCCCCAGCACTGGCTGTGCAGACCTAGGGAGCCTCACAGCCCAGACCTGGGCAACACTTGTAGGAGCTGAGAGCATCCTCACAGCAGCAGGCAGAACAAACAAGTGGGCCTGGGGCTCACAACCCTAAGGCATTGAATTCTGCCACCAACACGAATGAGATTGAAGACAGACCCTTCTCACGTGAAGGTAATGACCACACAGCCAGACCCATCCTGGAGGTCCGTCATGTGACTCTGAGCAGGAGGCAGTCACTTGGCCTAGCAGTACTTCTGACCTGTGAGCTGGTGTTTGTTTTAAATATCCAAAATTGGTGAGAATTTATTCTGCATTGATCTAAAACTAATATACTCTCCATCCACAAGTTTCTTCACATTGTGGAAGTGAGAACATTCAGTGTGTGTGTTTGCATGTGGGAAGGGGAGGCAGGGGGCTGTGTCCAGTTATGGTTAAACTGGCACAGCAGAAACACAGCAGCTCAACTCTTTGAAAGGTTCTCATTGCAGATCCATAATCGAACCACCCCAGCCAGAACTTCTGCCTGTACAGCTGCTGTCACGGAGCAGACTTGAATCTCACCCATGGAGACAGGCAGGCAAAGAGGTGCGTCTGCTGAGATGTTCGCCATGCCCCAAGGTCTGAAGGGCAGCAACAAGGATGGAATCCCTGAGGACCTAGATGGGAACTTGGAAGAACCCAGGGATCAGGAAAGTGAGCTCAGAAGTCAGGATGTCATGGACCTCACAGAAGGTGACAATGAAGCATCAGCCTCAGCTCCTCCTGCAGCCAAAAGACAGAAAACAGATACCAAGGGGAAGAAGGAGAGGAAGCCCACCGTGGATGCAGAGGAGGCTCAGATGACAACCCTGCTGTATGCCATGTCTGAGGAGCAGCTATCCCGCTACGAAGTGTGTCGCCGGTCAGCTTTCCCAAAAGCACGCATTGCAGCTCTGATGCAGTCTATCACTGGCAGATCGGTGTCTGAGAACACCGCCATTGCCATGGCTGGAATAGCTAAGGTCTTGGTTGGAGAGGTGGTGGAAGAGGCCCTGGACGTGTGCGAGATGTGGGGAGAAACGCCCCCGCTGCAGCCCAAGCATTTAAGGGAGGCCGTTCGCAGGTTAAAGCCCAAGGGCCTCTTCCCCAACAGCAACTATAAAAAAATCATGTTCTAAGCCCAAGGCCAGAGGGAAGGGTCTGTTTGTGCAGGAATAAGTATCGCATTCATCTTCCAATGACAGGACTGCATTTGCTGGAGCTTCCTTATCTCAGTCCACCCTGGATTCACCCACAATCTTAGTGTCTGAAACTGTGAAGTTGACCTTACCTAGGTGAAGACAGCAGATTGTTTCACAGTAGCCTTGGCTAAATGTTTGGGACTCCAGGGGCATATTGAGGCATTTTTCTCTGTCTTTCTAGTTGGAAGAATAAAGGTGCCTGGGCCTTGAGCATCCTGTGGACAGGTAGCTGCATTTGGAGAGGGAAACCCTTTCCAGGAGATTTGTACGGTTTCATTCTGAAGCCTGGTGTTGCTGTGTCTTACCTTGTATGCTGATGTCTGGGTTTCAGTAAGCGAAGCCTCCAGAAATGTTTCCCAATTGTTGTCCTCCTCTGATTTTCAATGCTCATATGTATTTGTTTTAGTCATCACAAAAGCAGTTAAACTGTTTTCCAAACTGCAGAAATAAAAATATAATCACAAAGAATTTTTTTTTCTCCATGTTGACTCTTCCATTCCTGCCTACTTTGCTTACGTCAGCAAGTGGCCCTGTAGTTTAATCATAATGCAATACAGTATTGGTGCATCGTGTAAGACTAGAGAGAAACCAATTCCAAAACCACCTTTCCTCAAGCCTCCATTTGTAATGATCATATGGGCAGTTCCAAAGACACAGACAGAGCCAATTGATACTGCACGTTCGCTACACATGGTTATTTTACCAGTGCTTCCGGAGACACTGAAATTTAGTTCCAAACATTCCTTTAGAGGAGTCTTGATTTTATTCATTCTACCAATGAGCCACTCAGGAAATCAAACCTGAGTACAGAGACATTGGAGAAGTCGTTAAAGTATTGGACCAAGTAGGTTCATCATGAGTGACAAAGTTATTTCACACTCTACTTGTACATACTCTGCTTTACCTTTATGATGGAAAAGAGTAATTTTTCATTATAGAATAAAGACCTGAGAGTTATTATAGAATCACTGTGACCCTTCCAAGCACAGCTCACCAATATCCACGGTGCTGTTTCTGTCTGTTTACCTTTGCCATGTGTCCCCTGAATCACAGAGTGTAAGCAAAAAGTATCAAAAAGACCCCATAGTTCAGCTCTAATATTGAATGGAGAATAATATTTACTCTTTCTTCCTGAAGCCAAAGATACCCCCATAAAATATAGTTTTATTTCCTCATACACTCATCTTTTGCTCTGAAAATAGGACTTATTGTACATAGAATCTGCCTTTGGGTATCACACAAATTTCTAAACTTTACCAAGTATGGGGAAATTCTGTGTCATACCTCCATATTCTGACATGGTTTAGCTTTCCTTTTATTTCACCAACTTTCTTGTAAAGGCATCTAACAAGTTAGACCATTGCGTCTGAGAGACACAAGGAGGGTACAGGTTCTTGGAAGAACTGATGGAGATGGGAGGGCTCTCTCAGGAATTAAAGTGCTGGAGCAACCAAAACAAGTAAGATCCAAGAGACTTAATATCTCCCAGTCTTTAGATTGCTCTCAGCTCATTCCTTTTCCATGGCACTGAGGAGTCATGGAAGCTGTATTTTGTCAGATGTTACAGGTCTAGCACTTTCTGAACAGTAGAGGAAAAGAGAACCTGGCCCAAGCAGCCTGAGGTGGAGAGAAGCATCTGTAGAGAGTAGTGCTATGGTGATTCCACACACAAGCCTATAACATTTCTCTGGCCTCTCATGGAACTCAATATTTTGAATGGGGTCTGAGTAAAGCTGAACTGCTGAAGACAGAAACAAGTTCCCATCAAGGTCTCAGAGGTCAGGTCAGGAGCAGGAACACAGTGTTGTTTTCTCAGAGAGGAAAATTGGATTAGCTGAGAAGGTTCAGCGTCCTTACAGATTCTTTTTTTTCTTTTTTACTTTATGTTATGGGATACATGTGCAGAATGTGCAGGTTTGTAACAAAGCTTTACATGTTCCCTAGTGGTTTGCTGCACCAATCAACCCATCATCTAGGCTTTAAGCTCCGCATGCATTGGGATTTTTCCTAATGCTCTCCTTTCCCTTGCCTCCTACCCCTTGACAGGCCACGTTGTGTGATGTTCCCCTTTCTGTGTCCATGTGTTCTCATTGATCAACTCCCACTTATGAGTGAGAACATATGGTGTTTGATTTTCTGTTCCTGTATTAGTTTGCTGAGAATGATGGTTTCCAGTGTCATCCATGTCACCGCAAAGAACACGAACTCATTCTTTTTTATGGCTGAATAGTATTCCCTGGTGTATATATGCCACATGGTCATTATCCAGTCTATCATTGATGGGCATTTGGGTTGGTTCCAAGTCTTTGCTATTGTAAACTGTGCTGCAATGTATCATGTGTATGTGTCTTTATAGTAGAATGATTTATAATCCTTTGGGTATATACACAGTAATGAGATGGCTGGGTCCAATGGTATTTCTGGTTCTAGATCCTTGAGGAATCACCACACTGTCTTCCACAATGGTTGAACTAATTTACACTCTCACAGACATTGTAAAAGTGTTTCTATATCTCCACAGCCTTGCCAACATCTGTTGTTTTCTGACTTTTTAATAATCACATACTAAATGTTCTCAATATATAGTATCATATAGTCACTGCTCTCAGGAAAGAAATCTGTAGAAAGTGGTACCTTTCCAGGAGAAATCTTTGACAGCTTTCATGGCTGATTGTATTACATGTTAATGACAATGAATTTTTTCCTGGAGCTTCATCACTATTCTTAAAGTCTATCTCATAATGTGCATTTGGAGACTGCATAGAAAAATGTGGTCTCTGATTGGTGCTGGTAAAGTGGTGACAAGATACCTAACAAATAAAGTGACTGTACTTGACTATTTTCTATCATTTTCTATTTTGGGATAAGCTTAACATCCTCACTGCCTACCTTTGCCCCCACAAAATGCCTAAATAAAGTTTAAGTAAGCTAGCTCCACTATTCCAAGCACATATTATCTAGGGTCTAATCTTTAGAAGTATAAAGTACAAAGCTTACAAGTACAACTACACTAAAATTTGTACCCAAACTAGAAAGGCTTAAATGATCAACTGATGGATTTTTGTTTCCTATGGAAGAAGGTACAAAGCAGAGCACTAATATACATATATAGGGGAGAAGAGGCCAGGGCTTTTATGGATGGCACAGAGCTAGGTGTCTTCAAAGAGGTGCAACAGGTAAGCCTCACTGGGCTCCTGCAGGTCGCCAATGGTAGCGCTTGGAAGCGCAGGACGAGGATGATGGCCTGGGAGATCTTGCGCACCAGGCGCTGGAAGGGCAGCTTGAGGAGTAACAGCTGCATGGACTTCTGGTACTTTCTGATTTCGCGCATTGTCAGGCCTGTAGCGGTGAGGCTTCTTGATCCCTCCTGTAGGCCGCGCCCTTTTGCTGGCGGCTTTAGTGGCCAGGGTCTTTGTGGTGCCTGCCAGGCGGTGGCTTTGCTGGCTGTTGGCTTGGTGCATGCAGTGACCTGGGGCTGTGGTCTCTCTCCTGTCCTTGGGCTGAGCCAGGTTAACTGGAGGCAGCGCTGGTTTCAGACTGCAATGATGGTGGGGCTGTGGACAAAAATCAGAGAGTCTGGGAGTTGAGATTCATGCAAAAGACTCTTCAGACACTTAACCCCTTCCAAACCAGCCCCAGACTTACCAGCTCGCAAGTGTGTGGGTCAGAGGTCCTGCTGCTCGGTCTCCCGGGGGTCCTGGGCTTCCTTGGTCTACACATCAGCTGTGGTAAATCTCCCTCCCCCGAGGCAGCCTGGCTCTGGCTGGACATCTGTGTAGTCTCAGCCAAGTCCAGCCTATTATAAGGGGCTCAGATGATTGCATTAGACCCACGCAGCTACCTTCCATTGCTCTCACTGCTTCGCCAGACCCTCAACCTCATCAGGGTTGTGAAAACACAATCAAGTCCTGGGTTCTGCATGCAGCCCTGGAAGGGCTGAACCTCTGGACTGTGCCTCATGGGAGAGATGATAGGTGAGAGTTAGCTAGAATCTAGGTGCCAAAGAGATCCCAAAAGTTTACATTTCACGATCATCATGGAAGTTACAATGAAAAAGACATTTCAATACAGTTGCACATTAGATGACTTCCGTGACTGCCGCAAAACACCAAGGGTGCCATCGTGAGGTGTCTCTCAGGTTCTCTGAGGATGAGTTGAAACCGGGAGGGATGGATGGAAAATCAAAAAGGTCACTCTTCTATTAGGGATGCTCCGGGGGACAGGTTTTCTCCCACAAAGTGATATTCGTGGAAATTTGGGGGTAGCCTTTGGGGGAAGCTGAGACTTTTTGATCAAACGGTCATATATGCCTGTCACTGAGGCATCCTGGCTCCTTTTTTTACCTTGACGCCAGGGCTGAGCCTTGTTTCCATTGCCCATTTTGGAAATGGCATGAGGCCCAGTGAAGGCCCTGAGTTCACTGCACTGCTGAACCCAGGTCACAGCTGCTACCTTCATACTTCTGGCTCCATGAGAACAAGTAAAGCAAACAAAAACAAACAAACAATCAAACAATACACATACAAAAGGCCCCTATTTTGATACACTATTAACAGGCTTCTCTGATACTTGTAGTAGAAATTGAATGCCCTTCTATGCAATGCACAGACCATGCCCAGAACAGGAAATCCCATGATAATCAATACTCACAAAATAAGTTCACATTTTAAAAAAAGTTTTAAAAGGAGAGCTACTTTTGTAGAAAACCTTAAGTTCACAGCAAAATCAGGCAGAAGGAGCAGAGGTTTCCCTTATCCCCTTTCCCCACATATGCATAGCCCCCTTGACTATCAACTTTCTGCTCCAGAGTAGTATGTTGGCTACAGTCATTCAACCTGCATGGACACATCACTCTGACTCCAAGACCATAGCTCTCCTTAGGGACTTACTTGGGTGTTGTACATTCTATGGACTCGAGCAAAGGTGTAATTACATGTATCCACCGTTATTGCATTCTGTGGACTAGTTTCACTTCTGTACAAATGCACTGTGTCCCATCTCTGCACTCCCCCTTGACCCTCGGTCTCTTGCAACCACTCAACTATTGATTTATTTCTTTTTATTTAAAATACACACATCTCATTGTATATATTTCTTATGTACATAATGCTGTTATAAAGTATGAACACATTGTCTAATATCTAAATTAGGTAACTGACAGCCATTACCTGACATACGTATTATTGTGGTGAGAACATTTCACATCCAGGCTAATAGCACTTCTCAAGAATATGATCTATTGTTAAATTATAGTCACCGTGTTGTAATATAGTCCTTGAGCTTATTCTCCCTATATAACTGAAATGCTGTGTATTTTGACAAACGTCTTCTCAATCCTTCACCCACAGCCACCCAGCCCCTGACAACCAGAATTCTTCTTTTTGACATCTATTAGATTAACTTTGTGAGATTCCACATATCATTGAGATGACGTGGTATTTGTCTTCCTACACCTGGCTTATTTCACGTAGCATGATGTTCTCCAGGTGCACCCATGTGTCACAAATGACAAGATGTCCTTCTTTAAGACTGCATAGTATTCCATTGTGCATGTATATCAGATTTACCCCATCCTGTCATCCAGTTTTGGACATTTAGGTGAATTCCATATCTTAGCTATTGTGACTTAACATGGGAGTGCAGATATCTCTTCAATACTGATTTAATTTCCTTTTGGTATATACCTGGCAGTGTGGGATTGCTGGATCATATGGTAGCTCTATTCTTTCCATTTTTGGAGGAATGTCCATCCTGCTTTCTATAATGGCTGTCCTAATTTACGTTCCCATGAATAGTGCAAGGGTTCCCTTTCCTCCACATCCTCATCAACAAGTGTTGTCTTTTGACTTTTTGATCATAGACATCCTAATGAGTGTGAGGTGGTATCTTCTTTCAGTTTTAACTTACATTTCTCTGATGATTAGCGATGTTGAGCATATATACGTATATACATACCAGTTGGCCACTGTATGTCTTCTTTTCAGAAAGGTATGTCATTTAGGTCCTTTGCCCGGTTTTTAAATTGTGTTTTTTCTTGCTATTGAGTCATTTGAGTTCCTAGAGTATTTTGGACAGTAATTAATCCCTTATATGATGTAGTGTTTGCAAATATTTTCTCTCATTTTGATTTTGTCTCTTCATGATGTTTATTGTCTTGTCGGCTTTGCAGATTTTTTTTTTTTAAGTTGGATGCAATCCATCTGTCTATTCACCCTTTTGTTGTCTGTGCTTTTGGGTCATATACCAAAAGTTTTTGGCTTAACCAGAGTCAATGAGGATGTCCCCTGTTTTCTTCTAGTTGGTTTATACTTTCTAGTTTTTAATTTATTTGGATTTATTCTTGTGTACAGTAAGATATAGGGGTCCAATTTCATTTTTCTTCATGTGGCTACCAGGTTTCCCTATCGCCATTGATGGAAGAAACTGTGGTTTTGTGGTGGTGAGTTGTTGGCACCCTTTTAAACTATCAGTTGGCTGTATATGGATGGACTGATTTCTAGACTCTCTGCTCTGATCCGGTAGCTTAAGTGTCTGTTTTTATGCCAGTGTTATGCCATTTTGGTTCCTACAGATTGATAGCATACTTTGAAGATAGAAAACCATGAAATCTTTTTGTTTTCTCTTTGTATTTGCCACTGACATCATCACTCAGAGAGATTTCCAAGGAGATACTGATTCTTTGCTTTTTCAGTTTTTTTCTCATTGTGAAGATAGAGTGATGACATTGAATTTTCTTAGGAGTCACCCCAAAAACTGGAACTCCATTTTATTTTTGCTATATATTTATTATCATTTATCTTATATATATGGTATTTGGCAATTACATGTCAGTACAATTACAAATAGGCTTCAATTACACAAAATATTTAATGCTCAAATCCTACAGTGAGAGGACATTATATTTTTAATACAGTAATCTGCAAAATAAACTAAAAATAAAACATCATGTAGTATAAGGATATATTGTTATTGTATGCATTTCTGTTTTAGACATGCATGAAACACACATCAATATGTTCTTTCAGCCATTAATATAGGTTACATTGGGACCAGCTCTTTGGAGGCGAATGTGTGGAAATGAATGAAGATATTTGACAGGGTCTCTGGGGTTTGTGTTTCTCTGTGTAGTTTTTCATGCAGCTCCTACAGTGTTCTACCCTCCTAACATCATGAAAGATCACTCCATGACATAAAACAATCTTGGTCCGAATGTGAAAAAACCCATTTTAGAGGAAAAACTAATTTTTAATTTCATTTTTATTTTTGCAAGCTGAAAAACAGTTGGTTGATTTCCCAGGAAAAGTTATGGAAAAGTATTAAATGTTTACAAGGTAACTATTCCAGTGCTCTTAGAAAGCCCGGGACCTTCTGGATAGAGTATTGTAAGGGAAGACTTACTGTTTGTTTTATCTCCTTAAAATCACATTTGAGCAAAAACATCCAAAGTCATAGCAACTTCAGGATTCAGTGTGAATCCACCATAGTCTCTTAAAAGGATGTCTTTTTTCTCTCTGAAAACAGCTCCCCGTCCACAGGATGCCCAAGGCCCATGCTCCTTTCTTCCTCCAACTAGGAAGACCCAGAAAAGCACCCACTCATGCATGGACCTCAGAGAACCAAATATAATGACAATGATTGTTAGTTTTTTGAGACAGAGTCTTACTCTGTTGGCCAGGTGGAAGGGCAGTGATGTCAATTTGGCTCCCTTTAACTTCCACCTCCACAGCTCAATCAGTCCTTCTACCTCAGCCTCCAAGTAGGTGAAACCATAGACACCAGCAACCGCACCCAGCTAATTTTTTTTTTTTTTTTTTGGAGAGGAGGTTTTGCCAACATTCCTGGCCTGGACAGGAACTTCTGAGCTCAATCGATCTGCCGCCCTTGGCCACCCAAAATGTTGGTTTTACAGAAATGAGTCATTGTGCCTGGTCTGAGATATAAACATGATTGAAAGGGATTATGAAACTGGCTGCTGCCTTCATCTGGGTGAGACCAATATCTTCCCAGAGGAAGATGATTTTTTTAGTTTATTTTGGTACTGGATGTTGGGGAAGCAGGACCTGGGTTGTCCCATGTGAAAGGCCTTTTTCCAGTGCTTGGGTGTCACAGGGGGCATTTTCCCACATCTCACACATGGCCAGGGCTTCTCCTACCACCTCCCCGACAAAGTTCTGGGTCATTACAGCCATGTGCATGGCAGTAACCTGGTTCTAGGACACTGACCTGCACCTGACGGAATGCATCAGACTTCTACAGGGTGCCTCTCTCCCTTTCCCACCACAAACACGCCCACACTGGTAATTCTGCCAACCCTAATGTGAAGTGACTTATGGATACAGAGTCTATTCATACAGAATCTATTCATATTGTAGAAAGTAGAGATCAATGTATGTTCATAGCAAACTAGGAGGAACAGCCAAGGTGACAGGGAACATTGCAAACATGGAACTGTATATGGAGAAAGCCAAAGTGTGGATCTCCTCTACTGTTTGATCAATCACAGGAGACATTATCGGTTTGACGCCTATAAGTTTCTTTGGTTTTTAATAAAATTAAGGAACCAGTTTTTTCAGAATTGTTCTTGATTTGAACTAGTGAAACGTGTTCACTCAGACATTTCCACTTGACATGAATGCATTAACTCCTCAATGTAGATTGAAAATTTACAATTAAAAGAAAATAGAAAAACAGTCTCTACCTGTGATTTTTGCTTCGGTTTCTGTTCTCAATCGTATGCTTAGCTACTTTTAGACCCCGTGCAGGAAATGATACTGATACTGAACACAACTTCTAACATCATATCTATCATTAACAGAGAGAAGAGGAAAAACACAACAGGACGCAAAGGAAACCATTTACAATGCAAGATTTCCCAGGAGGGCTCTTCAGCACCCTCTCCACGGAGGCTGTGGGCCAGCTGCACGTCTCTTGGCATAATTGGGACGCTTCTGGCATGGATGACATACAGGTTGGTGTCTTCAAAGAGGCGCACCAGGTAGGCCTCATTGGTCCCCTGAAAGCACCAACGGCCACGCTCTGGAAGCCCAGGTCCCGGCTGATGGTCCGGGGGATCTCGCGCACCAGGCGCTGGAAGGTTAGCTTGTGCTGGAGCAGCTGAGTGGACTTGTGGTACTTCTGATTTCACTCAGCGCCATGGGGCCAGGTCTGCAGCTGTGAGACTTCTTGATCCATCCTCTAGAGGGCGCCCTTTTGCGGACGGCTTTTGTGGTCCGGGGCTTCCTGGGAGCCTGCCAGGTGGTGGCTTTGCAGGCGGTCTGTTTGATGGGCCCCATGGGGGCGGGCAGTAGCCTCTCCCCTCTCCTTGGGCTGAGCCTGGCCCACTGCAGGCGGCGCTGGAGTCAGAGAGCAAGGGCACTGGGGCTGTGGACAGGATTCAGAGAGCCCGTGAGTTGAAATCCATGTACAAGATGCTCCCACACACTGAGCCCCTTCCAACCCACCCCAGACTTACCAGCAGGAGAAGATGCAAACCGAAATGGTCACTCCTCTACCAGGGATGCTCTGGGAGCATTTTTCTCTCCCAAAGTGACATTCATGGAAATCTGCGCGTAGCCTTCGCGGGAAGCTGAGGCTTTTTGTTCTAATGGTCATATGTGCCTGTCACTGAAGCCCTCCCTGGGTCTTTTTTTACCTTGATGGAGGGGGTGAGCCTTCTTTCCATTGCCTGCTTTGGAAATGCCATGAAGCCCCGCGAAGCCAGCCCTGAGTTCACTGAGCTGCTGAACCGAGGACTCAGCAGCTACCTTCATACTATTGGCTTCATGAGTAAAAGCAAAGCAGAGTAAAGAAAAGAAACAAACAAATAAACAACACACCAACCAAAGGCTCCTATTTCAATACACGGTGCACAGGCTTCTCTGACAACTTATAGTATAAATTTAATGCCCATGCATGCAATGCATATACCACACACAGAACAGGAATTTCCAGGAAAATCAATACTCACAAAATAAGTTCACATTTCTCTTTAAAAATAGAGCTCATTTTGTAACAAACCTTTAGGTTCTTGCCAAAATTGGGCAGAAGGAACATAGGTCCCCAATATCCTCTCACCACACATATGCATAGCCCCCTTCACTATGAACTTTCTGCCCCAGAGTGGTACGTTGTCTACAACCTTTCAACCTACATGGACACATCACTGTGACTCCAACTCCATCGCTCTCCTTAGGATTCACTTGAGTGTTGTATATTCCATGGATTCAAGCAAAGGCATAATTGCATGTATCCACCATTATTGTATTCTATGGACTAGTTTCACTTCCATGCAATCGTACTCTGTCCAGTCTCCCCACTTCTCTCCTTCACTCTCGGTCCCTTGCAACCACTCAACTATTGACTTGTGTATTCATATTTAAAGTGTGGACACATCTTGTTGTATATATTTCTTATGTACAAAATGCTGTTTTAAAGTATGTACACATTGTCTAATATCTAAATCTAGGTAGTTGACATTCATTACCTCACATATATATTACTGTGGTGAGAACACTGCACATCCATGTTAATGAGATTTTTCAAAAATACGATCTATTGTTAACTATAGTCATCATGCTATACAATAATCCTTGAACTTATTCCCCCTATGTAACTGAAATGTGTATTTTGACCAATGTCTTCTCAAATTCCCCACCGCCTGTCACCACAGCACCAAACAACCACTTTTCTTCTCTTTTACATCCATCAGACTACCTTTGTGACATTCTACATAGCATTGAGATTATGTGGTATTTGTGTTCCTACCTATGCCTGACTTATTTCACTTAGCATGATGTTCTCCAGGTGCACCCATGTGTCACAAATGACAAGATTTCCTTCTTCTTTAAGGCTGTATGGTATTCCCTTGTGTATATATGTCAGATTTTCCTCCTCCTGTTATCTGCTTTTGGATATTTAGGTGGATACCCTATCTTAGGTCTTGTAAGTAGTGCTGCAATCAATGTGGGAGTGCAGATATCTCTTCAATAGACCGATTTCATTTCCTTTTGATATAGACCTCCCAGTGTGGGCTTGCTGGATCGTATGGTAGCTGTATTTGTTTAGTTTGTGGAGGAAGGTCCATACTGTTTTCTATAATGGCTGTCCTAATTTACATGGCGAGGAAGAATGCAAGGGCTCCCTTTCCTCCACATCCTCGTCGACAAGTTTTGTCCTTTGATGTTTTGATCATAGCCATTCTAATGAACATAAGGTGTTATCTTCTTTCAGTTTTTATTTGCATTTCTCTGGAGATTAGTGATGTTGAGTATATATATATACTAGTAACAGAAGGTATATATGGATATATACCTGGTGGCCACTTTCATGGCTTCTCTTCAGAAATGTCTATTATTTAGTTCCTTTGCCCAGTTTTTAAATTGTATTGTTTCTTGGTTTCAAGTCCTTAGAGTTCCTAGTATATTTTGGACAGTAAATAGTTAATTCCTTATTGAATGTAGGGTTTGCAAATATTTTCTCTCTTTATGATTCTGTCTCTTCATGGTGTTGATTGTTTTGTCGGCTCTGCAGATTTTTTGTTTTTTCATTTGGATGCAATCCATTTATGTATTTTCCCTCTTGCTGTCTCTGATTTTGGGACATATTCCAAAAATCATTGGGTTAACCATTGTCAATGAGGACATCCCCTGTTTTCTTCTAGTAGGTTATACATTTGTTACCATTTATCTTATATTCAGGGTATTGGATCAATTACATGTCAGTATAATTACAAATAATGTTCAATTACACAAAATATTTAATGGTCAAGTCCTACACTGAGAGGGAATTTTATTTCTAATTTTTGTGTTCTTATGGAATAATTTGGAAAATCAAGTAACAATTGAATGTTATCTAGTATGAAAATGTATTGTCATCATATGTATTTCTGTTTTAGAGAAGCACAAAACAGAAATAAACATGTTATTTCAGCCATAAACCTAGTTTACATTGGGGCCATTCCTTGGAGGTGAAGGTGTGGAAAGGAGTGCCCAGATGAGACGGGGTATCTGGGGTCTGTGCTTCTCTTAGTTTTCCATGTAGATCCCAGAGTGTGTTACCATTCTGACATCATCAAACATCATTCCCCGACATGAAACAGTCTTGGTAGGAAAGTAAAAAGAGTCATTTTAGAGAAGAATAGTTTTTTAATTTCATTTTTATTTTTACACGCTGGGAAAGAGGTGCTTGATTCCCCAGGAAAAGTTATGGAAAAGTACTAAATGTTTCCAAGGGCAGCTACTCCAGTACTCTTAGAAAGCCCAGCACCTTCAGGATAGAATATTGTAAGGGAAGACTTTGTTGTGTCTCCTTAAAATCACATATGAGCAAAAATCCTGTTATATCCACTTAAGGATTCGGTATGAAACCACCATAGTCTCTTAAAAGGGTTTCTTTCTTCTCTCTGAAGACAGCTCCACATCCAAAGGATGCTCAAGGCCCATGTACCTTTGTTCTTCCAGCTAGGAAGCCCTAGAACAATGCCTGCTCATACATGGACCTCAGAGACCCAAACATGATGATAATGATTGTTATTTTCTTGAGCCAGGGTCTCACTCTGTCAGCCAGGTAGGAGGGCAGTGGTTCCATCTCGGCTCACTATAATCTCCACTTCTGGAGCTCAAGAGATCCTCCTACCTCAGCCTCTGGAGTAGCTGAAACAGCAGGCACCAACCACCACATTTAGCTTTTTTTTTTTCCATTTTAATTGTAGAGGGGAAGTTTTGTCATGTTGCCCAGGCTGGTCTGGAACTCCTGAGTTCAAGTGATCCACCAACCCCGGTCTCCCAAAATGCTCTCTGATCATAGAAATAAGCCATTGTGCCCCATCTGAGATACAAATATGATTGGATGACATTATTAATCAGGCTGCTGCCTTCATCTGGGTGAGACTAATGTAAGATGTAAGAAAGATGTTAAGTCATGGTTAAGTCCAGGATGGGCTGAGATACTGAAGCTCCAGCGTACAGAGGGCTCTGTCATAGAAAGACTGGAACCAGTACTTTTTCCTCTAAGATCAGGCCTTTCTTTCTAGACTGGGGCCCAGAGGAAGATGACTTTGTTTTGTAGTAGGTGTTTGGGAAGTGGTCACTGGGCTGTCCCCTGAGAAAGGTCTCCCTCCAATGCTTGGGCTGCAGTGGGGCATGTCTCCCCACATCTCAAACATAAGCAGGGCCTCTCCTACCACTTCCCTAACCAAGACCTGTATCATTCCAGCCATGGCCAGGGCTATGACCACGTTGCAAGATGCTGAGCTTCTGGGGATGGACTGCATCGGACTTCTCACAGGTGCCTCTCTCCCTTTCCCACCCACAAACAGACCCACACTGGTTCTTGCCTCCCATAATGTGAAATGACTTGTGTATAGAGACTCTATTCACATTTTAGAAAGTAGAGTGTAATGTATGTTCATAGCAAACAAACACACAGGAATAGCTCAGGAGACAGGGAACATTGAGAACACGGAGCTGCATATAGGAAAAGTCAAAGTGTGGATCGCATCTGCTGTTTGATCAAATGCAGGAGACATTATCTATTTGCCACCAATAAGAAATTTATTTGGTTTTCAATAATACTAATGAGCACATTTTTTCACAATTGTTCTTGATTTGAACTGTTGAAAAGCGTTCAGTGAGAAATTCCCAGTTGACATGAATGTATTAGACCCTCAATGTAGATGGACAGTTTACAAACAAAAGAAAACAGAAACACTCATACCCTTTATATCTGCCTGTGTTGTTACTCCTAATCATGTGCAGGGCTGCTTTTGGACCCCATGAGGGACATAAAACCAAAAATGAAGAGAACTGCTAATATCAGAACTATGATTAACACAAAGACGTTGAAAAACACAACCAAATGGAAACGAAGCCGTCTAGAGTGCAGCGTTTCCCAGGAGCGTGGGCTCCCCAGCACCCTCTCTGCCGAGTTGGCAGGCCAGCTGCATGTCTCTGGGCATAACTGTGACACGCCTGGCATGGATAACACATAGGTTGATGTCTTTAAAGAGGGGGACCAGGTAGGCCTCGCTGTTTCCCTGAAATCGCCAGTGGCCGCACATTGGAAGCGCAGGTCTGGGTTGATGGCCTGGGCAATCTCGTGCTCCAGGCGCTGGAAGGTCAGCTTGTGCAGAAGCAGCTGTGTGGACTTCTGGTACCTCCTGGTTTTGTGCAGCGCCAGGGTGCCAAGCCTGTGGCGGTGAGGCTTCTTGATCCCTCGTGTAGCCAGGACCCTCTTGCCGGTGACTTTGGTGGCCAGGGGCTTCCTGGGGGCCTGCCAGGCGGTGGCTTTGTGGTCAGTCTGCCTAATGCGAGCCATGGTGTAGGGCTGTGGCCTCTGCCTTGTCACTGGGCTGAACCTGGTGAACTGGAAGCAGTGCTGGTACCAGACAGCAATGGTGGTGAGGCTGTGGGCAGGATTCAGAGAGTCTGTGTGTTGGGATCTATGCAGAAGATGCTGCCATACACTTAGCCCCTTCCAACCCAGCCCCATACTTACCAACTCACTGATCAGTGGGTCTGAGGTCCCTGTATTGAGTCTCCTTGAGTAGCCTTGGGATTCCTCGGTCTACACACAGCAGTGGGGAATCTTTCTCCCAGGCAGTCTTGCTCTAGCTGGAGATCTCTGTGATCTCAGCCAAATTCAGTCATTTATAGGAGGCTTGGATGATTGGATTAGACCCACCCAGCTACTTTTCACTGCATTCTGTGCTTCAGCAGATGCTTAACCTAATCAGGGCTGTGAAAGCCCATTAAGTCCCTGCATTCTTCCTCACCCAAGAGAGGTACAGACCTCTGGATTGTGCATTGTGGGAGGGATGGTAAATGAGATCTGTCACTTAACGTTTTGGGTGCCGAATGGATTCTGAAAGTTTACATTTTATTTACATCAAGGAAATAGTTACTTAAAGTTGCATATTAGGCCAAGCTTGGTGGCTCATGCCTGCAATCCCAGCACTTTGGGAGGCTGAGGTGGATGGATCATGAGGTCAACAGATTGAGACCATCCTGGCTTAACTCGGTGAAACCCCGTCTCTACTAAAAATACAAAAATTGACCAGGTGTGGTGGCATGCACCTGTAATCACAGCTACTCGGGAGATTGAGGCAGGAGAATTGCTTGGACCTGGGGGGCGGAAGTTGCAGTGAGCCGAGATCACGCCACTGCACTCCAGCCTGGGTGACAAAGTGAGACTCCATCTCAAAAGAAAAACAAAAACAAGTTGCATGTTAGACAACTTACATGTCTGTGGAAAAACACCAAGGCTTGAGATCATGAGGTCTTCATCAGATCCCATGAGGATGAAGTGAACTGGGAAGGGGAATATGGAAACCTGAAATGGCCACTCCTCTATGAAGGATTCTCCTGGGGCATTTCTCTCTTCAAAGGTGATGCTCCTGCAAATCTGCTGGTAGCCTCCTGGGGAAGGCAAAGCTGTTGTGAGAAAACAGTGACATGTGACTGTCACTGATGCCCCCTTTGGCTTCTTTTCCACTTTGAATGTGGATTTGATGCCTGAACAGAGCTATCCTGTTGTTGCCCAGGATGAAAACACCATGAGGTCCTGAGAAGTCAGCCCCGACCTCTCTGAATTGCTGAACCGAGGTCACAGCTTAGCTAAGTAAATATTGAAAACATTTCATTATTTGAATAGCTTTAGCAGTACCAAATTGTTTTGGGCACCATAGATGAATTGTACGGTGGTCAAGTCTATTTCAGTTTACTCTTAATGAACTTTTGTGATACTTGTAACATAAATTATTGTTCAATTCAATGCAGATTTCATGCACAGAATGACAAATTTTATGATATCAATATTACAAAATACATTCCTGTTAGCATTTTTTTAATTAGAGCTTAGTATTATTATTTTCTAGTTGTGTAGTTTTTTAAAAAAAATTATGTTTCATTAGCTTGTAAAAACCACTCATAAGTGGTTTTTGTTCCATACGTGAATTGTATGGTGTTGAAGTCAAGAATTTTAGTGCGCTCATCACGTGACTACTATACCTACATTGCACCCAGTAGGCAGTTTTTCATCCCCCCATCACCCTGCCACTTCTGAGTCTCTAATGTCTGTGTTACCACCCTGTATGCCTTTCCTACCCACAGCTTAGCTCCCACTTCTAAGTGAGAATGTGCACCATTTTGCTCTAGATTCCTGAATGACTCCACTGAGAATAATGGCCTGTAGTTTCATCCACGTTGCTGTAAAAGACATGATTTCATTGCTTATGGCTGAGTAGTAGTCCATGGCATATATGAACCCCATTTAACTTTACTCACTCATCAGCTGATGGGCACTCAGGTTTATTTTATATCTTTGCAATCGCGAATTGTGCTAGGGTAAACATATGTGTGCAGGTCTGTTAAGTGGTGTGAGTTCTTTTTCTTTTGTGTGTCTACCCACTATTTGGATTACTGGATCGAATGGGAGATGTACTTTGAGATATCTTCATGCTGTTTCCTACAGAGATTACATTAATTTGCATTGTGACAGCAGTGCCTAAGCATTCCCTCTCACCACATCCACCCCAGCATCTATCATTTTTGACTATTGAATAATGGTCATTCTGGTGGGGTAAGGTGATACCGCACTGTGGTTTTACTTTGCATTTCTCTGATGATTAGTGATGCGGGGCATCTTTTCCTCTGTTTTTTTTTTTTTTTTTTTTTTTTTGGAATTGTTGTATCTTCTTCTGAGAAATTTCTATGCACATCACTTGCCCACTTTATAGTGGGATTATATTTGTTTTTTTCTTGTTTATTTGTTAGAACTGCTTGTAGATTCTGGATCTGTTAGTCCTTTGTCAGATGCATAGTTTGCAGATGGTTTGTCCCATGCCATAGGTTGTTTGTTTACTAAGGATTATTTCTTTTGTTGTCCAAAAGCATTTTCTACTCAATAAGAAATTTGATGATAATAAAATGAAAAACTCATGGTATCTGAATATGTAAGGCACTGTCAATTATGTATCCACATTCAGTATTTGTGTAATAATTAAAGAAGTAACACTACAAGGAACCGTCCTGGAACTATACTGGATAAACTTAGAGCCTCTAACACATTGCTTGGTTTTCTGACAGACCAAAACCATTAAGAAATTCCCAGCCTGGCTAATGTAAACAAAAATTCAGAGTAATACTTGAAAATATCAGATTTTTAAATGTCTAGAGTGGAAGAATTCAACTTCACAAATACAGCATTTCCTCCAGGATACATAGCATGTAGAAAAGTGTTCAATAAATATTTGCTGAAAAATAGTTTTTTGAGTCTGTTGTCTACAAAGGGGATGTCAGTGATCAAGAAAACAGCCATCTAATTAGTATGTTTCTTATTTTTAAGTTAACAATTAGAGACACATAATGGTTTTGGGGTGTAACAGTTTTAAAACTTTCCTCTGCCAGCACCTTTATGGGTGCATCCGGAAAGGCTCTGCTTGTTATGAATGCCTTTGTATACATTCTGCAAAATAATAATGGTGGTTCTGACGTAATTTAAAAAAATTTTTAATTGGGCATAGACAGAAATGGAAGAAATGCTGAAGAAAATTAAAAGAGATTTCAGAGCAAGAATTATAGTAACGGGATAAAGAATGATAATTATTTTCATGGGTAAAACTTTAAATGCTTTTATCCTTTTAAAAGCAATTCCAATATGTTCCTAACATTGATGCTTAGAAAGCAGCTAAGTGTGTTGTAGGGTACAAAGTGTCTGTAATTTTTCTCTGGAGACTATAAAATGTGACCTGGATCTGGCCCATAGGTTTCTGTGGCAGTCTATCTAATGCAATCAGAAGAGAGTGGATGGCTGAAGTTACTATCATCTGTGAGGTTTATGTTTTGGAAGAGTTAATCTAGGAGGCTCTTCTTATTTTTTTTCCACTTGCATCTTATCAGTAAGAGCTTTTTTTCAAAAAAAATGAGATAGCTTCTTGCTCTATCACCTAGGCTGGAGTGCAGTAGCAAGATCTCTGCTCACGGCAACCTATGCCTCCTGGGCTCAAGGGATCCTCCCACCTCAGCCTCCCAAGTAGCTGGCACCACTGGCATGCACACCGTGCCTGGCTAATTTACGTATTTTCTATAGAGAAGAGGTTCTGCTCTGTTGTCCAGGCTGATCTCAAACTCCTGGGCTCAAGTGATCTGCCTGCCTCAACCTCCCAAAGTGCTGGTATTACAAGCATGAGCCACCATGCCCGGCCAGTAAAACATTTTTGAATAGCCCACATATATATCTGGTTATTTATAAGCTTAATTTATGGGCTATAGTCATTTTGTATATAAACATTAGTTAATTTAATTCTTTTCCTTAGATAAAAATAAACATAAATCAACATTAAATTTTGTTCTTTGTGCCTCAATTATCTTGCATATTTTGGGGGCATGTGGCCTTCTAATCTTTTCATTTAAGAAGTCATTAATTTAGATCTCTCTCTAGGGTGTTTATCTCTCTAGATAGAGACCTACTAGAGTTTAAGAGAAAAATGAGGAGTATATAAAGCTTAGATAAATTCAGTGTCTTTTTAGAGTATAGTGAGAGATAACTGTATATGGTAATTAATTTTTATGAGAAGTTTATGTATCTGTGTTTGTTTTATTTCAGGGGTTAATTTTCAAGTTTTGGATGGTTCTCCCTCTTTGAGTTGCCATTTGTTTCTGCTTATAACCTACCGATCATGACTTCAGTACCAGTAAATATTGGAAATGAAAGGCCCTATGTGACTTACAAAGATTCCGATGTAAATATGTTTTCCTGGTAAAGACGGGTTTCACCATGTTGTCCAGGCTGGTCATGAACTCCTGACCTCAGGAGATCCACACAACTCCGCCTCCCAAAATGCTGAGATTACAGGCATGAGCCACCGTGCCTGGCCAGTAATTTCATATCTTCTACCAACTATTTTTGAATAAACAAAAGCTCTTTAAAAGTCAGATATTTGAGTGTCTGCTTTATCTTCTGAAGTAGTTTTTATGCCATTTATCAACATAATTTTCCCTAAATGTGATGTAAATCTTTGTGCATGACGTAATTTTATGTCTCTTTGGTGCTTCTCTGTGACCTATGTATACATACACATGTAATATATAAAATTGAAATCTGGGCGCAGTGGCTCATGCCTGTAATCCCTTCACTTTGAGAAATCAAAGTGGGGCAGATCACTTGAAGTCAGCAATTCAAGATCAGCCTGGCCGGAATGGTGAATCCTCGTCTCTCCTTGAAAAAATACAAAAATTTGCCTGGCGTGGTAGTGCGCACATTTAGTCCCAGCTACTCTGGAGGCTGAGGCAGGAGAATCCGTTGAGCCTAGGATGCAGAGGCTGCAGTGGGCTGAGATCAGGCCACTGTAATCCAGCCTGGGGGACAGAGCGAGACTCTGTCTCAAAAATAAATAAATAAATAAATATATTAAAAAAAATAACATTGAAATCATATTTTCTTATTCCCATCACCCAGCCCAGTTTATTTTCAGAGTGCCTGATAAATCACTTGTTTCCCTATGAGTTAGGGATTTTTTTCTCAGACATTTAAATTTTCTAATGCGCAATTTCGTAAAATGTCTCATTTTTACTGTAAATAGTTTCTTTATTGTTTCTTTATTGTTGTGAGGAATCATTCGATTCTGTGAAGAAGACTGAATTCTGAAATGTCCCTTGCATTTCCCTCCCCTCAGAGACTCGCCCTGTGTCTGCCCCTCCCTTGGGTGTGGGCGGAAGCATGAATTGATGTGCCCGCCCAACTTCCTGATTAGATTAGGGATATCCTGAACCAATGGCTGCTAAGGGCTGGGTCTAATTCAATCATCTGAGCCCTTTATAAGGGAGGACTGAACCCCCCTGTGATTACGCTCCCCTGTGGGAGATTCCCCAGCACTGGCTGTGCACACCCAGGGAGCCTCACGGCCCAGACCTGGGCAGCACGGGTAGGAGCTGAGAGCATCCTCACGGCAGCAGGCAGAACAAACAAGTGGGCCTGGGGCTCACAACCCTAAGGCATTGTTGAATTCTGCCACCAACTCGAATCATATCGAAGCCAGACCCTTCTCAGGTGGAGGCAACGACCACACAGCCAGACCCATCCTGGAGGTCCCTCCTGGGACTCTGAGCAGGAGGCAGTCACTTGGCCTAGCAGAACTTCTGACCTGTGAGCTGGTGTTTGTTTTAAATACCCAAAATTGGTGAGAATTCGTTCTGCATTGATCTAAAACTAATATACTCTCCTTCCACAAGTTTCTTCACACTGTGGAAGTGAGAAAATTCAGTGTGTGTGTTTGTGTGTGGGAAGGGGAGGCCGGGAACTGTGTCCGGTTACGGCGAAACTGGCTCAGCAGAAACACAGCAGCTAAAATCTTTGAAAGGTTCTCATCGCAGATCCATAATCAAACCACCCCAGCCGGAACTTCTGCCTGTACAGCTGCTGTCACGGAGCAGACTTGAATCTCACCCATGGAGACCGGCAGGCAAACAGGCGTGTCTGCTGAGATGCTCGCCATGCCCCGAGGTCTGAAGGGCAGCAAGAAGGATGGAATCCCTGAGGACCTAGATGGGAACTTGGAAGAACCCAGGGATCAGGAAGGTGAGCTCAGGAGTGAGGATGTCATGGACCTCACAGAAGGTGACAGTGAGGCCTCAGCCTCAGCTCCTCCTGCAGCCAAAAGACGGAAAACACATACGAAACGCAAGAAGGAGAGGAAGCCCACCGTGGATGCAGAGGAGGCTCAGAGGATGACAACCCTGCTGTCTGCCATGTCTGAGGAGCAGCTGTCCCGCTACGAAGTGTGTCGCCGGTCAGCTTTCCCAAGAGCACGCATTGCGGGTCTGATGCGGTCTATCACTGGCAGTTCGGTGTCTGAGAACGCGGCCATTGCCATGGCTGGAATAGCCAAGGTCTTTGTTGGAGAGGTGGTGGAAGAGGCCCTGGACATGTGTGAGATGTGGGGAGAGACGCCCCCGCTGCAGCCCAAGCATTTAAGGGAGGCTGTTCACAGGTTAAAGCCCAAGGGCCTCTTCCCCAACAGCAACTACAAAAGAGTCATGTTCTAGGCCCAAGGCCAGAGGGCAGGGTCTGTTTGTGCAGGAATAAGTACCGCGTTCATCTTCCAATGACAGGAGTGTGTTTGCTGGAGCTTCTGCATCTCAGTCCCACCTGGATTTACCCACGATCTTAGTGTCTTAAAATGTGAAGTTGCCCTTACCTGGATGAAGACAGCAGATTGTTTCATAGGAGCCTTGGCTAAATCTTTGGGCATTTTAATGGGATGTGGAGGCGTTTTTCTATGTCTTTCCAGTTGGAGGAATCAAGGTGCCTGGGCCAAGAGCATCCTGTGGACAGGCAGCTGCATTCAGAGAGGGAAGCCCTTCCCAGGAGATCTGCATGGTTTCCTGCTGAAGCCTGGTGTAGCTGTGTCTTAGCTTGTATGCTTATGTCTGGGTTCCAGTAATTGGAGCTTGCAGAAATGTTTCCCCGATTGTTCTTCTGTACATTTTCAATGCTCATATGTATTTTTGTGAGTCATCTTGAAAACAGTTAAACTGTTCAACTGGTTTCCAAACTGCAGAAATCAAAATGAAATCACAAAACACTTTTTTTTCCCCAAGTTGACTCTTCTATTCCTGCCTGCTGTGCTTTATGCCAGCAAGTGACCCTTTCCTGTATTATAATGCAATATAGTATAGATGCATCATGTAAGACTAGAGAGAAACCAATTCCAAAACCACCTTTCCTCAAGCCGCCATTTGTAACGATCATATGGGCGGTTTAAAGGACACAGAGAGGGCCTATTGATACTTCACTTTGGCTATACGTGGTGATTTTTGCAGTGCTTCCGGAGACACTGAAATTTAGTTCCAAACATTGCCTTAGAGGATTCTTGATATTATTCATTCTGCCGATGATCCACTCAGAAAATGAAACCTGAGTACGGCGACATTGGAGAAGTCGTTAAAGCATTGGACCAAGTCGGTTCATCACGAGTGACAAAGATATTCCACACTCTAGTTGTACATACTCTGCTTTACCTTCATGATGGAAAAGAGTAATTTTTCGCTATAGAGTAAAAACCCGAGATTTATTATGGAATCACCGTGAACCTTCCCAGCACAGCTCACAGATCATATGCCAAAAATTACAGTGTGATTCAGTTTCAAAAATTGTCTGTAGTGACCTGTGAATTCACAGCTCGTGAGGACATTCTTTAGTTTGGCGGAAACCAAAAAACCTGAAACCATTGAAATTGAAAAAAATGGAGTCTGCCAAATTCTGCCTCTTACACTTTCAGCTACCATGCCATGTTCAACTATTGTACTTGATAAGTATTGGAAACTTAAAGTACTGATAATTTCAATAGAGTTTCACCAAAGTAGTATTTCTTGTGAGAAAGCCATAATCTCGAATCAGGTCAAAGCCAGACCCTTCTCAGGTGAAGGCAACGACCACACAGCCAGAGCTATCCTGGAGGTCCCTTGTGTGACTCTGAGCAGGAGGCAGTCACTTGGTCTAGTAGAACTTCTGACCTGTGAGCTGGTGTTTGTTTTAAATATCCAAAATTGGTGAGAATTGATTCTGCATTGATCTAAAACTAATATACTGTCCATCCACAAGTTTCTTCACATTGTGGAAGTGAGAAAACCAGTGTATGTGTTTGTGTGTGGAAAGGGGAGGCAGGGAGCTGTGTCCAGTTGTGGCTAACCTATGGCTCAGCAGAAACATAGCGGCTAAAATCTGTGAAAGGTTCTGATTTCAGATGCATAATCAAACCACCCCAGGTGGAACTTCTGCTTCTACAGCTGCTGTCATGGAGCCAACCTGAATCTCACCCATGGAGACCGGCAGGCAAACAGGTGTGTCTGCTGAGATGTTCGCCATACCCCGAGGTCTGAAGGGCTGCAACGAGGATGGAATCCCTGAGGCCCTAGATGGGAACTTGGAAGAACCCAGGGCTCAGGAATGTGAGCTCAGGAGTGAGGATGTCATGGACCTCACAGTAGTTGACAATGAGGCCTCAGCCTCAGCTCCTCCTGCAGCCAAAAGACAGAAAACAGATACCAAAGGCCAGAAGGAGAGGAAGCCCAGTGTGGATGCAGAGGAGGCTCAGAGGATGACAACCCTGCTGTCTGCCATGTCTGAGGAGCAGCTGTCCCGCTATGAAGTGTGTCGCCAGTTAGCTTTCCCAAAAGCACTTGTTGCACGTCTGATGTGGTCTATCACTGGGAGATCGGTGCCTGAGAACATGGCCATTGCCATGGCTGGAATAGCCAAGGTCTTTGTTGGAGAGGTGGTGGAAGAGGCCCTGGACATGTGTGAGATGTGGGGAGAAATGCCCCCATTGCAGCCCATGGATTTAAGGGAGGCTGTTTGCAGGTTAAAGCCCAAGGGCCTCTTCCCCAACAACTATAAAAAAGTCATGTTCTAGGCCCAAGGCCAGAGGGAAGGGTCTGTTTTTGCAGGAGTAAGTACTGCATTCATCTTCCAATGACAGGACTGTGTTTGCTGGAGCTTCTGCCTCTCAGTCTACCCTGTATTTACCCATGATCATAGTGTCTTAAAATGTGAAGTTGGCCTTACCTGGATGAAGACAGCAGATTGCTTCATAGGAGCCTTGGCTAAATGTTTGGGCCTCTGAGGTCATATTGTGGCATTTTTGTATGTCTTTCCAGTTGGAAGAATAAAGGTGCCTGGGCCTAGAGCATCCTGTGGACAGGTAGCTGCATTCAGAGAGGGAAGTCCTTTCCAGGAGATTTGTATGGTTTCATGCTGAAGCCTGGTGTTGCTGTGTCTTAGCTTGTATGCTTATGTCTGGGTTTCAGTAAGTGAAGCCTCCAGAAATGTTCCCCAATTGTTGTCCTTCTCTGTATTTTCAATGCTCTTTTGTATTTTTGTGAGTCATCACAAAAACAGTTAAACTGTTTTCCAAACTGCAGAAATAAAAATAAAATCACAAAGCATTTTTTTCTCTAAGTTGACTCTTCTCCTATTCCTGCCTACTGTGCTTTATGTCAGCAAGTGACCCTTTACTTTATTAAATGTGATACAGTATAGATGCATCACGTAAGACTAGAGAGAAACCAATTCCAAAGCCACCTTTCCTCAAGCCGCCATTTGTAATGAACATATATGTAGTTTAAAAGGCACAGAGAGAGCCTACTGATACTTCATGTTTGCTACACATGGTGATATTACCAGGGCTTCCAGAGACACTAAAATTTAGTTCCAAACATTGCTTTAGAGGAGTCTTGATTTTATTCATTCTACTAATGAGCCACTCAGGAAATCAAACCTGAATACAGAGACATTGGAGAAGTCGTTAAAGTATTGGACCAAGTAGGTTCATCACGAGTGACAAAGTTATTCCACACTCTACTTGTACATACTCTGCTTTACCTTTATGATGGAAAAGAGTAATTTTTCATTACAGAATAAAGACCTGGGATTTATTATGGAATCACCGTGAACCTTCCCAGCACAGCTCACAGATATCCATGGTGCTATTTCAGTCTGTTTTCCTTTGCCATGTGCCCCCTGAATCACAGAGTATAAGCAAAAAGGATCGAAAAGACCCCATAGTTCAGCTCTAATATTGAATGGAGAATAACATGTTCTCTTTCTTCCTGAAGCCAAAGATACCCCCATGAAATATATTTTTATTTCCTCATACACTCAGCTTTTGCTCTTAATATAGGACTTATTGTACATAGAATCTGCCTTTGGGTAGCACACAAATTTCTAAACTTTACCAAGTATGGGGAAATTATGTTTCATACCTCCATATTCTGACATCGTTTAGCTTTCCTTTTATTTTACCAAGTTTCTTGTAAAGGCATTTAACAAGTTAGACCAGTGTGTCTTAGAGACACAAGGAGGGTACAGGTTCTTGGAAGAAATGATGGAGATGTGAGGGCTCTGTCAGGAATTGAAGTGCTTGAGCAACCAAAAGAAGTGAGATCCAAGAGACTTAATATCTCCTAGTCTTTATATTGCTCTCAGCTCATTCCTTTTTCATGGCATTGAGCAGTCTTGGAAGTTGTATTCTGGCAGATGTGGCAGGTCGAGCCCTTTCAGAACACTAGAGGAAAAGAGAACCTGGCCCAAGCAACCTGAGGTTGAGACAAACATCTGCAGAGAGCAGTGCTGATGGTGATTCCACACTCAAGCTTAGAACATTTTTCTGGCCCCTGATAGAACTCAATACTTTGAGTGGGGTCTGAGTAAAGCTGAACTGCTGAAGACAGAAACAAGTTCCCATCAAGGTCTCAGAGGTCAGTTCAGGAGCTGGAACACAGCGTTGTTTTCTCAGAGAGGAAAATTGGATTAGCTGAGAAGGTTCAGTGTCCTTACACATTCTTTTTTTTTTTTTCCTTTAAATTTTGGGATACATGTGCAGAACGTGCAGGTTTGTTACAAAAGTATACATATGCCCTAGTGGTTTGCTGCACCTATCAACCCATCATCGAGGCTTTAGGCCCAGCATGCATTGGGTATTTGTCCTAATGCTCTCCTTTCTCTTGCCTCCCACCCCCTGACAGGCCACGCTGTGTGATGTTCCCCTCTCTGTGTCCATATATTCTCATTGATCAACTCCCATTTATGAGTGAGAACATGTGGTGTTTGGTTTTCTGTTCCTGTGTTAGTTTGCTGAGAATGATGGTTTGCAGTGTCATCCATGTCACGGCAAAGAACACGAGCTCATTCTTTTTTTATGGCTGCCATGTATTCTATGGTGTATATATACCACAGGTTCTTTATCCAGTCTATCATTGATGGGCATTTGGGTTGGTTCCAACTCTTTGCTATTGTAAACTGTGCTGCAATAAACATATATGTGTATGTGTTTTTATAGTAGAATGATTTACAATCCTTTGGGTATATAGCCAGTAATGAGATTGCTGGGTCCAGCGGTATTTCTGATACTAGAGGAATCACCACACTGTCTTCCACAATGGATGAACTAATTTACAGTCTCATAAACATTGTAAAAGTGTTTCTATATCTCCACAGCCTTGCCAGCATCTGTTGCTTCCTGACTTTTTAATAATCACATACTAAATCTTCTCAATATATAATATCATACAGCCACAGCTCTCAAGAAAGAAATCTGTAGAAAGTGGTATCTTTCCAGGAGAAATCTTTGACAGCTTTCATGACTGATTGTATTACATGTTAATGAAGTTTTTCCTGGAGCTTCATTACTGTTCTTAAAGTCTATCTCATAATGTACATTTGGAGACTGCCTAGAAAAATGTGGTCTCTGTTTGGTGCTGGTAAAGTGGTGACAAGATACCTAATAAAGTGACTGTACTTGACTATTTTCCATAATTTACTATTTTGGGATAAGCTTAACATCTTCACTGTCTGCCTTTGCCCTCCACAAGTAATTAGCATATGTCTAAATAAAGTTAAGCAAGGTAGCTCCACTTTTCCCAAGCACATATTGTCTAGGGTCTAGTCTTTAGAAGTATAAAGTACAAAGCTTAAAAGTACAACTCACAAAATTTTGTACCCAAACTAGAAAGGCTAAAATGATCAATTGATGGATTTGTGTTTCCTATGGAAGAGGGTAGAAAGCAGAATGTTAGTATACATATATAGGGGAGAAGATGGCAGGGCTTTTATAAAATGAATGTGGTCAAATCTTGGGAATAGTTTCTTAAGCAGCATAAATATTAGAGAGGCAATTCATGAAAGTTCAACTTATTGTCATGTCTAGAAATATCAAGACATAGCTAGCATATTTTTAAAAATAAATTTTTCTCAACGAAACTATTAATGAGACAGATGAGATGTTTCCTTTATTTTTTTTTTCCAATTACTTAGTTTTTCTTAGTCACATATTCAAGGGAGTATACTGCTGTTTGGTAAAATGCGATAATTCCACATCATGTTTTTGTTTGTTTTTAAAGATGAAAAGCTGAAAAACCTTGTTTTGTGTTAGCAATACCACCAGATTATTCAAATTTCTTTAGAATTATACTCCAAAAATTACACTGTTATTTAGCTTCAAAACTGTTTGTAATGGACCTGTGAATTGACAGCTCATTAGGACATTCTTTAGTTTGGCTGAAACCAAAAAACCTGAAACCCTCAAAATTGAAAAAATAGTGTTTGCCAAATTCTGCTTTTTACACTTTCACCTACTATGCGATGTTCAAATATTGTACTTGACAAGTATTGGAAAATTCAGGTCATGTTAATTTCAAAATACTTTCACTAAAATAGTATTTTTGTGAGAAAGCCATAATCTCATCAGTAATGCCTTTTTAAAAAATCCAGCAGAAAATATGAACTAGCAACTCATCATGACAAAAAAGTAAAACTCAGGAAAAATCCTAAGGCAGAGCAGCTTCCGGCTTCAGTGTGAAACCATCATAGTCCCTTAGAAGGAGATTCTCTCTTAGAGCAGTTCACTGTCCAGAAGATGCTCAAGGACCATATACTTTTCTTCTTCCAACTATGAAGATGTAGAAAAATGACAATTCACTCAAGGAGGAAAAAATATTTAGGGAAAGTTATTATGAAAAAGGCTGCTTCAACGATCTAGGTGAGATGAATGTCAGAATTTGAGGAAGATGTTAAAATCGAGGGTGATTCCAGGGTAGACTGAGATACAGAAGTTCCAGCACACAAAGTCTTCTGTCACCCTGCCTGTCACTGAGGCACCCTGGCTCCTTTTTTACCTTGATGCCAGGGCTGAGCCTTGTTTCCATTGCCCATTTTGAAAATGGCATGAAGCCCTGTGAAGGCCCTGAGTTCACTGAACTTCTGAACCCAGGTCACAGCTGCTACCTTCATACCTCTGGCTGCATGAGAAAAAGTAAAGCAGACAAAAACAAACAAGCAAATAAACAAAAACCACACATACAAAAGGCCCTTATTTCAATACACTATTAACAGGCTTCTCTGATACTTGTAGTAGAAATTTAATGCCCTTGTATGCAATGCACAGACCATGCACAGAACAGGAAATCCAGTGATAATCAATATTCACAAAATAAGTTCACATTCCTGTTTTAAAAGGAGAGCTACTTTTGTAGAAAACCTTTAGGTTCACAGCAAAATTGGGCAGAAGGAACAGGGGTTCCCCGTATCCTCTTTCCCTACATCTGCATACCCCCTTCACTATCAACTTTCTGCCCCAGAGGGGCACATTGGCTACAGTCATTCAACCTACATGGACACATCTCTCTGACTCCAAGACCATAGCTCTCCTTAGGGATTCACTTGGGTGTTGTACATTCTATGGACTCACGCAAAGGCAAAATTACATGTATCCACCGTTATTGTATTCTATGGACTAGTTTCACCTCCATACAAATGCACTGTGTCCCGTCTATGCACTCCCCCTTCACCCTTGGTCTCTTGCAACCACTCAACTGTTGATTTATTTATTTGTATTTAAAACAGGCACATCTCATTGTATATATTTCTTATGTACATAATGCTATTATAAAGTATGTGCACATTGTCTAACATCTAATTTAGGTAATTGACAGCCATTAGCTGACGTATGTATTATTGTGGTGAGAACACTTCACATCCATGCTAATAGCATTTTTCAAGAATACGATATATTGTTAACTATAGTCACCATGTGGTAATATAGTCCTTGAGCTTATTCTCCCCATATAAACGAAATGTGTATTTCGACAAACATCTTCTCAATCCTTCATCCATGGCCACCCAGCCCCTGACAACCAGAATTCTTCTTTTTGACATCTATTAGATTAACTTTGTGAGATTCCACATATCATTGAGATGACCTGGTATTTGTCTTCCTACACCTGGCTTATTTCACTTAGCGTGATGTTCTTCAGGTACATCGGTGTGTCACAAATGACAACACGTCTTTCTTTAAGACTGCATAGTATTCCATTGTGCATGTATATCAGATTTATCCCATCCTGTCATCCATTTTTGGACATTTAGGTGAATTCCATATCTTAGCTATTGTGAATTAACTTGGGAGTGCAGATATCTCTTCAATACTGATTTCATTTCCTTTTGGTATATACCTGGCAGTGTGGGATTGCTGGATTATATGGTAGCTCTATTCTTTCCGTTTTTGGAGGAATGTCCATCCTGCTTTCTATAATGGCTGCCCTAATTTACGTTCCCATGAATAGTGCAAGGGTTCCCTTTCCTCCACATCCTCATCAACAAGTGTTGTCTTTTGACTTTTTGATCATAGACATCCTAATGAGTGTGAGGTGATATCTTCTTTCAGCTTTAATTTGCATATTTCTGATGATTAGTGATGTTGAACACATATATATACACACACACACATACCTGTTGGCTACTGTATGTCTTCTTTTCAGAAATGTTTGTTATTTAGGTCTTTTGCCAGGTTTTTAAATTGTGTTGTTTTTTGCTATTGAGTCATTTGAGTTCCTAGAGTATTTTGGACAGTAATTAATCCCTTATATGATGTTGGGTTTGAAAATATTTTCTCTCATTATGATTTTACCTCTTCACGGTGTTGATTGTTTTGTCGGCTTTGCAGATTTTTTTTTAAGTTGGTTGCCATCCATTTGTCTATTCACCTTTTCATTGTCTGTGCTTTTGGGTCATATTCCAAAAGTTATTGGCTTAACCAGTGTCAATGAGGATGTCCCCTGTTTTCTTCTAGTTGGTTTATAGTTTCAAGTTTTTAATTTATTTTGATTTACTCTTGTGTACAGTATGAAATAGGGGTCAAATTTCATTTTTCTTCATGTGGATACCGAGTTTTCCTATCACCATTGATGGAAGAAACTGTGGTATTGTGGTGGTGGGTTGTTGGCACCTTTTTAAACAATCAGTTGCCTGTATATGTATGGACTGATTTCTAGACTCTTTGCTCTGATCCAGTGGCTTAGGTGTCTGTTTTTATCCCAATGTCTTGCCATTTTGATTCCTACAGCTTGGTAGCATACTTTGAAGATAAAAAACCATGAAATCTTTTTATTTTCCCTTTGTATTTGCCTCTGACATCATCACTCAGAGAGATTTCAAAGGAGATATTGATGCTTTGCATTTTCAGTTTTTTTCTGATTGTGAAGTTAGAGTGATGACATTGAATTTCCTTAGGTGTCACCCTGAAAACTGGAGCTCCATTTTATTTTTGCTATATATTTATTACTGTTTATATTATATAATGGGTATTTGGCAATTACATGTCAGTACAATTACAAATAGGCTTCAATTACACAAAATATTTAATGCTCAAATCCTACAGTAAGAGGACGTTATATTTTTTAATACAATAATCTGAAAAATAAACTAAAAATAAAACATCATCTAGTATAACAATATATTGTTATTGTATGCAGTTCTGTTTTAGACAAGCACAAAACACACACCAATCTGTTATTTCAGCCATTAATATAGTTTACATTGGGAACAGGTCTTTGGAGGTGAAGGCGTGGAAATGAATGAAGAGATTAGACAGGGTCTCTGGGGTTTGTGTTTCTCTGTGTAGTTTTTCATGCAGCTCCTAGAGTGTGTTACCACCCTAACATCATGAAAGATCACTCCGTGAATTAAAACAATCTTGGTCCAAATGTGAATATCCCATTTTATAGGAAAAACTAATTTTTAACTTCATTTTTATTTTGCAAGCTGAAAAACAGTTGGTTGATTTCCCAGGAAAATTATGGAAAAGCATTAAATGTTTACAAAGTACCTATTCCAGTGCCTTTAGAAAGCCCGGGACTTTCTAGATAGAGTATTGGAAGACTTACTGTTTGTTTTATCTCTTCAAAATCACATTTGAGCAAAAACATCCAAAGTCATAGTAACTTCAGGATTTAGTGTGAATCCAGCACAGTCTCTTAAAAGGATGTCTTTTTTCTCTCTGAAAACAGCTCCCCGTCCACAGCATGCCCAAGGCCCATGTACCTTTCTTCCTCCAACTAGGAAGACCCAGAAAGACCCCGCTCATGCATGGACCTCAGAGAACCAAATATAATGACAATGATTGTTAGTTTTTTGAGACAGAGTCTTACTCTGTTGACCAGGTGGAAGGTCAGTGATGTCGATTTGGCTCCCTGCAACTTCCACCTCCAGAGCTCAATCGATCTTTCTACCTCAGCCTCTGAGTAGGTGAAACCACAGGCACCAGCAACCACACCACCTAATTTCTTTTTGGAGAGGAAGTTTTGCCAAGATTCCTGGCCTGGACAGGAACTCCTGAGCTCAATCGATCTGCCCCTGTCGGCCACCCAAAGTGCTGGAATTAGAGGAATGAGCCATTGTGCCTGGTCTGAAATATAAACATGATTTGAAGGGATTCTGAAACCAGCTGCTGCCTTCATCTGGGTGATACCAATATCTTCCCAGAGGAAGATGATGATTTTTTTTTGTACTGGATGTTGGGGAAACAGTACCTGGGTTGTCCCCTGTGAAAGGCCTTTTTCCAATGTCCGGGGTGTAACTGGGGCTTCTTCCCACATCTCACACACGTCCAGGGCTTCTCCTACCACCTCCCCGACAAAGACCTGGGTCATTACAGCCATGTCCACGGCAGTAACCTGGTTCTAGGACACTGACCTGCACCTGATGGAATGCATCAGACTTTTACAGGATGCCTCTCTCCCTTTCCCACCACAGACACACCCACACTGGTTATTCTGCCAACCCTAATGTGAAGTGACTTGTGGATACATCGTCTATTCATATTGTAGAAAGTAGAGATCAATGTATGTTCATAGCAAACTAGGAGGAACAGCCCAGGCGACAGAGAACATTGCAAACATGGAACTGTATATGGAGAAAGCCAAAGTGTGGATCTCATCTACTGTTTGATCAATCACAGGAGACATTATCGGTTTGACACCTATAATTTTTTTTTCTTTAAGGAATCTCCACACTATTTTCCATAGTGGCTGTACTAGTTTACATTCCCACCAGTGGTGTAGAAGTGTTTCCTGATGACTACATCCACGCCAACATCTACTGTTTTTTGATTTTCTGATTATGACCATTCTTGCAGGAGTAAGGTGGTATCACATTGTGGTTTTGATTTGCATTTCTCTCATTATTAATGATGTTGATCATTTTTTCATATGTTTGTTGTCCATTTGAATATCTTCTTTTGAGAATTGTTTATTCATATCCTTAGCCCACTTTTTGATGGCATTGTTTGTTTTTTGTTACTGATTTTTCCGAGTATATTGTAGATTCTGGATGTTAGTTGTTTGTCAAATTGTATAGATTGTGAAGATTTTCTCCCACTCTGTGGGTTGTCTGTTTACTCTGCTGACTGTTCCTTTTGCTGGCAAAAAAATTAGTTTAATTAAGTCCCAACTAGGTTATCTTTGTTTTCATTGTATTTGCTTTTGGGTTCTTGGTCATGAAATTCTTGCCTAAGCTAATGCCTAGAAGGGTTTTTCCAATGTTATCTTCTAGAATTTTTATAGATTCAGGTCTTAGATTTAAGTCCTTATCCATCTTGAGTTGATTTTTGTATAAGGTGAGGATCCTCATGTATAAGATAAGGATCCAGCTGGGCGCGGTCGCTTATGCCTGTAATCCCAGCACTTTGGGAGGCCGAGGCAGGCGGATCACGAGGTCAGGAGATCGAGACCATCTTGGCTAGCATGGTGAAACCCCTCTCTACTAAAAATACAAAAAATTAGCCAGGTGTGGTGGCAGGCGCCTGTAGTCCCAGCTACTTGGGAGGCTGAGGCAGGAGAATGGCGTGAACCTAAGAGGTGGAGCTTGCACTGAGCTGAGATATGCCACTGCACTCCAGCCTGGGTGACAGAGCGAGACTCCATCTCAAAAATAACAACAACAACAACAAAACAAATAACAACAAAAAACAAACAAAAAAAAAAACAAAAAAAAAGATGAGGATGAGGATTCGGTTTCATTCTCCTACATGTGACTAGCCAATTTTCTCAGCACCATTTGTTGAAAAGGGTGTCCTTTCCCCACTTTATATTTTTGTTCGCTTTGTTGAAGATCAGTTGGCTGTAAGTATTTGGGCTTATTTCTGGGTTTTCTATTCTGTTCCATTGTCTATGAGCCTATTTTTATACCAGTACCATGCTGTTTTGGTGACTATTGCCTTATTGTATAGCTACAAATCAGGTAGTGTGATGCCTCCAAATTTGTTCTTTTTGCTTAGTCTTGCTTTGGCTATGTGGGCTCTTTTTTGGTTCCATACGACTTTTAGAATTAGTTTTTCTAATTCTATAAATAATGATGGTGGTATTTTGATGGGGATTGCATTGAATTTGTAGATTGCTTTTGGCAGTATGGTCATTTTCACAATATTCTATCCATCCATGAGCATAGATTGTGTTTCCATTTGTTTGTGTCATTTATGATTTCTTTCAGCAGTGTTCTGTAGTTTTCCTTGTAGAGGTCTTTCACTTCCTTGTTTAGGTATATTCCTGAGTATTTAATTTTTTGCAGCTATTGTAAAAGGGGTTGTTATTGATTTGATTCTCTGCTTGGTTGCTGTTGGTGTATAGAAGAGCTGCTGATTTGTGTACATTAATCTTGTATCTGGAAACTTTGCTGAATTATTTTATTAGTTCTAGGAGCTTTCTGAAGGAGTCTTTAGGGTTTTTGAGGTAAATGATCATATCACCTGCAAACAGTGACAGTGTGACTTCCTGTTTACCAATTTGGATGCCCTTTATTTCTTTCTCTTGACTGATTGCTCTGGCTAGGACTTCCAGTACTATGTTGAAGACGAGTGGTAAGAGTGGGCATCCTTTTCTTGTTCCAGTTCTCAGAGGGAATGCTTTTAACTTTTCCTCATTCAGTATTATGTTGGCTGTTGGCTTGTCATAGATGTCTTTTATTACATTGAAGTGTGTCCCTTGTATGCTGATTTTGCTGACAGTTTTAATCATAAAGCGATGGTGAATTTTGTCAAATGCTTTTTCTGCATCTATTGAGATGATCATGTGATTTTTGTTTTTAATTCTGTTTATGTGGTGTATCACATTTATTGACTTGTGCATGTTAAACCATCTCTGCATCCCTGGTATGAAACTCATTTGATCATGGTGGATTATCTTTTTGATATGTTTATGGATTTGGTTAGCTAATATTTTGTTAAGGATTTTAGCATCTATGTTCACCAGGGATATCAGTCTGTAGTTTTCTTTTTTGGTTATGTCCTTTCCTGGTATGGTATTAGGGTGATACAAGCTTCATAGAAGGTATTAGGGAGGGTTCCCTCTTTATCTTGTGGAATACTGTCAAAAGGATTGGTACCAATTCTTTTTTGAATGTCTGGTAGAATTCTGCTGTGAATCCATCTGGTCCTGGACATTTTTTTGGTAATTTTTAAATTACCATTTAAATCTTGCTGCTTGTTATTAGTCTGTTCAGGGCATCTAATTCTTCCTGATTCAAGCTAGGAGGGTTGTATTTTTTCCAGGAATGTATACATTTCTTCTAGGATTTCTAGTTTATGTGAGTAAAGGTGTTCATAGTAGCCTTGAATGATCTTTTGTATTTCAGTGGTGTCAGTTGTAATACCTCCTGTTTTGTTTCTTAATGAGGTTATTTGTATTTTCTCTCTTCTTTTCTTGATTAATCTTGTTAATAAGTTTATGAATTTTATTTATCTTTTCAAAGAACCAGCTTTTTATTTCAATTATCTTTCATATTTTTTTTTTGTTTCAATTTCATTTAGTTCTGCTCTGATCTTGGTTATTTCCTTTCTTCTTCTGGGTTTGAGTTTAGCTTCTTCTTCTTTCTCTAGTTCCTTGAGGTGTGACATTAGAATGTAAGTTTGTGCTCTTTCAGTCTTTGATGTAGGTGTTTAGGGCTATGAACTTTCCTCTTAGCACCACCTTGGCTGTATCCCAGAGGTTTTGATAGGTTGTTTTATTTTTGTCATTCAGTTCAAAGAATGTTTTAATTTTCATCTTGATTTCATTTTTGACCCACGGCTGGATTGGGTTAATTCAAAGACCTTGTCTTCAAGCTCTGAATTTCTTTCTTTTACTTGTTCAATTCTATCGCTGAGACTTTCCAGAGCATTTTGCATTTCTATAAGTTTGTCCAATGTTTCCTGAAGTTTTGATTGTTTTTCTGTATGCTATCTATTCCCTTGAATATTTCTCCCCTCACTGCTGGTATCACTTTTTGGATTTCCTTGCATTGGGCTTTGTCTTTCTCTGGTCCCTCGCTGATTAGCTTAATAACTAAACTTCTGAATCTTTTTCAGGTAAATCAGGGATTTCTTCTTGGTTTGGATCCATTGCTGGTGAGCTAGTGTGATTTTTTGGGGGTGTTAAAGAGCCTTGTTTTGTCATATTGCCAGAGTTAGTTTTCTGGTCCCTTCTCATCTGGGTAGGCTCTGCCAGAGGTAACGTATAGGGTTGAAGGCTATTGTTCAGATTATTTTGTCCCCACAGGGTGTTCCCTTGATGTAGTACTCTCCTCCTTTTCCTATGGATGTGGCTTCCTGTGAGCCAAGCTGCATTGATTGCTATCTTTCTTCTGGATCTAGCCACCCAGGAAGTCTAAGGTTCCAGGCTGGTACTGGAAGTTTTCTGCACAAAGTCCTGTGATGTGAACCATCTATAGGTCTCTCAGCTGCGGATACGAGCACAGTATCTGGGGCGTCTTCAGGTCCTGCAGGAGCAGTCCACTTCCTTTAGAGGGTCTGTGGGTCCTCTCGGGATTCCTGGTTTATTCTTGCAGTTGTTCTGGAGTTAAAAATTCCACCATAGTCTCTTAAAAGGGTTTCTTTTTTCTCTCTGAAACAGCTCCCTATCCACAGGATGTTCAAGGGCCATGCACCTTTCTTCCCTCAACTAGGAAGACCCAGAACAATGCCTGCCCATTCATGGACCTCAGAGATCCAAATATGATGATGATAATTGTTATTTTTTTTAGACAGAGTCTTGTTCTCTTAGCCTGGTGGGAGGGCAGTGTCGCCATCTCAGCTCACTGCAACCTCCATCTTCCAAGACTTAAGAAAGATGTCAAATCATGGGTAAATCCAGGATGGGCTGAGGTACTGAAGCTCCAGCCCACAGAGGATCCTGTCATAGAAAGACTGGGATGAGTAATTTCTTCTTTAAGATCAGGCCTTTCTATCTAAGCTGAGGTCCAGAGGGAGATGAATTTTTTTTGTACTCAGTGTTTGGGAAGTGGCCCCTGGGCTGTTGCCTGCTAAAGGCCTCCCTCCAATGCTTGGATTGCAGTGGCGGTATGTCTCCCCACATCGCACATATGTCCACAGCCTTCCCTACCACCTTGCTGATCAAAATCTGGGTCATCCCAGCCATTACCTCATTCTAGGGCATCCACCTGCCAGCGATGGACTTCATCAGACTTCTAAAGTGTGCCTCTCTCCCTTTTCCATCCACGAACAGACCCACACTGGGTTTTCTTCCTCCTTTAATGTGATGTGACTTTTGGATAGAGACTCTATTCACATTTCAGAAAGTAGAGTTGAATGTATGTTCATAGCCAATTAGCAGGAACAGCCTAGGAAACAGGGAACTTTGGAAACACATAGCTGCATATAGCAAAAGTCAAAGTGTGGATCTCACCTACTGTTTTGTTCAAGTGTAACAAACATTGAGTTGCCATCAAGAAGAAATTTAATTGGTTTGAAGTAGTCTAAATGTAGGCATAGTCCAGTGAAATGGACTATGTGAAAATGAACCGATTTCTTAACAATTGATGTAAACTTCTGAAACTCACTCACTGAGACACATCCACTTGACACTAGTGCCTTACAACCCTGGGGTTTCTTTGCTCCGACATTTAAGTTGTCTAATGTGCAACTTCATAAAATATGTAATTTTTACTGTAAATGTTTTCTTTATTGTTGTGAAATGTAAACTCTGAGATTCTGTGAGGCACACAGAATTCTTAAATGCCCCACACATTTCCTGCCCCTTGGAGACACACCCTGCATCTGACCATCCCTTGAGTGTGGGCGGAATCATGAATTGATTAGCTCACAAATCCCTGATTAGATTAGGGATACCCTGAACCAATGGACATTAAGTGCTGGGCCTGATCCAATCATCTGAGCTCTTTATAAGGAACTGAACCTCCCTAAGATCACAGAGATCTCCAGGCAGAGAGAAATTTTTCCCCACTCGAGAGTCCCCAGCAGTGGCTGTGCAGATCCAGAGATCCCCACAGCCCACACCTGAGTGACATCTCTAGGAGTGAGAATTTATTATGCATTGATCTAAAACTAATATACTCTCCATACACAAGTTTCTTCACATTGTGGAAGTCAGAAAAACCAGTCTGTATTTTTGTATGGGGGAGGGGGAGGCAGGGAGCCGTGCCTAGTTGTGGCTGAACTATGGCTCAGAAGAAACACAGTAGCTAAAATCTTTGAAAGGTTCTCATTGCAGATCCATAATCAAACCACCTTAGCTGGAACTTCTGCCTCTACAGCGCTGCCGTGGACCATATCTGCATCTCGCCCATGGTGGCAGGCAGACAAACAGGTGTGTCTGCTGAGATGTTCACCATGCCCCGAGTTCTGAAGGGCAGCAACAAGGATGGAATCCCTGAGGGCCTAGATGGGAACTTGGAAGAACCCAGGGATCAGGAAGGTGAGCTCAGGAGTCAGGACATCTTGGTTCTCAGAGCAGGTGACAAAGAAGCCTCAGCCTCAGTTCCTCCTGCAGCCAAAAAATGGAAAACAGATACCAAAGGAAAGAAGAAGAGGAAGCCCAGTGTGGATGCAGAGGAGGCTCAGAGGATGACAACCCTGCTTTCTGCCATGTCTGAGGAGCAGCTGGCCCGCTACGAAGTGTGTCGCCGGTCAGCTTTCCCAAAAGCACGCATTGCAGCTCTGATGCAGTCTATCACTGGCAGATCGGTGTCTGAGAACGCGGCCATTGCCATGGCTGGAATAGCCAAGGTCTTGGTTGGAGAGGTGGTGCAAGAGGCCCTGGACATGTGTGAGATGGGGGAGAAACGCCCCCGCTGCATCCCAAGCATTTAAGGGAGGCTGTTCACAGGTTAAAGCCCAAGGGCTTCTTCCCCAACAGCAACTACAAAAAAAAAATATGTTCTTTTAGGCCCAAGGCCAGAGGGAAAGGTCTGTTTGTGCAGGAATAAGTATTGCATTCATCTTCCAATGACAGGACTGTGTTTGCTGGAGCTTCTGCATCTCAGTCCACCCTGGATTTACCCATGACTTTAATGTCTTTCTCAAACTCTGACACTGGCCTTCCCTAGATGAAGACAGTGGCTTGTTTCATAATCACTTCGACTAAATATTTGGGCTTCCTAGGGCATATAGAGGCATTTTTCTGTGTTTGCCTAGTTGGAAGAAGATGGGTACATGGGCCTTGAGTTTTTTGTGGGCAGGGAGATGCTTTCAGAGAGGGAAATCTCTTCCAGGGGACTTGTATGGTTTTATACTGAAGCCTGGAGTTGCTGTGTCTTAGCTTTTATGATTATGTCTGGTATCAATAAATGAAGCCTGCAGAGACTTTTCTCTTGTGTTCTTGTGCCCTGAAGGCTGTGTCTGAGCAGGAGCACTGCAATTGTTGTCCTTGTATGTATTTTAAATACTTTTATGGATTTTTTTGGGTCATCATTGAACTGTTTCCAACCTGAGGAAATAAAAACAAAATCACAAAGCATTATTTTCTCTTATTTGACTGTTCTCATAGGTATTCCTCCCTACTTTGCTTTATGTCAGCAAGTTGATTGTCTACATTATTGGAAATTAACATAGTATAGGAGAATCTTATAAGACTAGAGAGAGAGAAACAGATTCCAAAAACCACCTGTCTGTGAACACCCATTTGTAATATCATCCACAGTTTAAAAGACACATATAGAGAGAGCCTATTGATCCTGCAGGTTTGCTTCACGTGGTAATATTACCAGTGCTTCTATAGGCACCCAAATTTAGTTTAAAACACTGTTACAGAGTATTCTTGATTTTATGCTTTCTAGAGGCAATCTGCTCATAGAATTGAACCTGAGTACAGCAACATAAAAAATAAATTATTGAGATATGGAACAAAGTAGGTTCATCAGGAGTTATAAAGTTATCCCATAGTCTCCTTGTACATACTCTACTTTACCTTTATTATGGCAAAGAAGACTTTTCCATCATAAAATAAAGACCTGAGATTTATTATCAAATCATTGTGAACATTCCCAGCACAACTCGCAGATATTGACGGTGCTAGTTCAGCCTGTTTACCTTTGCCCTGTGCCCCCTAAATCATAGAATATGAGCAAAAAGGATCTAAAACCCCTTCCAGTTCAGTTCTAATATTGAACAGAGAGTAACATCAATTATTTTTTCCTGAAGCCAAATAGACCCCCTCAAAACTGTTACTTTATTTATTTTTAAACTTAGCTTTAGCTCTTAAAATGGTACTTATGGTACATAGAACCTATCTTTGATTGGGTGAGTATTACAGAAACTTTTAAACTTTAACAAGGATGGGGAAATTCTGTTTCACACCACCATATTTTGACATTACATAGCTTTCATTTTATTTTACCAACTTCCTTGTAAAGGCATATAACAAGTTAGACTACTGGGTCTAAGGGAGGGATATGGAGGGTACAGATTCTTGGAAGAACTCATGGAGTTGGGAGGGCTCTCTCAGAAATTAAAGTGCTTGAGCAACCAAAATAAGTAAGATCCAAGGGTCTCAATATCACCCAGGCTTTATACTGCTCTCATCTCATTCCTTTTTCCATGGCACTGGGGAGTCTTGGAAGCTGTGTTCTGGCAGATGTGGCAGGCCTAGTGCTCTCTGAACACTAGAAGTAAAGAGAACCTTGCCCAAGCAACCTGAGGTGGGACAAAAATCTACAGATAGCAGTGAGAGTAGTGATTGGACACACAAGGTTAGAATGTTTTTCTGGCCCCCACGTAGAACTCAATGCTTTTCGTGGTCTGAGTAAAGCTGAACTGCTGAAGACAGAAACAAGATCCCATCAAGGTCTCAGAGGTCAGGTCAGTTCAGGAGCAGAAACACAGTGTTGTTTTTTCAAAGAGGAAAAATGGATTCTCTGAGAAGGTTCAGTGCCCCTACACATTCTAAATCTTCTCAATATGTAATATCATATAGCCACAGTTCTCAAGAAGAAAATTTGTAGAAAGTGATATCTTTCCAGGAAAAATCTTTGACAGCTTTCATGGCTGGTTGTATTACATGTTAATAACAATGTAAGTTTTCCTGGAGCTTCACTGCCATTATTAAAGTCTACCTCATAATGTGCATTTGGAGACTGCCTAGAAAAATGTGGCCTCTGGTTGGAACTGGTCAGGTAGTGAGGAGATGACTAACAAATGAAGGGACTACACTTCGCAGCTTCTTTCTCTTTCTTTCTTTCTTTCTTTCTTTCCTTTCTTCTGTCTTTCCTTCTTTCTTTCCTTCCTTTTACCCTTCCCTTCCCTTCCCCTCCCCTTCCCTCCCCTCCCCCTCCCCTCCCCCTCCCATCCTCCTCCCTTCCCCTCCCCTCCCCCTCCCCCTCCCTTCCTCTCCCCTCCCCGTCCTTCCCTGCTTTCTTTTTTTCTTTTTTTGTTTTTTTGATGGAGACTTGCTCAGTTGCCCAGGCTGGCATACAGTGGCATGATCTTGGTTCACTGCAACCTCTGCCTTCCAGGTTCAAACAATTCTCCTGCCTCAGCCTCCAGAGTAGCTGGGATTACAGGCATGTGCCACCACACTGGCTAATTTTTGTATTTTTAGTAGAGATGGAGTTTCACCATGTTGGCTAAGCTGGTCTTGAACCCCTGACTTCAAGAGATCCACCCGCCTCGCCTCTCAAAGTGCTGGGATTACAGGTGTGACCCACCGCATATGGCCTACAACTTCACAGTTATTTTCAATAATTTAGGATCACTCTGAAATAACCTTAACATCCGCCCTGCCTGCCTTTGCCCCCCAAAAGTACTTAGTCTGTGCCCAAATAAAGTTTAAACAATCTAGCTGCACTGTTTCCAAGTGTGTAGTATCTAGGGTCTGATCTTCAAAAGTACAACTAAACAAACTTGTACCCCAATTAGACAAGTTTAAATAATAATTTGATGGTGTTATGTTTTCTATGAAGAAGGATACAAAGTAGAGTGGTAACTTTCATATATGGCGGAGAAGGGGGCCATGCTCTCACAAAATGAATGGAGTCAGATCTTTGTAATAGTTTAATAACTATCATGAATATTGGAGAGACACGTCATATAATTTCGAGTTAGTGCCGAGTATAGGAATATCTAGCAGTCTATTTTATAAGAAAATATTTTCTTTTATATGAACCTATTAATGAGGTAGATGAAGTTTTTTTGTTTTTAATTCATTTTTCTTAGGCACATATTCAAGGGAGCATACTAGTGTTTGGTAAAACGAGATGATTCCGCATCAGGTTTTTGTTTTTAAAGATGAAAGAGCTGAAAAACCTTGTTTTGTCACAGCAATGCCATCCAGTTATTCAAATTTTTTGAGATCGTAATTCAAAAATTACATTGTGATTTAGCTTCAAATTTTTTTTTGTAATGACCTTTGAATTGACAACTTATTAAAATTTTCTGTAGTTTGGATAAAAACAAAACATTTGAAATCATCTAAATTGAAAAAATCGTGTTTGTCAAAATCTACCTCCTACTCCCTCACCTAACCATGCCATGTTCAACTCTTGTACTTGAAAAGCATTGAAAAATTTAAGTTCTGTTAATTTCAATCCACTTTCACCAAAGTAATATTTTTTGTGAGAAAGCCATAATCTCATCAATAATGCCTTTAAAAAAATTCAACAGAAAATATGAACTAGTAACTGATCATGATAAGAAAATAAAACCCAGAAAAAGCAAAGTCCTAAGGCAGAGCAACTTCTGTCTTCAATGTGAAATCACCATAGTCTCTTGGAAGTGGTTTATCTTTCAAAGCAGTTTGCTGTCCAGAGGGTGCAAAAGGCCCATACAAGTTTATTCTTCCAAATAGGAAGATGTAGAAAAAACTCAGATGTCAGAAACGATCCAAATATTTAGTCAAAGTGATAATGAAATAGGTTGCTTCCTTCATCTAGGTGTGGCCAATTTAAGAGTTTGAGGAAGATATAAAAATTGTGGGTAAATTCAGGGTAGATTGAGACACTGAAGCTCTGGCACACAAAGTCTTCTGTCATAGGGAACATGGAACAAGTATGTTTCCCCCCAGGATTTCTTTTCTGGCCTTGAGTCTAAAATCACATGATTTTTTGGTACTTGTTAAAAATGTGGCCCTCTGTAATCCCAGTACTTTGGGAGGCCGAGGTAGGCAGATCACGAGGTCAGGAGATCGAGACCATCTTGGCCAACATGGTGAAACCCCGTCTCTACTAAAAGTACAAAAATTAGCTGTGCATGGTGGCGCGTGGCTGTAGTCCCAGCTACTCGGGAGGCTGAGGCAGGAGAATCGCTTGAACCAGGGAGTCAGAGATTGCAGTGAGCCAAGATCGCGCCACTGCACTCCAGCCTGGCGACAGAGCGAGAGTCCATCTCAAAAAAAGAAAAAAATTGGTTGAGCATGGTGGCTCATGCCTGTAATCCCAGCACTTTGGGAAGCCAAGGTGGGCAGATCACGAGGTCAGGAAATCGAGATCATCTTGGCTAACATGGTGAAACCCTGTCTCTACTAAAAATACAAAAATTAGCTGTGCATGTTGGCGGGCGCCTGTAGTCCCAGCTACTCAGGAGCCTGAGGCAGGAGAATGGCGTGAACCCGGGAGGCGGAGCTTGCAGTGAGCTGAGATCGCGCCACTGCACTCCAGCCTGGGAGACAGTGAGACTCCGTCTCAAAAAAATAAAATAAAATAAAATAATAAAAAAATGTAATAATAATAATAATAAAAAGTGGCCCTTAAACTTGAACTTGCAGACAGCCTGCCTCAAATGGTTGGGCTGCAGCGGGGGCGTGTCTCCCCACGTCTCATACACTTCCAAGGCCTCTCCTACTACCTCCCCTACCAAGACCTGGGTCACTCCAGTCATGGCCATGGATGCGACCATATTCTAGGACGCTGAACTGCCAGAGATGGACAGTATCAAACTTCTAAAGGCTGCCTCTTTCCCTTTCCTACCCAGGAACACACCCACACTGCCTCCCATAATGTGAAGTGACTTGTGGATACAGTCTATTCGTATTTTAGAAAGTGGAGTTGAATGTGTGTTCATAGCAAACTAGTAGAAACAGCCCATGACACAGGGAACATTGCAAACACAGAGCTGCATACAGGAAAAGTCAAAGTGTGGATCTCATCTACTGATCAAGTTAAACAAACATCACTGAGTTGCCATCAGGAAGAGATTTATTTGGTTTGAAGTAGTCTAAACACAGGCATAGTCCAGTGAAAATGAACAGGTTTCTTGAAAATTGATGTAGAGCTGAAGTGCTGAAACTCGCTCACTGAAACATTCCCACCTGACACTAGTGCCTTATGACCCTCAAGGTAGATTAGACATTAACAAACAAAAGCACACAGAAACACCACCAAGACCTGATTTCTGCCTGTTTCCACTCCCAATCCTATGCTTAGCTACCTTTGGGCTCTTAAGGACCCTCTCTGCGGAGGCGGCGGGCCAGCTGCATGTCTCGGGGCATAATTGTGACGCGCCTGGCATGGATGGCACACAGGTTGGTGTCTTCAAAGAGCTGCACCAGGTAGGCCTCGCTGGCCTCCTGCAGGGCGCCAATGGCCGCACTCTGGAAGCGCAGGTCCGGGCTGATGGCCTGGGCGATCTCGCGCACCAGGCGCTGGAAGGGCAGCTTGCGCAGGAGCAGCTGCGTGGACTTCTGGTACTTTCTGATTTCCCGCAGCGCCAGGGTGCCAGGCTTGTAGCGGTGAGGCTTCTTGATCCCTCCTGTAGGCGGCGCCCTTTTTCCGGCTGCTTTGGTGGCCAGGGGCTTCCTGGGGGCCTGCCAGGCGGTGGCTTTGCGGGCGGTCTGCTTGGTGCGCGCCATGTCGCGGGGCCTTAGCCTCTCCCCTGTCCTTGGGCTGAGCCTGGCCGGCTGCAGGCGGTGCTGGCGTCAGAGAGCGAGGGCAGTGGTGCTGTGGACAGGATTCAGAGAGCCTGTGAGTTGAGATCCATGCGCATGACTCTCCCACACACTTAGCCCCTGCCAACCCAGCCCCACACTTACCAGCCCTCAGGTCTGTGGGTCGGAGGCCGCGCTGCTTAGTCTTTCCGGAGGGTCCTGGGTTTCCTTGGTCTACAAAGCAGCAGCCAGGAATCTCCCTCGCAGGCAGTCTCTTTCTGACTGGAGATCTCTGTGGTCTCAGTAAAACCCTGCCTCTTATAAGGAGCTCAGATGATTGGATTAGACCCACCCAGCTCCCTTCCATTGTACTTCCTGCTCCACTAGATCCTCAACCTAATCAGGGCTGTGAAAACCCAATCAAGTCCCTGGGTTCTGCACACACCCAATGGAGAACGAACCTTCTGGAGTGCGCCTTGTGGGAGGGATGGTAGGTGGGTGGGTCACCTAAAGTTCTAGGTGTGAAAGAGAGTCTGAAAGTTTACATTTTCTCCATCATCATGGAAATATTGACAGTGAAAAATTTTTTTTAATAAAGTCGAAAGTTAGCCAACTTGCACATCTGCTTCAAAACACCAATGCATGAGATCATGAGATTTTATCAGTTCCTTTGAGAATGAAGTGTTCCGGGAGCGGGGTGGGCGGGGGGGTATGGAAATTTGAAAAATTTGAAATGGTCACTTCTCTGTCAGGGATTCTCCTCTGACATTTTCTCCCCAAAAGTGACACTCGTGAAAATCTTCTCGTAGCCTCCAGCAGGTTTGGCTCCGGATAAGCCAAAGCTTTCCTGAGAAAAGAATCACGTGACTGTCGCTGGTGCTCCCCCTCAGCCCCCTCAAGCTCCTTTTCCCCTATGAAGGTGGAAGGGACACCTGAGCTGAGCTATCCTGCCGTTGCCCATGATGGGAATGCCACGAGGTCCTGAGAAGCCAGCTTTGACCTCACTGACCTGCTGACCCGAGGTCACAGCAGAGCTAAGAAAACATTGAATATATTTTGTTATTTCAATATTTGTAGGGGTACCTGTGGCTTCAGGTTCCATGGATAAATTGTGTAGTTGTGAATTCTATTCAAATATACTGCTAAAAGACTTTTGTGATACCTATAGTAGAAATTAGTGCCCAATTCAATGTAGGTATGGCACACAGAACAATAGTTTCCATGATATCAGTACTTACAAAATAAGTTCGTATTAGTGTTTTAAGATTCGAGCTTATTATTATTATTTTGTTGTTAAATTTTTTAAAATGTGTTTCAATAGCTCTAGGAGTACAAGTTGTCTTTCGTTCCGTAGATGAATTGTATAGTGCTGAAGTCTGGGATTTTAGTGCACTTATCACTCAGTTTACATTTTACTCAACAGGCAGTTTCTTCCTCCATCACCCTCCTCTCACCTTCCCCACTTCTGAGTCTCTAATGTTTAGTATATTACACTGCATGCTTTTGTGGACCCATAGCTTAGCTTTCACTTCTAGGTGAGATGGTGCACTATTTGCTTGTAGATTGCTGAGTTACTTTACGGAGAATAATGGCCTCCAGTTCCATCCAAGTTGCTGAAATGACATAGTTTCATTCCTGTTTATGGCTGAGTAGCAGTCCATGGTGTATATGTTCCTGTTTTCTTTTTGTTTGTTTTCTTTTGTTTTATTATTATTTCAATAGTTTTTGGGGAGCAGGTGGTGCTTGGTTACACAGATAAGTGATTTAATGGTGATTTCTGAAATTTTGGTGTGCCCATCACCTGAGCAGTGTACACTGTACCCAATGTGTAGTCTTTTATTCCTCACCCCTTTCCACCCTTCCATCTAAGTTCCACAAGGTCCACTGTAACATTCTTATGTTTTTGTGTTGTCATAGCTTAGCTCCTGTTTATAAGTGAGAACATATGATGTTTGATTTTCCATTCTTGAGTTACTTCACTTAAAGTAATGGTCTCCAATTCCATCCAGGTTGCTGGGAATACCATTATTTCTTTCCTATTTTTGGCTGAGTTGTATTCAGTGGTATATCTATACACACACACACACACACACACACACACACATCTATATAACATTTATATATATATAACATTTTCTTTATCAACCAGATGATGGGCATTGGTTGTTTTTTGTTTTTTGTTTTTTTTTTGAGATGGAGTCTCACTCTGTCACCCAGGCTGGAGTGCAGTGGCACGATCTTGGCTCACTGCAAGCTCCACCTCCCGGGTTCACGCCATTCTCCTGCCTCAGCCTCCCTAATAGCTGGGACTACAGGTGCCTGCCACCACGCCTGGCTAATTTTTTGTATTTTTAGTAGAGGCAGGGTTTCACCATGTTAGCCAGGGTGGTCTCGATCTCCTGACTTCATAATCCACCCACCTCGGCCTCCCAAAGTGCTGGGATTACAGGTGTGAGCCACTGTGCCCAGCCTGGTTTCATATTTTTGCAATTGTGAATTGTGCTGCTATAAACACGTGTGTGCAAGAGTTTTTTTCATATAATGACTTATTTTTCTCTGGGCAGATACCCAGTAGTGGGATTGGTGGATCAAATGATAGATCTCCTTTTAGTTCTTTAAGGAATCTCCACCCTGTTTTCCATAGTGGTTGTGCTAGTTTACATTCCTGTCAGCAGTGTAAAAGTGTCCCTCACCTCCTCCACCATAACATCTATTATTTTTTGATTTTTTAATTATGGCGTTCTTGCAGGAGTAAGGTGGCATTGCATTGTGGTTTTGATTTACATTTCCATGATCATTACTGAACATTTTTTTCATATGTTTGGTGGCCATTTGTATATCTTCTTTTGAAAATTGCCTGTTTATGTTTTAGCCCACTTTTTGATGGGATTGTTTGTTCTTTTCCTTGAGGCTTTGTTTTAGTTCCTTGTAGATTCTGAATATTAGTCCTTTGTAAGATACACAGTATGTGAATATTTTCTCCCACTCTATAGGTTGTTTACTCTGCTGATTCTTATTAAGTTTTTTTGCTGTGCAGAAACTTTTTAGTTTAATTAAGTCCTATCTATTTATCTTTGTTTTTCTTGCATTTGCTTTTGGGTTCTTCTTGGTCATGAACTCTTTGCCTAAGCTAATGTCTAGAAGAGTTTTTCTGATGTTATCTTCTAGAATTTTTATGGCTTCAGGTCTTAGATTTAAAGTCTTTCATCCATCTTGAGTTGATTTTTGTATAAGGTGAGAGTTGAGGATCTGCTTTCATCCTTCTATATGAGGCTTGCCAATTATCCTGGCACTATTTGTTGAATAGGGTGTCCTTTCGCTCCTTTATGCTTTTGTTTGCTTTGTCGAAGATCAGTTGGCTGTAAGTATTTGGCTTTATTTCTGGATTATCTATTTTGTTTCATTGGTCTATATGCCTATTTTTATACCAGTAGCATGCTGTTTTGGTAACTATAGCCTTGTAGTATAATTTGAAGTTGGGTAATGTGATGCCTCTATATTCCTTCTTTGTGCTCAGCCTTACTTTGTCTATGCAGGCTCTTTTATACCTCCATATAAATTTTAGAACAGTTTTTTTCTAGTTCTGCGAAGAATGATAATGGAATATTGATGGAAATTGCATTGAATTTATAGATTGCTTTTGGCAGTATGGTCATTTTTACAATATTGATTCTACCCCTCCATAAACACGGGATGTTTTTATGTTTGTTTCATCTATGATTTCTTTCAGCAGTATTTTGCACTTTTCCTTGTAGAGGTCTTTCACATCCTTGGATAGGTATATTCCTAAGTATTTTACTTTATTTTTCGCAGCTATTATAAAAGGGGCTGAGTTCTTGATTTGATTCTCAGCTTGGTCACTGTTGGTTTATAGCAGTGCTACTGATTTGTATACACTGATTTTGTATCCTTAAACTTTGCTGAATTCATTTAACAGATCTAGGAGCTTTCTACATGAGTCTTTAGATTTTCTAGGTATACAATCATACCATTGGAGACAGTGACAGTTTAAATTCCTCTTTAACAATTTGGATGCCCTTTATTTCTTTCTCTTGTCTGATTACTCTGGCTAAGACTTCCAGTACTATGTTGAATAGGAGTGGTGAGAAAGGGCAAACTTTTCTTGTGCCAGTTTGCACAGGAAGTGCTTCCAGCCCTTGACCATTCAGTATGATATTGGCTGTGGATTTATCATATACGGCTCTTATTATTTTGAGGTATGTTCCTTTGATACCTAGTTTATTGAGAGTTTTTAACATGAAGTGATGTTGAATTTTATGAAAGGCCTTTTCTACATCTATTGAGATAATCATGTGGCTTTTGTCTTTAGTTCTGTTTATGTGATGAATCATATTTATTGATTTGTATATGTTGAACAAGCCTTGCATCACAGGGATGAAGCCTACTTGATTGTGGTGGATAAGCTTTTTGATATGCTGCTGGATTTGGTTTGCCAGCATTTTGTTGAAGAATTTTGCATCAATGTTCATCAAGGATATTAGCCTGAAGTTTTCTTTTTTGTTGTATCTCTGCCAGGTTTTGGTATCAGAATGATGCTGGCCTAATATTTTGGAATAGTTTCTGTAGGAATGGTGCCAGCTCCCTTTTTTTTTTTTTTACTTCTGGTAGAATTCAACTGTGAATCCTCTGGTCCTGGGCCTTTTTTTGGTTGGTAGGCTATTAATTACTGCTTCAATTTTAGAACTTATTGGTCTATTTGAGGATTTGATTTCTTTCTGGATCAGTCTTGGTAGGGTATACGTGTCCAGGAATTTATCTATTTCTTCTAATTTTCTAGTTTATGTGCATGGAGGTGTTGTTTATAGTCTCTGATGGTTGTGTGTATTTCTGTGGGGTTAGTGGTGATATCCCCCGTATTTCTGATTATGTGTGTGTGTTTTTTTTTTTTTTTTTTTGAGACGGAGTCTGTATCACCATGCTGGAGTGCAGTGGCGCTATCTCGGCTCACTGCAACCTCCACCTCCCGGGTTCCAGCGATTCTCCTGCCTCAGCCTCCCGAGTAGCTGGGACTACAGGTGCACGCCACCATGCCCAGCTAATTTTTGTATTTTTAGTAGAGACAGAGTTTCACCATTTTGGATCAGGATGGTCTTGATCTCTTGACCTTGTGATCCACCAGCCTCGGCCTCCCAAAGTGCTGGGATTACAGGCGTGAGCCACTGCACCCAGCCTGATTGTGTTTATTTTAATCTTCTCTTTTTCTTCTTTATTAGCCTAGCTAGAAGTTTATCTATTTTATTAATTTTTTCAAAACACCTGCTACTGAATTCATTGATTTTTTGAAAGGTTTTTTTTGTGTCTCTATCTCCTTCAGTTCAGCTGTGATCTTGGTTATTTACTATCTTCTGTTAGCTTTGGCATTTGTTTGCTCCTGTCCTCTAGATGTTTAGTTGTGATGTTAGGTTTTTAACAAGTCCTTTCTAACTTTTTGATGTGGGTGTTTAGTGCAACAAATTTCCCTCTTAACACTGCTTTAGCTGCATCCCAGAGATTCTGGTACATTTTTATCTTCATTCTCATTAGTTTCAAAGAACTTCTTGATTTCTGCCTTAATTGCATTATTTACCCAAAAGTCATTCCAGTGCGGGTTGTTCAGTTTCCACGTAGTTGTACGGTTTTGAGTGAATTTCTTAATTTTGAGTTCTAATTTGATTGTGCTGTGGTCCAAGAGACTGTTATAATTTCAGTTCTTTTGCATTTGGTGAAAAGTGTTTTACTTCCAATTATGTGATTAATTTTAGAGTAACTGCTGTGTGGTGAGGAGAAGAATGTATATTCTATTGTTTTTGGGTGGAGAGTTTTGTAGATATCTATTAGGTCCATTTGATCCAGAGCTGAGTTCAGGTCCTGAATATCTGTTAATTTTCTGTCTTGATGATCTGTCTAATATTGTCAGTGGGGTGTTAAAGTCTCTCATTATTATTGTGTGGGAGTCTAAGTCCACATTGTTTTATCATTATTCTTAGCTTCTTTCCATTGGGTTACAACGTGATCTTTTAGGTCAGCGAAGTTTATTTTTATCCACATCCTGTAATTTTTTTATTTTTTTATTTTTAAATTTTTTAAAAGTTTTTTTTATTATACTTTAAGTTTTACGGTACATGTGCACATTGTGCAGTTTAGTTACATATGTATACATGTGCCATGCTGGTGCACTGCACCCACTAACTCGTCATCTAGCATTAGGTATATCTCCCAATGCTATCCCTCCCCCCTCCCCCCACCCCACAACAGTCCCCAGAGTGTGATATTCCCCTTCCTGTGTCCATGTGATCTCATTGTTCAATTCCCACCTATGAGTGAGAATATGCGATGTTTGGTTTTCTGTTCTTACGATAGTTTACTGGGAATGATGTTTTCCAATTTCATCCATGTCCCTACAAAGGACATGATGGCAAATTTTAGCCATCTCAGTCTCAGCCCATTTCTGAGCCCTTGGTGGAGAGGTGTTGTGGTCATTTGGAGGAAAAGGGGCACTCTGGGTTTTTGAGTTTTCAGGGTTTTTTTGTGCTAATTCTTTCTTTTCTTTTTTTTTTTTTTAAGAATTAAAAGAGGCAACATGAATTTCTTTTTTTTTTCAAAATTGAAACTGATGAATATCAACATCACTTAGTAAAGTTCAGGAGAAAAAAATCAAGTTAGATATGCAAAAATGTGATACGAATGTGATAGGAGATGTTATTCTCTGAAGCTTAATTTCATCTGAAAGAAATGTAAGAGAAAATAAAAAGCATTGTCAAATTCTTTCTTATCTTTGTGGGTTTATCTAGCTTTAAGCTTTGAGGTTGCTGACCTTTAGATGGGGGTTTTGGTTTTGTTGTGGTTGTTGTTTGCTGTTTGATTTTTTTTTTTTTTAAACACTCTGGCCACTCTTCTGTAGGGCTGCTGCAGTTTGCTGGGTGTCTGCTCCAGATTGTAGTCACCTGGGTTTTTCCCATACTTGGAATTATCACCCTTGAAAACTGCAAAACAGCACAGATGGCATCTTGCTTCTTCCTCTGGAAACTTTGTCCCAGGAGGGTACTAAACTTGTTACTGGCTTGAATGTATATGTAGGAGGTGGCTGGTTACACTGCTTGGGAAAATCTCATGCAGTTGAGGGGAATAGGATCAGGGACATACTTAAGCAATCTAACTGCTTTTTGGTGGAGCAGCTGTGCTGTATTGGAAATCCCTTCAGCCCCTGATCCATTAAGGCTCTCCAAGGCCCACAGGCTGGACCAGCTGAGATGCCTGAACAGTCATGGTGGCAGCATGCCCTACCCCATGGGTACTTAGACTCAGGGAGAAATTAGAACTCTGTCAGCTGTAGAACAGAGGCAGGTATGGCTGGAGGCCCTGGCTGGGAGGACCCACCCCACAAGGAGCAGTGGATTGGGGTCCTGCTTAAAGAAGCAGTCTGGCTACATTCTGGGAAAGCAGCTGTGCTGTGCTGGGGGCACCCTACCTCATCCCGACCATTTGGACTCTCCAAAGCCCACAGACCGAAACAGCCGAGTTGACCAAACAGCATAGATAGTAGCTTGGCCCTTTCCTGGGGTCTCTGTCCTGTCTCAGGCAGGCTCCACCTTGTTTCTTGTGGCTGGCTAGAATTCCAAGCCAGTGGGTCCTATCTTGTGAGTTGCCATGTAAGTGGGGCCTGCAGATTGTTGCTGCTCAGCCCCCAGGATTTAGCCCCCTTCCTAGGGTTATGCACAGACCTTCTGCCTTGCCTGAGCTGCAGATGTCCTTGCCAGGGATCCCGAGGCCAGAATATGTAAAGCTCCTGGGTCTCTGTACATGTTTGAGCAGCTGCTCTGTGGAGACTCCACACAGCTGTGTGCATCAGATCCAAGGCGCTGGAGACACGGGCCTATAAGGGGACCTCCTGATCCACAGATTGCAAAGATCCACGGGAGAAGTGTGGTTTCCCGGGGGCATGCAATCACTCACTGCTTCCCTCCACCGGGGGTGCGGGTTCCCTTGGCTCTGTGTTGCTCCAGGGTGGACCGTTTCTCCACCCTACTTTTCTTTTTCTTTTTCTTTCCTATTTTTGGCTGAGTTGTATTCAGTGGTGTATATACATATATATAAACATTTTCTTTATCGACCCGATTGATGGGCATTGGCTGGTTTCTTTCTTTCTTTTTTTTTTTTTTTGGGACGGAGTCTCCCTCTGTCGCCTGGGCTGGAGTGCAGTGGCGCAATCTCGGCTCACTGCAAGCTCCGCCTCCCAGGTTCACGCCATTCTCCTGCCTCAGCCTTCCGAGTAGCTGGGACTACAGGCGCCCGCCACCACGCCCGGCTAATTTTTTCTATTTTTTAGTAGAGATGGGGCTTCATCGTGTTAGCAAGGATGGTCTTGATCTCCTGACCTCGTGATCCGCCCGCCTCGGCCTCCCAAAGTGCTGGGATTAGAGGCGTGGGCCACCGCGCCCGGCCCATCCTGCTTTTCTTCATTCTCCATGGGTCAGGTTGTTTTCCTACATAGTCTCAATGTGAGTACCTGGATATTTCAGTTGAAGGTGCTGCATTCACTCGCCCCTCTTCCTCTCTGTGAGTGCCACAGACCAAAGCTGCTTCCGATTGGCCATCTTGGGGCCCACTCGTCAGCTGATGGGCACTTAGGTTGATTTTATATCTTTGCAATTGTGAATTGTGCTGTGATAAAAATATGTGTGCAGGTTTCTTTGATATAATGACTTCTTTTTTTTAGGTGTGTACCCAGTAGTGGGATTGCTGGATGGAATAGTAGATCTACTTTGAGTTCCTTGTGAAATCTCTACACCGTTTTCTGCAGAGGTTGTACTAATTTACATTCCACCAGCAATGCCTAAACGTTTCCTTTTCACCACATTTACGCCAACACCTGCTGTTCTTTGACTATTGAATAATGGCCATTCTCGCTGGGGTAAGGTGGGTGAGAAACTCAGCTGTTTTTCATTGTGGCTTTAATTTGCATTTCCCTGATAATTAGAGATGTGGAGCATTTTTCCCTGTTTATTAGTTGTTTGTGTGTCTTCTTTTGAGAAACGTCTATGCATGTTGTTTGCTCACTTTTTAATGGGATTATTTGTGTTTTCTTTGATTTGTTTCAATTTCTTGTAGATTCTGGATCTATCAGTCCTTTGCCAGAGGCATAATTTGCAAATAGTTTCTCCCATTCTGTAGGTTGTTTGTTTACTCTGATGATTTATTTTGCTTTGGAGAAGCTTTTTCTTTTCATTAGCTCCCACTGATTTATTTTTGCTTTTTTTGAATTTGCTTTTGGGGTCTTTGTTATAAGTTCTTTGCCTAGGCCAATGTCTAGAAGAGTTTTTCCGGTTTTCTTCTAGAGTTTTTATTGTTTCAGGACCTAGATTTAAGTCTTGAAGTCACCTTAAGTAAATTTTTGTGTATGATGAAAGATAGGGATCCAGTTTCTTTCTTCTGTGTGCGGCTATTCAATGTTCCCATCACCATTTATTCAATAGGGTGTTATTTCCCCAGTCGATGTTTCTGTATGCTTTGTCAAAATCAGTTGGCTTTATTTTTGTTTTCTCTATTTTGTTTCATTGGTCTGCGGATCTACTTTTGTGCCAATACCACATTGTTTGGCATAGCCTTTTGGGATACTTTGAAGTCCGGTAATGTGATGCCTCCATATTTATTCCTTTTCCTTAGGATGGCTTGGCTATCCTAGCTGTTTTTGGTTCCATATGAACTGTAGAATTTTTTTTTTCTAACTCTGCATAAAATGACATTGTTATTTGGGAAGAAATTGCATAGAATCTGTAGTTTGCTTTGGGCTGCATGGTTTTTTTTTTTTTTTTTTTTTTAACAATACTGTTTTTTCTAATCCACGGGCATGGAAAGTATTCCTGCTCGTTTGTACCATCTATTACTTCTTTCAGCAGTGCCTTGTAGTTCTCCTTGTTGGAATCTTTTACTTTCTTTTTAAAGTATATTCCCATATACATATGTAGCTACTGTAAGAGGGATTGAGTTTTTGATTTAATTCTCATCTTGGCTGTTGTTGGTGTATAGCATGCTATTAATTTGTGTGCATGACTTTTGTAAGCTGAGATTTTACTGAATTTACCTATAAGGTCTGGCTGTCTTTTGTAGGAGTGTTTAAGGTTTGCTGTGTATACCATCAGATCACCAGGCAACAGAGATAGTCTGACTTGCTCTTTTCCAATGTTAATACCTTTTATTTCTTCCTCTTGCCTGATGGCTCTAGCTAAGAATTTTGTGCTCATTTTATAGAAAAGTTTTAGTTTTATGCAAAATTGGGCAAAAAGTAGAGAGTTCCCCTATATCCTTTCCCCCACATAGGCATAGCCTCCCTCCGGTATCAACTCCCTATCCCAGATTGTATGTGAGTTACAATCATTGAACCCACATTGACATATTATTATCACTCAAAGTCTGTAGCTTACATTAGGGTTCACTATGTTTTTGTTGTACATTCTATGGGTTTGGACAGATGCATCATGACAGGCATCCGCAACCATAGTGTCCTATGAAATAGTTTCACTTCTCTAAAAATCTTTTGTCTCTAGCTTCTCTATTCCTTCTTTCAGCACCAACCCCTTCCCACCATGGATCTCTATATTTATTTATTGGTAAATCTTGTCTACTGACATTTCATATTGTATATACTTGTTATGTACAACATGATGTATTATATACATTTTACAATGTCAAAATCTAGCTAATTTTTACATAGTTATTGTAGTTTTGTTAAGAACACTTCACATTCACTCTTAGCATTTTTCAAGAGCACGATATATTGTTAGGTGGAGTCACCACGCTGTAAAATAGATCTCTTGAACTTATTCCTCCCACGTGACTGAAATTTTGTATATTTTGACTGTCTCCTCAAATACCCCACCCCTGCCACCCCAACCCATGGTAACTACCATGCTACTGTCTACTTCTATAAGATCAACTTTTTTAGATTCTACGTAAGATTGAGGTCAAGTAGTATTTGTCTTTCTATGCCTTGCGTATTTCACATAGCATAACATAGCATAATGATCTCCAGGTTCATCTATGTGTCCTTATTTTTTTAGGCTATTCCTTAAGTAGCCTTAAAATATAAGAACACATAGATGAACCTGGAGATGTATTTTGTTGTGTATACATATCACATCTTCTTTATCCAATCATCTTTTTTTGGACACTTATGTTGATTTTATATCTTAGCTATTGTAAATACTGCTTCAATAGACATGAGCATACAGACAGCTCTTCAGTATACTAATTTTATTTCCTCTGGATATATATTTAGCAGTGTGGCATTGGTGGAACATATCGTAGCTCTATTTTTAGTTTTTGGAGGAACTGCCATACTAGTTTCTGTAGTGGTTGTACTAATTTGCATTCTCACCAACAGGGCAAGCGGTTTCCCTTTTCTTCACATCTTCATCTACAATTGTTATCTCTTGACATTTTCATAACAGTTATTCTAATGGGTGTGACGTAATATTTTATTTTGGTTGTAGTTTGCATTTCTGTGATGGTTAGTGATGTGGAGCATTTTTCCATACAACCACTGGCCATACCTTTCTGTCTTTTTTTTTATAAATGTCTCTTTAGGTCTTTTGGTTATTTTTATTTTGGATTTTTGTTTTCTTCCTATTGAGTTGTTTGAGTTTCTTAGGTATTTTGGAAATTTATTCCTATCAGATATATGGTGTGCAAATATTTTGTTCCATTCTGCTGGTTTTCTCTTCACTCTGATGATTGTTTCCTTTGTTGTGCAGAAACTTGTTAGATGTAATTCCTTTTGTCTACTTTTGCTTTCGTTGTCTGTGTTTTTGGGTTATATCTAAAAGATCACTAGCCTAACCAGCGTTGGGGATGTTTTTCCCTACGTTTCTTGTAGTAGGGTCATAGTTGAGGGTCCTGCTCTGAAGTTTGAAAGAGATTTTAGTGTATTTTTGTATATGCTAAGAGAAAAGGGTATAATCTGATTATTTTGCATGTGGATATCTAGTTTTCCTGTCACCATTGATTGAAAAGACAGTCATTTCTTCATTGTTGTTGTCACCTTTGTGTAAACTCAGTAGGCCGTACATGTCTGGATTGACTTCTGTGGCCTCTATTCTGTTCCAGTGGTCTAAGTGTCTGTTTTTAAGCCAGTGTTATTCTGCTTGGGTTACTATCATTTTATAGAATACTTTGAAGTGAGGAAAGCACAGATCTTTTTATTTTCTCCGCAGTTTGCCCTGTGACCTCACTACTCAGAGAAATGTCAAAAGAGATGTTGATTTTTCACTTTTTTTTTGAGACAGAGTTTCACTCTTGTTGCCCAGGCTGGAGTGCAATGGTGCGATCTTGGCTCACCGCAACCTCCACCTCCTAGGTTCAAGCGATTCTCCTACCTCAGCCTCTCGAGTAGCTGGGATTATAGGCAGGCGCCACCATGCCAGGCTAATTTTTGTATTTTTTTTTTTTTTTTAGTAGAGATGGGGTTTCTCCATGTTGGCCAGGCTGGTCTTGAACTTCCGACCTCAGGTGATCTGCCTGCCTTGGCCTCCCAAAGTGCTGGGATTACCGGCATGAACCACCATGCCTGGCCAATTTTGCACTTTTTAAATTTTATGCTTGTTGTTAGGGCAGAGTGATGACGACTAAGCTCCATCCACGCCACCACGAACACCAGAAGTTCATTTGATTTTTTATTATACATTTGTTCCCATTTCTCTTATATTCAGAGTATTTGATGAATTATATGTCAGTGTAATTAGAAAGAGTGTTTTATTTTAATGAAAATATTTAATGCTTAAATCTTATAATCATAGGAATTTTTTCTTTAATTTTTGCATTTTAACACCATAATATAAAATTAAAATATGTGAGAATTCTTATGTACTATAAAATTACATGTCAGATGTATTTTTCTTTCTCCGAAGGACAACAGAGAGATCAGTATATTACCTTAGCTATAAAAATAGTTTACAGTAAAACCGATTCTTCAGAGCTGAAGGCATGGAAATGAGTGCAGAGACTAGACAGTGTTTCTAGGGTCTGTTTTCTCTCTGAAGTTTTCCATGCGGCTTCTAGAATACTTTACCATTTTAATATTATCAAATAGCCCTCCCTGACATAAAACAATATTGGTAGCAATGTGAGTAAAGTCATTTTAGACAACAATTTGGTGTGTAATTTTAATTTCATTTCTTGCAAAAGTCAGAAAATAGTTCAGTGGATGACAAATGAAAATTCAATTTTCATTCATTCAAATTTCATTCATTCAAATCAATTCCAGTCTCCTGGTCAGGACACAGCCTTCTGGATAGACTACCATAAGGAAATAGTTTCTGGAGGCTTCACCTGTTGAAATCAAGCAACAAGCATAAAAGCTAAGACATTGCAACTCCAGGCTTCAGTATGAAAACACATAAGTCTCTTGGAAGAGTTTTTCTCTCTTAAAGTAGCTTCCTGTCCCCAGGATGCTTTGGACCCACACAACTTTTTTCTTCCAGGTAGAAAGAAACAGAAAAATGTGTCTATATGCCCTTAGAAGCACAAATATTTAGTCAAAGCAATTATGAAAGAAGCTGCTGCCTTCATCTAGATGAGATCAATGACACAGCTGGAGAAAGACTTTAAAATCGTCGGTCAATTCAGCCTAGACTAAAACACAGAAGGTGCAGGGCACAGGCAGTCCTGTCATAGAAACAGTGGATTCAGTTCTTTGTCCTTTAAGAACAGGCCTTTCTATCTAGACTGGGGCCCAGAAGAAGACAATTATTTTGTACTAGGTGTTGAGGAAGTGGCCCTTGGGTTTTCATCTGTGAACAGCCTCCTTCCAATGCTTGGGCTGCAGCGGGGCGTCTGATTCCCCATCTCACACACACCCAGGGCTGCTTCTACCACCTCCCTGAATAAGACCCCGGTCATTCCAGCCATGGGCATGGCCATGACCATGTTCTAGAACACTGACCTACCAGTGACGGACTGCATTAGAAACTTCTAATAAGTGTCTCTCTCTTTCCTACCCATAAACAGACCCACGCTGGCTGTTCTGCCTCCTGTAATGTGAAGTGACTTGTGGATAGAGAGTCTATTCACTTTTTAGAAAGTAGAGTTGGATGTATTTTCATAGCAAACTAGCAGGAACAGCCCAGGAGACAGGGAACATTGAAACCATGTAGCTGCATATAGAAAACTTCAAAGTGTGGGTCTCATCTACTGTTTGATCAAGTGCAACAAATATCATCGAGTTTCCATCAAGAAGAAATGTATTTGCTTGTAAATAGTCTAAATGAGGCATTCTCCACACAAAAGAGCAAATGTATTGACAATTGATGTAGAGCTGAAGTGCTGAAACTTGCTCACTGACACATTTCCACTCAACACTAATGCATTAGACCCTCAATGCAGAATAAAAGTTTACAAATAAAAGCAAATAGAAACACAGTCACTACCTGTGATTTCTGCTTATGTTTCCACTCCCAATCATATTCTTAGCTACTTTTGGACCCCATGGGGGAAAAGAAACCAGAACGTAATAAAACTTCTAACATCAGAACTACCAGTAACTGAAAGAAGAGAAAAAAAAAACACAACAAAAGAGAAACGAAGCCGTCTAGAGTGCAAGGTATCCCAGGAGCGTGGGCTCTTAAGTACCCGCTCCACGGAGGCAGCGGGCCAGCTGCATGTCTCTGGGCATAATTGTCATGTCACGTGCCTGGCATGGATGGCACACAGGTTGGTGTCTTCAAAGAGGCGCACCAGGTAGGCCTTGCTGGGCTCCTGCAGGGCGCTAGTGGTTGCGCTCTGGAAGCGCAGGTCCGGGCTGATGGCCTGGGTGATCTCGCGCACCAGGCGCTGGAAGTGCAGCTTGCGCAGGAGCAGCTGAGTGGACTTCTGGTACTTTCTGATTTTGCAGAGTGCCAGGGTGCCAGACCTGTAGCCGTGGGGCTTCTTGATCCCTCCTGTAGGCGGCGCCCTCTTGCTGGCAGCTTTGGTGGCCAGGGGCTTCCTGGGGGCCTCCGAGGTGGTGGCTTTGCAGGTGTTCTGCTTGATGTCCACTGTGGTGCAGGGCCGCGGCCTCTCCCCTGTCCTTGGGCTGAGCCTGGCCAGCTGCAGGCAGCTCTGGCGTCAGGGAGCGAGGGCGGTGGGTTTGTGGACAGGACTCAGAGAGCCTGTGAGTTGAGATCTGTGCAGAAGACGCAACCCCACTCTTAGCCCCTTTCAATCCAGCCCTAGACTTACCTGCTCACAGGTCTGCGGGTCAGGCTGCTCGTTCGCCCTGTGGGGTCCTGGGCTTCCGAGGTCTACACACCGGCAGTGGGAATCTTCTTGCAGCTAGTCTTGCTCTGTGGTCTCAACCAAGTTTAGAGTCTTATAATTCGCTGCGATGATTGCATTAGAGCCACCTGGCTAGCTTCCATTGCACTCATTGCTTCACGAGATTTTTAATTTAATGAGAATGAGCTGTCCCCATCCCACCCTACAAAGTAACTGGTCAGGGCTGAGTGCAGTCCTGGGGGTAAGGGGATGACATGCCCAGGTGTCAGCTCAAAGGATCTCTGCATCATCCTGAGGTGGGAGGCAGGGCAAGGGGCACCAATGAGGTTCTCCTCCCTCCCCCACCACCCCCCACAGTAAAAGCTTATCAAGTCTATGGGTAGTGCCACACCAAAGGGTGGTGTTACCTTCCATTGTATTTACGGGTTCACAGATTTGTAACCTAATCAAGGTATGAAAAACTAAGTTCATGGGTTCCTCCAACACTCAAAAGAGGGGCAGATATCTGGAGTATGCATTATGGGATGGATCATAGGTGGTGGTTGATACGGTTTTGTTGTCACCACCTAAAATCTCATCTTGAATTGTAATCCCTATAGTCCCCATACTCCCCATGTCAAGGGAGAGACCAGGTGGAGGTAACTGAATCATGGGGGCAGTTTCCCAGTTTCCCCCATGCTGTTCTTGGGATAGTGAGTGGGTTCTCATAAGATCTAATGGTTTTATAAGGGACTCTTCCCTCTCACTCTTCGCACTTCTCTCTCCTGCTGTCTTGTGAAGAAGGACGTGTTTGCTGCCCCTCCTGCCACGATTGTAAGTTTCCTGAGGCCTCCCCAGCCATTCAGAACAGTGAGTCAATTAAACCTCTTTGCTTTATAAATTATCCAGTCTCAGATATTTCTTTATAGCAGTGTGACAACAGACTAATACCGTGGTCATCCAGAATTCTGCCTGCAACAGAGATTCTGACAGTTCACATTTTATGATAGTAATGGAAGTATTTATAATAAAAACATGTTTTAATAAAGTTGTATCTTAGGCAGTTGATGAGGCATGAAGTTGTTTTATCAGGTGCTCTGATGGTACATAGCACCAGGAAAGAGAATGTGAAAAATCTAAGTAGCCACTCCTCTAGCTGATATTTCTCTGTGGCAGGGATGTTCCTGGGGCATTATTCTCTGCTAAGAAACACATATTGGAAACTGCAGAGAGGCTCATGGGAAAGCGGAAGCTTTTCTGATAAAATGATCCTGTGTGAATATCACTGATGCTCTTCTTGGCTCCTCCTCAGTCTTGGACCTGGATGTGATGGCTGGATTGAGCCATCTTTCCATTGCCCAGGTTGGAAATGACAGAGAAGCCATCCCTGACTTTATTGAGCCATTTATGTGAGTTAACAGGTGATACCTCCAGGTGGGTTCATGAGAACAAAATTCCTGTTTCAATCCATCTTACACTTTTCTGACACTTGTAGCAGAAAGCAACACTCATCCATATAATGCATGCCATTCGCAGACAAGAAATTTTATGAGATCTATAGTAACAAAATAAGTAACACCATTACAATTTGTATGTATATTATGTCTTTTAATACTAATGATTTGATTGAAAAGAATGTATTATTAAAAATAAATCCCATGGCATTAGCTCCAAGTGCTTTGGTAGCAGGAGCTGTAAATTTTGATCAATATTTAATATCAAATAATGTTTAGTTTTTATAAATAAATATATAGAAAGATAATTGAATATGTCTACAGAGAGGGTGAGTATAGATAAATTGTTAGAAATAAGAGTAAATATATATAATGGTGTAATGAGTGATAATGATTTGAGTGTTAGACATAAGTTGATGAGTATTGAATTGTGTAGTCTAGAGGATTGAAATGTTATCACCAAGAAATGATAACTCTTCAAAATAACCCTGGAGAATCCAGAGAGATTAGATTCTGATTGTCAGTGAGTCAAAGGAAAGGCTGTCAATGACATATGCAATGGACACTATTACGAGGGCCATAGGGTGGAGTGTTGAGTTTAAAAGACATTAATACATCACAGAACAATTATTTTTGTTACTTGTTGTCCAGAATTCTGCCACAACAAACTGAAGGCACCAAATGGATATGAAAAACTCATTTAATACAGCAAAATGTTTCTTACCTCTTTTTTTCCCCTGTAAGTTGATTCAAGTACAAAATTAATGAGGTCAAGATTGTATCTTAGATCCCTGGATAGCCTAGTTAATTTGCACAAAGAAAATTAAATTTTATGACTATGGACTCTGTGACTAACTTTGTCAGGTCACTTATGAAATATGTGTCACTGATCACAAGTGCAATTAAGTGAAAGTGCAAAGATGTTTTAGAGAAAAATCTGCATCGTTACTAAGAAACTGAACAACTAAAAATACAGAATGGCAGAATGTAAGCATATGTTATTCATTTTATAGCTTAGTGGTTTTGATAAATATTTCTAATTGCAGAATTCTTTATTCATATACTTGAATGCCCAGTGTGTAAAACAGAGAGTTGCACTAGTTGATGAGGGAAAAAAATTGGGGTCTGTAAACCAACATTGTAAGGATTCTTATGTCTTCCTACTTCACTAACTCATGTCCTTTCATCTACCACCAAAACTACCCTCTGAAATAATTTAAAAAATGTGAGAATTAGGGCTCTGTGAGACACTGTTGTCAAAGCACTGATGTGGCCAGACACTCTCATTTTAGAAATTAGGAAATGACAACTTGCCTGAGCTCACCCAGTCAGGCAGTGGCAAATATGGGACTTAAACTCAGGTAGTGACATTCTTTCTGTATAGTGTAATTCAATAATTCACATTTATTTATCTCCTGCTTAACAGACTGAGTTGAGCTTTCCAGATTGATGAGTAACTCTGCTCCACACTGTTATTTATTCAGGGATCCAGATTTGTTGCAATTCAATTATTCCATTGCTGTCTTGTCATCATTTTTGTGAGGAAAATTTGTCTGCAAAATACTCTAGTTGACACTGAGGAGAAGAGAGTCTGGGAGGGGACTGCCCATGGAATGTTGAGCTAGACCTGAGAGTGGAACTTGGCGTAAGAGTGGACACATGGCTGAAGTTAACATCAAATGAGGCTGGACAGCCACATGCCCAGAAGACAGGAAGACAGATTTTGATGAACAATTAGGAATATCTATCATTGAACCCTGTTAATTCCCATTATCTTCAGTTTTAATAATAAACTTACTAAATAGGTTTAAGAATTCTTCAGAGTTCTTTCACATCAGTTTTCTCCTATGTCTTAGCCCCTTTGCACTGCTATAACAAAATATCTTAGGCTGGGTAATTTATAATGAACAGAAATGTATTTCTTACTGTTCTGGAGGCTGGGAGTTCAAGATCAAGGTGCCAACAGTGGTGTCTGGTGAGGGCTACTCTAAGGTTTCAAAATGCCACCTTATGACTCTGTCCTCATGTGGAGGAAGGAGGAAGGGCAAGAGTGGCCTGTGACCGTTTTGTAAGAATGCTAATTTGTTCATGAGGTGGGACCTCTCAAGGCCTAATCACCAACCTAAAGACCTCATCTCTTAATACCAACACAATGGGAATTAAGTGTCAACATGAATTTTGGAGAGCATGTAGTCAAATCACAGCATGAAAACCTAGTAAAGTTCAAAGAGCAGGAGTATGCTTACAATCTTAAAAGTGAGCTTTAGGAAGTACAGCAATAAAGTCCTTTTAAATCAAATGTTTGTACAGCCTCTAACAATGGCAGCTCATTAGTGGAAACTATCTCTTTGGCCAGGTTACAAAATCTTTCCTCTTTCTTTTTGTTTCTATTCCCTTACACATATTTTAGACCCTGTAGATTTTCTGATTCCCTCGGTAGAGGAAAGTGTAAGGTATTCTTGCACCAGGGTAGTATTCTGTTGGGGTCTTAGTTGATTGATTTTTGGGGCTTTTTTATTACTTGAATGTATTATGACTGGCCAACACTTTCAACATAGTGAAAGGACATAAAATAGACATTAACATAAAAATAGCTTCAGACAGATTAGTTTTTGAATAATATGAAACTCACAGACAAAAATCAAATGCTATGATACTATGGGTCAAGAACTGACTGATGTGAGTAAACTTCTTGTTTTCAAAAAGATAAATGAATACATGGCTGAGCTCATATTTGCTTTTCTGGTATTAATATCTTATGTGTGATAAAATATCAAATGTGAGAACATAACTTGGTGAACTGAAAACAAATAAGCAAAACCTCTCTGTATCTCTGTATTTATATCTCCCATTGCCTTGTTTCAGAGGGAATTTATGGCAGTTTTGAAGGTTAAGAAAAGTTATATTGTAGGTAAGAGGCTCCTAGATTCTGCTGTGTGAAATCTTTTTTTTTTTCTTGCAGTGTTTAAAAGGCACGGGAAAAAGTTCTCTCTAGTCAAAAAAAGTTGGAAGATGATGCATACTTTAGTCCCTTTTAGAGATTTACAGTAAACATCAACATAGTAAATTATGTAAGGTGAACTGACTAAAAATATTCTGTTTAACGTTAATGCTGTGTCTTCTGCACTGGTTTGACTATGAAGCACACATTTCTCCTCTCAAAACATCTATTGTCATTGTACAGATTATGAATTAATATTTGTTGTTATTTTTTAACCATTGATAAGACTATCTCAGACTTTTGAAAACAAGATAGAAGGCATATATAAAATGTCACAAATATTTGATTTTTATTTAATTGTTGAAATATACAAAATGAGTGCAATTATAGAAATCTATAATATTGCCTGAGAATTTCAAATTTCACTTTCCGAAATAGCATTACCAAAGTTTCAAAAAGCCAAAGTACAGTTATTCCTGGGAATACATTTTTCATTGTTCTTTTCTTGAGTTTTGATGTTTCCTCTTACACATATGTGATATTACATAAATGCACAAATATGGCCATTCCATTTATGCTTCTGGCTCTCTTCTTTTTTTCCCTGATTCCCACCCTGCCTTTCTTTTTCCTTTCAGCCACATTGGCACTCCTGTCTCTACTCCAGAGAATGCACATCAGCCTATTACATATTATTCCATATATTTCATCTGGAATCATATATAAAAAGACACACACACACGTGCGTATATACACACACACATTTAAGGACGAGCTTCTGGAGGTCAACTTCTTGGATTTGCACCTTGTCTCTGACACTTACCTTGTGACCTTGGAGAATCTTTCTAACCTCTCAGTAACTCAGCTGATTTATTTGAAAACTGGGCTAACGGGATGTTGTGAAGATTAAGTGCATTATTTCATGTTACGTGTTTAGAAAGGTACCTGATGTGTAATGAGTGTTCAATAATGTCAGTGACTAGTATAATTTGTATTATATTATTTCATTTGTTGGTAGCTTGCTTTTCATAAGGTGATCATATATACACAATATTCTTCATCTTACTTTATTCATTTATAATAGTTTTACTTTGTGGAAATTATTCCAAATCAACTAATTTACCTTAAGTCAATGTCTTCATATTATTAGATGGCAAATTATTCAGCCATTTTCCTTGTCATGACATTCACTTATTTCTAGTGTTTATTGTAAATGATGCTACAATAAACACCTAGCTATGTATGTCCTTCTGCATCGGTTTATTTTCCCCTTTAAAATAAAAAAAAAAAATTGGCCGGGCGCGGTGGCTCATGACTGTAATCCCAGCACTTTGGGAGGCTGAGGCGGGCAGATTACCTGAGGTCAGGAGTTCGAGACCAGCCTGACCAACATGGTGAAACCCTGTCTCTACTAAAATTACAAAACTTAGCCGGGCGTGATGGTGGGCACCTGTAGTCCCAGCTACTCAGGAGGCCTGGTGACAGAGCGAGACCCTGTCTCAAAAAAAAATAAATAAAATAAAATGAAATAAAAAAATAAAAAAATATTGTGGTGAAATACACATAACATAAAGTTTTTACCACCTTAGCAGTTTGTAAGTGTACAGTTCAGTAGTGTTAACTACATACACATGTTGTGCAACCAATATTCAAAACTTTCTTCATCTTGAAGTACTGAAATTCTATATCCATTAAGTACCAACTCATTTTTCCCCCCTTCCACATAGCGCCTGGAAACCACCCTTCTACTTTCTGTCTCTATCAATGTGACTAGTCTGGGTGCCTTGTGTAAGGGGAATTATACAGTATCTTTCTTCCTGTGACTGGTTTATTTCATTTAGAATGATGTCCTCAAGTTTCATCCATGTTGTAGCAGATGACAGAATTTTCTTCCTTATAAAGCCCAATCATATTTTATTGCATGCATATATTATAATACCTCATCTTCTTTATCCATTCTCCCCTTGGTTGTTGGTTGTTGGACACTTGTGTTGCTTTTATCTTTTGGCTGTTATAAATAATGCTGCTAAGACCATGGGTATGCAAATAACTCTTCCAAACTGCTTTCAATTCTTTTGAGTATATACTCAGAAGTGGAATTGCTAAATCATATGGTAATTCTATTTTTCATATTTTTAGGTACCGCCGTACTGTTTACCATAGTGGCTGTGCCATTTTACTATATTGGTTTTTATTTCCGTTGGTTTCCTGTTAACATTTTGATCCTGGTGTAGATTAATATCTTTCAGAGATTATTTGGATAGAAATAAGAAAAAAGTGGTTTTAGTAGTGAAATCCACTAAAACCTATGGAATCATCCAGGAAGGAGTGTAGAAGAACCAGGTTTAGAATTGATGTAGTTACTGTCTAACACATCATAAAGAGTTTTTGATAATTATGTAATAATTGCTGTAGAAACTAAAAGGTTAATCTTTTGACATTTAAGTGTATAATAATTATATTGTCATATGTTCATGGGTGTCTTCAGAAGCTGAAAATTCACCTTTGTATCTGAAAATGTCAGCACCTTTGCTATTAATAGCAGTAGTTTCTTATCAAGATCCAGAAATTATTTTTGAAACAGATGTTTTATTTTTCCTGTTCATTGTCCTTCTATTCTCTAGGTTTTAAATATACAAGTTATCTAATAAATGACCTTCATTGGCACCCATGGTCTACTTATTATATCTTGGTTCTATAGAAATTATGTGATTTTAATTATATTTCTAAATTATGTTATGAAAATAATTTATATTTGTGGCTACCAGAAATCAACAATATGACAGATCCTAGTTTTCTACATACTTGTTTTGTTCTAGCAGGTGTGGAGTGGACCGTAGGATTCCTCATTTCCTTTTTTTTTTTTTTTTTTTGAAGTCTCACTTTGTCGCCCAGGCTGGAGTGGGATTCCTCATTTCTAATGGGCTTCCATCTGAGGCTGGTGCTGCTGTAGGGCTGGTGTAGGTCACACCTTGTGCAGCAGGGGACTAGAGGACCAACAAAGGTCTGGCTCCTATGGCACCAAAGAAGCCAGTTTTTAAAAGTAGCTTTTAATCTAAGGCATTATCTTTGTTGATAATGCATTTTTCCTAAGGTCAAAAAATTTATTCAGTTTGAACATGCTGAATTGATTCTTTTGATTTTGTATCTCTTTGCTCACATCATAACCACTGCATTCTTTTAACTATAGTCAACGCTTTTCCTTCTTTGCGTCTTTTAATTTTTCCTCTTTGGCACTGAAGTACTGTGTTTTTCTGAGCCCCTAGATTGAAAATATCCAGTTACCAAATCTTTAACTTTTAACAGACTTGACATATCAAACTAATATATACGTATACATACTATAATTATATGTAAACTAGTATTATAAAGTATTATGGTAATTAGAATTCTTATATTTCTAAACACAGAAGACCATGTAGAAATGATGAGATAGTAATGACTATTGCATTATTATTTATCTTATGGAAATTCTGTATTCCGTCAAACATACATGTGGTATGTGTCCAACATATAATTATTGCATTTAGAGAAATATTATGTCACCACTGATACACATGAAAACAAATACAATCTTCTTTTAACTAAAATTAGATGCCTTGAAGGGAAGGGGTATAGTTTACTAGAGCATAGAGCTGGCTATCAGGAATCAGAATTTTATGACCTACATCAGGGTCCCCAGTTTCCAGGCCATGAACCAGTACTAGTCCGTGGCCTGTTAACAACCAGGCTGTGCAGCAGGAGGTGAGCAGTGGGCAAGTGAGCAAAGCTTCATCTGTATTCATAGCTGCTCCCCATCACTCACATTAATGCCTGAGCTCTGCCTCCTGTCAGATCAGCAGTAGCATTAGATTCTCATAAGAGCACAAACCCTATTCTGAACTATGCATGAGAGGATCTAGGTTGAGTGCTCCTTATGAGACTCTACTGCTTGATTACCTGAGGTGGAGCCGAGGCAGTGATGCTAGTGCTGGGGAGCGGCTGCATATAAGATGAACATTAGCAGAGAGGTTTGACTGCACAGACAGCATGATAAATCAATTGTTTACAGACTCATATCAAAATCCTATCAGTGAGTGGCAAGTGACAATTAAGCTGCATCTGTTGGCAGGCTTTAAGTCCGAATGTGACAGTTATTTTAGCCTGCATGTGGCCCTGTCATTATTTTATTTACCACTTCTGCCCATGCCTCTTTCTTGCACTGCACACTTGTCTCAGTCAAGTTTTGGCAAACTCATGAGCTAAGCCTAGCCAAAATGAGTAAAAAACAAACATCACTGGAGAGCTTCTTTGAAAAGGAGGAAAGACCCAATGATGAGACAGAAGAAGACACTAAGATTGCCAACAAAAAGAAAGCTGCATTTAAAAGAAAATACCGAGAATCCTACTAAAATTATGGGTTCAATGCAAAAGGTGATTCACAGTCTCCAAACCCACTTTGTATAATATGTGGTGATCACCTATCCAACGAAGCCACGAAACCTTCAAAACTGCTTTGTCTCATGGAGACCAACCACTCTGCATTAAAAGACAAGCCTTTGGAGTTTTTCAAATGAAAAAAAAATGTGAACACAAAGAGAAGCAATTATTGAAGGCCACCACTGCATCAGATGCGTCTGCACTGACAGCATCATTCTTGTGGCTAACCACATTGCTAAAGCTAAGAAGCCCTTTACTGTTGGTGAAGAGTTGATCCTGCCTGCTGCTAAGGACATTTGTTGTAAACTTTTAGGAGACACTGCAGTTCAAAAGGTGGTACATGTTCCTCTTTCAGCCAGAACCATAACTAAATGAATTGATAAAATAGAAGATACTGAGACACCATTGTTAGAGAGGATTAATGAGTCACTGTGGTATGCAATCCAGGTTGATGAATCTACTGATGTTGCAACAATGTAACAATACTTGTTTGTTTGTTTTTGAGATGGAGTCTCTGTCGCACAGGCTGGAGTGTGCTTCCTGGGTTCAAACAATTATCCTGCCTCAGTCTCCCGAGTAGTTGGGATTACAGGCGCCCACCACCGCGCCTGGCTAATTTTTGTATTTTTAATAGAGACGGGGTTTCATCATCTTGGCCAGGCTGGTGTCGAACTCCTGACCTTGTGATCCACCTGCCTCAGCCTTCCAAAGTGCAGGGATTATAGGCATGAGCCACTGCCCCGGCCAACAATGCTTATTTTTGTGCAATATATTTTCAGGAGGATGTGCATGAGGTAATGTGTGCACTTTTCTTCCCAACCAACACCAGAGCTGCAGCACTAGTCAAGTCTTTTAATGATTACATATCAGGAAAACTTAACTGGTCATTTTGTTTTGGTATATGCATGGATAGAGTGGCCATGACTGGACAGCTTTCTGGTTTCACTACTTGGGTTAAAGAGGTTGCTTCTGAATGTGAGTCTATGCACTGTGTCATCCGTAGAGAAATGCTGGCAAGCCAAAAAGTGTCAGCTGAACTTAACATCATTTTGCAGAATGTAATTAAAATTATCAACCACATTAAAGTACATGCCCTTAACTTATGTCTGTTCACTAAGCTCTGTGAGGAGATGGATGAGGAGCACACCTGTCTTCTCTTACACCTAGAACTGAGATGGCTTTCTAAAGGTAGATCACTGGCCAGAGTTTTTGAGTTATGAGAGCTACTCCAGAGATTTCTTTTAGAAAAAGTCACCACTGGCAGCACATTTCAGTGACACAGAATGGGCCACAAAATTTGCTTACTCATGTGACGTATTCAACCTGCTCAACAAACTCAATCTGTCACTTCAGGGTAGAATGACAAGTGTGTTCAAGTCGGCAGAAAAAGTGACTATGTTCAAAGCCAAATTGGAATTATGAGGGTGATGAGTGAACATTTTTTTTACAAGATTCAATCATTAGCAGGAATTTTGAAAGAGATTGAGCCAGAGCCTTCTTTTTCCCAGGTGGTACATGATTACCTACTTCAGGTTTCAAAAGAGTTTGAGCATTGCTTCCCAATGATAAAAGACCCCTGAACTGGGAAGGAAAGGATCTGCTTCCCATTTGTAAATAAACCAGAGGAATCCACTTTGTCCATGCTAGAAGAGGATTAACGGCTTGAGATTGCAAATGACAGTGGCCGTGAAAGCATGTTTGAGACAACTTCAAATCTCCATATGTTCTGGGTTAAAGCCGAGGTGAAACATCCTGAGATGGCCACAGAAGCACTGAAAAGCCTGCTTCATTTCCAGCTTCTTACTTTGTGAAGGACAGTTTTCTGTAGTGACAGCAACCAAAACAAGATTTCAGAGTAGACTGGACATAAGCAACAGACTTGGGGTGTCACTGTCTTCCATCACACCCAGATGAGACCCTCTAGTTACCAGCTCAGGGCTTCCACTGATTCTACATTATGATGAGTTGTATAATTATTTCATTATATATTACAACATAATAATAATAGAAACAAAGTGCACAATAAATGTGATGTGCTTTAATCATTCCAAAACCATCCCCCACCATGGTCCATGGAAAAATTGTCTTCCATGAAACCAATCCCTGGTGCCGAAAAGTTTGGGGACCGCTAACCTAGACACCTTCAAACACCTGGAGGAGTCCAGATATTGAATAATGGATTAGGGATTTGTTTGCCTTACAACTGAGGGCCACAGACAATTAGATGGTGCATAGTTGGAAGGAAATAAGACACAAGACTGCCATTGACCTCAGGAGTGAATTCAAGGCACCAGCAATGGAGTTGATCATTGTACTAAAAAGTGAGTAGGAGTTCAGCTCACTGATAGAAGAAAAGCCAAAGAAAGACTCAGAGTGGCTGCCTTCTCAGTCCCGAGCTTCTCCTTCCCTGTGCAGATTGGTCTCTCTGTTATTCTTTCCGCCTCTCCTTTTTCCCTGTGACTCTTGATCTTTCTCATTCTGTTTTTCTTTTTATTTATTCTCCTCTTCAACTGTAGTAGACATCATTGAGACCTCCATATGCTTCTCATTATTACAAAGAAAATCACAATTCTGGAATTAGATGCGAGTCTGATGGAAGTAATTTTGATTAATTGATTCTAGCAACATGAATATGTTGCACGTAGATCTCAGCTTGAAATGCCTTGATTTGGAAGTTAATACTAGGTGAGAAAATGCTTATAAATGTTTACTTGGGGATTCAGAAGTACAGATGTAGTAGTGTCAGCATTTTACACAGAACAAAACCTTTTTTTTTTTTGAGACTGAGTCTCTCTCTGTCCCCCAGGCTGGAGTGCAGTGGCGCAATCTTGGCTCACTGCAACGTCCGCCTCCCAGGTTCAAGTGATTCTCCTGCCTCAGCCTCCTGAGTAGCTGGGACTAGAGGCACTCACCACCACACCCAGCTAATTTTTGTATTTTTAGTAGAGACCGGGTTTCACAGTGTTGGCCAGGATGGTCTCGATCTCTTGTTCTTGTGATCTGCCTGCCTCAGCCTCCCAAAGTGCTGGGATTACAGGCATGAGCCACAGCGCCTGGCTGACAAAAACATTTTTATGGAGAAAAAAAGGTAGAGGTGAAAGACCCCTAACTTAAGCAAAGTATTTCTATTTCTGTAGGCTGGGCACAGTGGTGCACGCCTGTAATTCCAGCACTTTGGGAGGCAGATGGCTTGAGCCCAGGAGTTCCAGACCAGTCTAGCCAACATGGTGAGACCCTGTCTCTACAAAAAATAAACAAATTAGCCTGGCAGGGTGTCACATGCCTGTAGTTCTAGCTATATTTGAGGGGCTGGGGTTAGAGGATTGGTTGAGCCCAGGAGGTCAAGGCTGCAGTAAGCACTCCAACCTGGGCAATAGATTGAGACTGTCTCTAAAACACACACACACGCACACACACACACGTGTGTGTGTGAGAGAGAGAGTGTGTGTGTATATATATATATATAATCTCCTAGTTGGCGAGTATGAATATAAACTACCATAGTTAATATTTTTATATTGCTATTAGAGCTGAAAAATGTTTAGAAGCCAACCATTTCCTACTTCCTAATTATCCCATTTACAGGAGAGGATATTAAAGTCATTTAAAGACTACATGAACATTAGTCCTACCCCTTATTTTCTTTTTCTTTCTTTTTTTTTTTGAAACAGAGTTTCGCTCTGTCGCCCAGGCTGGAGTGCAGTGGTGCGATCTCGGCTCACTGCAAGCTCCGCCTCCCGGGTTCACGCCATTCTCCTGCCTCAGCCTCCCGAGTAGCTGGGACTACAGGCGCCTGTCACCACGCCCAGCTAATTTTTTGTAGTTTTAGTAGAGACGGGGTTTCACCGTGTTAGCCAGGATGGTCTCAATCTCCTGACCTCGTGATCCGCCCGCCTCGGCCTCCCAAAGTGCTGGGATTACAGGCGTGAGCCACCGTGCCCGGCCTCTTATTTTCAATATAAACTTTTTTTCTGCTTATTTCCCCAGGTGTATAGGTAATAATGATAATCAAAACAATTATAAAACTAGAATTAGATACACATACATACACACACATTATATTTTAATTCAGAGTGATGTAGGTCACTAGGCTTGCTAAAGTAGTCTCAAGAAGTATGTATATATGTGTATGTGTGTGTATATATATACACGTATATATGTATGTATATATATTTGTATTTGTATTCATTTTTAAATATTAAAATGTCTGTAGAAGAGTCATGAGACTTTAGAATAAAGATAACTGAAACAAATACCAATGTATTTATTGCTAAGTCTGCAAGTCATAAAAGAGATCCATTTTCATGAGTTCTGCTGTGCTAACCTGTGGAAAACAAAATATAAGCAGGGTTTAACTTCTGCAGTTATAATTAATCTTTCTAAATTTAACATCATTCTACAATAATAAAATTTTTATCTAGTCCCTGTTAAGTGTGTAAATAAATTCAATGCAAAGTAATGTTTAAACATTTTTGGCTGTTGCTTTTCTAAATTCATCTAAGGCATTTTCATTTAGGTCTCAGTTCATAAGTTCTTCCCTGATCTCCTTTTTAAAAATAGCCCTGCCATTCTGTATTAAATCAGCTTATTCTCATTCCTGCGGAGCCCTTGTCAGTACCTGAAAGTATCTTGTTTATTTATATTTTTAGTTGTTCACTATTATCTAATTCGAGAGCAAATCCAGGTTTTGTGGGGTCTAAAGCTAACACGATTCTGGTGATCCTTTTAAAGAAAATAATTTGAAATTATGAGTACAGCAAGTCCTTGAATAATGCTGTTTTGTTCAACATCATTTCATAATAACACTGATGAGCAAAAACACTGACTCCCAGAGGGATCACTGTCTGTGTGGAGCTGGCACCTTCTCCCCCGATCTGCAGGGTTTTCTCTGGGTTCTCAGGTTGCCTTCCAATCCCAAAGACGTGCACATTAGGTGAACTGGTACATCCACATTGTCCCAGTGTGAGCGAGTGTGGGTGTGAGTGTGAGTGAACCCCGTGATGAGTTGTTGTCCTGTCCAAGCCTGGCTCCCCAACCTTGTACCCTGAGCTGCTGAGATTGGCTCTGGCTAATCACGACCCTGAGCTGGAATAATTGGGTAAATAATTATCTTATTTTTATTAAATATATTTATTAATTATTACATATATGTATGTCTATTAAATATTTGCATAGCTAACATTTATTTGGTTAATAGCAGGAGTGTTTTGGTTTTTATTTAGGAGTTTGCTGATGCTTTTGTGACCAGAAATATGCAGTAGAAACTTCCCTCTCGTTTACATCAATTTGTCAGTGTAAAGTTGGATTTGTGGTATGTCATTCAGCTTAAAGTCGCTGTTTTCAAGAACTTTCTGACTTATTGTACAAAATGAGGTAGAAAATGTCGCAGAAAGCACTGTGCAAGGGAGTGGACCTGAAGCTTTTCTTCACTGGCTTCAGGTAAATCCAGCCCCAGTCTTACCCATCAGCTCGTGAGATTTCCTAGGAGCAGAGACTTCGTTTCTTGCTCACTGCTGTATCTCCAGCATTTCACAGACACTTAATACAGATTTTTTTGAGTGAATTAATGAAGGTGCATGCTACAATCATACTTCCTTTATTGCTCATAATTGCTTTTCTCATAGCAAATACAAATTTCAGCTGTTATAAATAATGAGGCACAGTGATCTCATTATTTCATTGTTCCATTTGGGTTCCTGTATTTGTTTGCTGTGGTGCTTTATGGAAAAGTAATTTTGTTGTAATAAGGACTGCATTTTTTCTGTTTAAATTGCTATCCAGCATGACGTCTCTCAGGATATAATATTATATTTCACTGTTATATTTCATATAATTGTGAAAGACTTAGCAAGATCATTCTCACTTTCCCTTTTGAGAATTTTATGGGTACTTATATTTATTTATTTTTGACTTAATTTTACTTTCTGAATTTTACCTCAATGAGCATATATTGATTTTTACAATAAAAATAATGAAAAAAATTTTTTGGAAAAAAAAAAAACAACAGAGTAAGTTTTGTTCTCATTGTTTGCCTGAAGCGTATCACCATTTTGCAGAATACTTTTACCACATGAAATTCCTGTTCATAGTCCCTACTCACCTTATCCTAATTTTTTTTCTTTCATAGTTTATTTACCTTACAGGTGGATGTCTGCTAAGAGTTGAATGTTTCTCAATGCATAGCTTTCAGGCCTGAATTTCGTAAATATGGGTACTTCTTTTTTTTTTTTTTTTTTTTTTTTTTTAAGAGATGGAGTCTCACTCTGTGGCCAGGCTGGAGCGCAGTGGTGCGATCTCGGCTCACTGCAGCCTCTGCCTCCCAAGTTCTAGCGATTCCTCTGCCTCAGCCTTCCGAGTAGCTGGGACTACAGGTGCACGCCACCATGCTCAGCTGATGTTTTGTATTTTTAGTAGAGACGGGGTTTCACCATGTTGACCAGGCTGGTCTCCATCTCCTGATCTCGTGATCCACCCGCCTTGGCCTCCCAAAATGCTGGATTACAGGTGTGAACCACTGTGCCTAGCCATATGTGTACTTCTTTTGTTCACTTGAGGCATCCAGAAATTACACGTGAATTACAGTATTATTCTTACTTGTTTGAATATTGGTAACTACAGGGAATAGTCACTGTGTGGGACCACAGCTATTCTTTCATTTTTTCTCTGAGATTCCTACATTTTAAGGGCTTACATTCAAACAGCCTGGGTATATTTGATTGTAATTAATTAATTAATTTTAAAGCATTTGGGACAATGTGGTATGATTATCTGATCAAAGAGTTTCAATGTGCTTTCTCTGATGAAGCAAGATACATTATTTTAGGAAGTGTCTCAAGTGAAGAGTTCTGCATCTGGCATGAATGTGGAGGTGGATCAAATCCAGCCGCTGGGTGACGTCCCATGGTAGGACGCTGACTGGCTAGAGTGAAACTGTCAAAAGCTCAGTTTAGCCTCAGTTTTCACCAATGGTTTACACATTTTAGGAATTAATTGTAACTAGTTTTAGGGCTCTCTTTTCTTGTTAGTATGATTGAGAATGTTCAAGGTTAACTAGTCCCATTCTAGCACTGTGAACTCATACTACTATTAGCCTGAGAAAGGATAATTAAGAAGAAAATCTACTGTCCTTAGAATAAACAAATGAAAGATCATGTGCTTGGCTGTAGGTTAAACAGAAAGGACTGCGATTATGGATTCGATTTGAATTACCTGTATCAGAGTGCTCTGTTAGTCATGGAAATTAGCGGGTTTTCTTAAGACGTTCTAGTGTTAAACAGGGAAGTATGGAAAAGTATAATCAATGAATATTTATTGAGGGAATTATAAGGTAAGGATGTAAAGTTAATCCCAATCGCAAAGTCGATGATTTTCAAACACTAGTTGAACATAATTATAATGTATATCAGGGAATCAGACTTTGTCTACATTCCATATTCTTGATGGAATTTCTAAGAATTGTGCTAAAATTAGCAATCAGAGTTCTATGACCTGGCAGGATGGGCTTGAGTCTTCAGGGATTATCAGGAATTCACATATGTTGGAGGCACAACAGAGAGGGTCCTTCAGCACAGATTAAAATCGCATGTGTGTTTGTAGTGCTTTCTCTTTTTAGTGTGAACGTTGCCAGATATCTTACAGCAATGACGGTGCAGAGCATTGGTTCTCAAATCTTACTGTGCATCAGATCATGTGGAGGATTTTTGTTAAACATAGATTCCCTGCCCTTCCCCAGTCCACCAGGAGTAGGTCTGGGAGGGACACAGAATTTGCATTTCTAACAAGTTCCCTGATACAAATGGTTGGGGAGCCACATGTAGAGAAAAATGATGCAGGGTATTGATGGACTAAAAAAATCACTTATACATATAGTTTTAGGGTTATAGATCTATCAGAGTCATCATTTTATATACCTTCATGAAAAAAATGAGAAAAAGTTAATTCTAAAGCTTTTCTATTGACAAAATGACAAAGCTGTTCATATAGCTTTTGATGCTGGAAAAATTAAATATAGCAACTTATGACTACTAATTAGCAAAAGTAAAGGTCTTTAGGATTTAGAATTAGTTCCCATGTATTCTTTATCCAGTCACCCTCAGTGGTAATCTCTTGCCAACTATATAGTATAATATCCAAACCAGAAAATTGACATTAGTCCAATCCAAAGAATTTATTCATATTCCACTAGTTTTATAGGCACTCACTGTGTGTATATAAAGTTCCAAGCAATTTTATCACATGTGCAGATTTGTGTAACTACTACTGCAATCAAGATACAGATAGTTCCATCAAAATGAAGATCTCTCTACACCTTTATGGAAACATCTACCTTCCTTGTTCCTATTCCTCAACCTTTGGCCATTCCTTTTTGGGAGTGTGCATATTTTTTGCTATTCAGAGCTCACACTCTTCCTATGCTGGCTAGGGTGGAATTTAGAGCTATGGGATTGTAGAAAACCATATTCCTAATGGCCATTAGATGAGCAGCTTTTAGTGCTATTTAAGGTAAGGTAAAAACCCTAGTTTTTACAAGGTGGATCTTTGTTTACATAGCACAATAAAGCGGCAGTGATTCCTAAATGTAGGCCATGCATTTCCCTATTTTGCCACTAATAGGGAAAGAGGTCATTTCAGTTTTGAAAGGTCTGGCCAATTCTTTAGCTGTAATTTCTAGAAAGGTTTTACTTTCAACTTTTCTACACTCATCCAAAACTTTCCAGATAAATGGCACCAGAGCTCTCTATAGGTCTTAAGTGTCAGATGGTTGTAATTAGAGAATAATGCCTACTAGCCATGTCCACGTTGTGAGGAGAGCCTTATAAGCTGTCACCATGGTCTGGCACTTAAGTGAGAAATGAGTTATTGGTATCTGAGTCCAAAAGAAAATAAGATTCTAAGAGTAAGAAGTCGTTAAATGATTGGCACCATTGTTTTTGTGTAGTGAGAGGTGTAGCCCAGTTAGGGTGTTGCAGTGGTGTCTCCTGATATTTATGGTTATAGAAGAATGCAAAAGTTTAGATAATAGTTTCTTTCATCTTTACAACCAAAACAAATCTATTAATATTACAGTGGCTTAACATGAACGGAAATGGACTGAACCTGGCAGGCAAAAGACAACATTTAAAATTCTCTGCCTATTTTCTAGCTATTCTCTAGGGCTTGGTAGCTTTCTTAAATATAAAATGCTTTGAATGCCTGAAAATACACATATAGATTTCTCTTTTGTTCTTTCCATCTAGCTCAGTGGTTCTTAACATTTAGTTTGCCTCAGAATGAAAGTACAGGTTTAGGCACAAAACCTCATAGGCTATTCTTTATTGACAATTTGAGAAATGTTCAAGAGTAATCTTTTTTAACCATATAGAATTTTTACCTTGTTCTTTGGGAACCGAATCCCCACCTAATATGAGGCTCCACTAATATATGTACACACAAATTATTTTAAGTTAAATTTTTTTAAAAATTTCAATAGTTTTTGGGGAAGGGTTGGTTTTTTTGTTACATGGATAAGTTCTTTAGTGGTAATTTCTGGGATTTTGGTGCACCTGTACCTGAGCAGTGTACACTGTACCCAATGTGTAGTCTTTTATCCCTCACCCCTGTCCATCCTTCCCCCTGAGTCCCCAGAGACCATTATATCATTCTTATGCCTTTGCGTCCTCATAGCTTTTCTCCTACTTGTAAGTGAGAACATACGACATTTGGTTTTCTATTTCTGAGGTACTTCACTTAGAATAATGCTCTCCACCTCCATCCAGGTTGCTGCAAATGCCATTATTTCATTCATTTTTATGGCTGAGTAGTATTCTATGGTGTATATACACCATGTTTTCTTTATCCACTTGTTGTTCTATGGGCATGTAGGCTGGTTCCATACTTTTTCAATTGCGAATTGTGCTGCTATAAATATGCTTGTGAAAGTATCTTTTTCATATAATCACTTCTTTTCCTCTGGGTAGATAACCAGTAGTGGGATTGCTGGATTACATGGTAATTCTACTTTTATTCTTTAAGGAATCTCTATGCTGTTTTCCATAATGGTTGTACTCATTTACATTCCCACCAGCAGTGTAAAAGAAGTGTTTCCTTTTCAACTCATCCATGCCAACATCTGTTAGTTTTTGATTTTTTAAGATATTTTTATAAATTATCTCTTGTGACTGTTACAACAATCCCATGAGGCAGAAAAGGCAGATATTTCAATTTTTAATATAGGTAAATAAGACTGAGAACTTACATACAAAGGAAGATAATCTTTGAAATGCTGTCTATTTATTAATGTGCTTTTCTCTTCAGCACTTCCTTGTACATCCACTTTACCTTGAGATAAATTGTGATTATTGTATCAAAAATTCAAGAGAAAGAATCTATCAATGTCTACAAGAGCCTGATTTTGCTGAGAAGAAATCCTCTTGAGCATAAAAAGGGAAGATTCTTGAAGGAGGCAGGATATAGAATTTATATTGTAACAATGCATTGGAAAGGGGATGGAAAAATTCTCAAGAGTCCAACTTGCTAGGAGATGAGGTGAGGGCATGTTGGCTGGGGCGAGGAAAGAGATTTGGGTGGGATTTGACCTTGGAGGAGGTTGGTGTGTCCTTGGAGGTGTGGATCAACCTTGAGGGTCACTTGGAGAGTCAAGTCAGTATTAAGGGACTTCCCTGCATTTTTTGTGACCAAAAGTAGGAAGTGAGTGTACAAGTACCCAGTCAATGACTTTGATGCCCTATAGCCACCCAGAAGAAGCCTGCACATTAGCTGTGTAAGGACCTACAAAACTTTTCTTCATGGCTGCCTGATATGATCCTTTCAAGATAATTATTGACTTGTGCCCTTTTATTTTTCTGAATTCCATCCAAAACTACCTATATGGATACTCCCCTTTTCAATTGCCAGGACACCTGATAGCTCTACCTGTCACTGCCAGAGGGATAATGTAATATGACAGGAAAAAAGTTCCCTAATTCTGCTATGTAAGTGGAACTAGATGGTAGTGAAAGCCATTGCTTTTTCACATAGTTTGACAACGACACGGGAGGCAAGTAAACTGGTCTCTAGAGCCCCTGTTCTGTCCACTCTACCACACCAGCTCTCCCTATTTTCAGATTATCATGCAAATGATGAAGTAACAGGTCATGAATACGAGATGGGAAACAGAAAGCAGGAATCAAAGGAAGCAAAATAAGACATTTATGTTAATGTTTCAAAGACCCAGACTAGCTTAGGAAGTCATTATCTGTCTTAGAATAGTGGTGAACAAAAAGCACAAAATTCTTTCAGGTCAGAAAATGCAAATTATGTCAGCCCTTATTGCAGAGAGTTTAAAACACGGAATAGATTATCACTATTTGTTTTGATGTAATTCATACAGTTTACATCTGCCCAAACAAATTTTAGTCCATTAATAATAATCTCTTGCCTACAAATGTGTCATCTTCAAGAAATATTTATTGAGTACTTGCCAAGACTAGGCATTGAAGATACAAAGATAAATAACATGTATTTGGTTAATAGTAGGATAGTAGGAGTGTTTTAGTTCAAAAAGAACTAGAGAAGATCATATTTTAGTAGCCTATAAAAGGTCAATTACATATATATTGCAGCAAGCATGAAAATAGAAGTATAAACAAATATTATACGACAGATACCAGAGGATGGAGCAACCATCTCTGCTTGCTATTTCGGTTAATGCTTGAAAGATGAGAGAAAGATTGAAAGGTAGAGAAAGGGGAGTAAGAGAAGAGGGCATTCCAGCAAAGGTAAAGAAGAGGTACAGCATAGGGTGTATTGGGAAGTGGTAAGAGATCAACCCACAGAGAAAGATGGAGGCAGGTGGGAAGGGCCATCTAGGCCAAGCTGTGAGTGGGTTTCAAGGTGACGGTGAGCTGGGAAGACCCTCATAACCTCCTTCCTGCTTCCTTTCCAGCCTCACTGGGTGCCACATGTTCTCTCCCTCATACGCACTTTTTCTGTCTTTCAAGCCTGCTCTGACCTTTCTCATCTCGGTGACTTCATCCATGCTGCATTTCTGTCTGAAATAGTTTTCTTTTTCACCTGATTCTTCCTTCTTGCCCTTGTCCAAACATATTACCCTTGGAAACCTGCTCCTTCTCCTCTCTCAGGTTCATCTTGTTTGAGAAAGACGTTGTGTGGCCCTCTGAGCAACTAAAAAAAAGTAGGTTTCTGCTTGTTATTTTCTCTTCATTTTTCTCATAATACTTACCATGGTTTAGAAATATAGAAATGATCATTGATGATGCACATAATCTATAATTGTTATTTTTGGTAGCTGGGTTTTTATTTGCCAGTTTGACTTCAAATTCTGCAACACATTCCTAGAATGCTCTCTCATTTCTTAGTGTGTTTCAAAATACTGCCACTCCCTCCAGATCCTGGTGCCCTGAGGAGAAATCAGCCTGGAGTCTGAAATTTAGGACTATCTTTTTGAAGACACAGTTTAAAACCGGAGAAGAGGAAGAGATCACCTAGGAAGAAAGTGTAAGTGGCAAGAGAATTCATGCTATAGTTGAGGGTCATATAGACTCTGGTGGAAGATGGTGAGCCCCAGCTTGGGTATGACCAGCTTAGACCCTAAGTCATAAAAACTTCTGATGTGATGATCTGATCTCCCCTCTGCGCCTCAGACCAGGACATCAAACCTCTTATCTGGTCATCTCATTTGCTTGTCATAAAGAATCTCTAGCTCCACATGTCCAAGCCTCAATTCCTGACCTTCCTCGTCCAATCTCTTCCCTCTTCTGAGTTCTTTCTACCATTTGATTACTATGCCAGGAAGAAATATGGGGATAGTTTTTGACTCCTCCTTCTCTGGCATCCTCTTCCTTCCTTATTCAATTTCAACAGTGATAGTATTTACTAAGGTAGTATAAAAGTATATAACCAAGAGAATGATCTAGTCTGGGTAGTCAGGCAGGGTTTCCCCGAAGAAAAGGCTTTTGACGTGAAGTTTGAAGAATTAGGTTCCTGGGTTATGTGGGATGATGAGGCAGGAGGAAAATGTTCCTGGCAAAGGCAACAGCTGCCTTGACTCAGGCGGCGTAGCTGAGGAACTGAAAGAACTGCCATTTGCTTAGAGTAGAAAGATCAAGAGAAAGTGTGGTATGAAAAGAGGTGGAGAGGAAGAAGGATCAGATCAAGGGAACTGTCACGGGGATGTGTTAAGGATTCTGGTCTCTTACATGAGTAGGGGACCAGTGAAGCTTTTTTTTTTTTTGAGATGGAGTCTAACTGTCACCCAGGCTGGAGTGCAATGGCCTGATCTCGGCTCACTGCAACCTCCATCTCCCGGGTTCAAGCGATTTTCCAGCCTCAGTCTCCCAAGTAGCTGGAATTACTGGCACCTGCCACTACGTCTGGCTAATTTTTGTATTTTTAGTAGAGACGGGGTTTCACCATAATGGTCAGGCTGGTCTCAAACTCCTGACCTCAGGTGATCTGCTCACCTCGGCCTCCCAAAGTGCTGGGATTACAAGCGTAAGCCACCATGCCCGGCCCCGTGAAGCATTTTAAGCAGAGGGATGACTGGATTGAGTTAAACATTTAGAAGATCATGCTGGTTGTTCTGTGGAATAGAATGTTGATGGTACAAAAGAGAAGCTGTGGGGAGACTTGTTAGAAATGTAATGTGATATATCATGGGTGAGCTCTCAGATGTGCAGAGAGAGAGAAGCAGATAGATTCAGATGTTGAGTGGTCAACATTTTGCTCGATCTAACACGTTTGTTTGGGCTTCATGTCATTTCCACAGTCTCATTCTCCTAGGTTACCAGATTTCTTGCTATTGCCTCTGCACATTGCATGAGCTTAACATCCATCACTTGGTTTATACTTTGAGTCTCTCCTTAATGTACAATCTGTTTTCCCAATCACTTCCAATGTTTCTATCACCTTCTTTACTCATTGACTTGGGCTATTCATTATTCCTGGACATTGCTTTTTTTTTTATAGTCTTGGATTCTGTAAATTTTCTCACTCTCTTTCTGTCCTACCATATCATCCCTTTTTTTCTATATGTTTCTAAAATGCTATTCAAGACTTACATCAAAGACCATTTTCACCAAAAAGCCATTTCTGTCTTAGCATAATGACTTTTTCTTTCTGCAACTCCCAAGTGCTATAATTTTTCTTTTTCACTTTCAACGAAATTGGAGTATTTCATTCATTCAATTGTAATAAAATGTCCTTTTCATGCAGAGACTCATGTTCCACTCTTTCTCTGCTGTGTTCTGTATCTCAGAGGGCTGGCCTTTGCAAACTGTCTTTGCCAGACTCCCTTGGCAAATGGCTTTCCTCCATGTTATGCCAATGGGAGGTGTTGGAGGGAGGCTGGAAAGGGAGAGAAAGTGAGGAGCCTGTGGCAAATTCTCACATGGTTGTCTAGCCCGCTGACATTGGAGAAGATGTTACTTCTGTGAGAAATCAGCTGTAGCATTGTCGTTCTGTATCCCACATTCACAGCGACCACAGAGGGGACACCATAACCACAATCTTGAGTGTATAAAAAGGTGTGCCTCTTGCAAAGACCACAATGGCCAGGCCAGAGCTTATACAATTGCTAATTAATTAGTCCAGACATCGCCATCCAATCCATAGCCTTTGGAGATTTTGATTTCCTAATCTGGACAGAAATTGTTTATTTTTCAGTGATAAAGAAGGGATTTCTATTTTTCTTCTCAAGACTCAGCCCCTGGAATGTTACCTCTGTGTTGGATTAAGTTTACCTCTTGATGCTTCTACTAAGTACTCATTCTATGGTCCCAGAGTCTTACTTTAAAAAAAATCCCTCTAAACTCTCTTCCATCTGATTCAGGTAATAACTACTCTGGGGTTCCAGCTTCCTCCAGGCAGCCCATCTCATGATCTCAGCCCTACCATAGTACTTCCACCATAGCACTCATTCCCTCCAGTGGGCCCCAGACAACCATAATTTGGCAACACCATCTCCATTTCCTTGCAGGCCCAGAGGTGACATTGGCTGTTGCTCATCTTTGGCATTCCTCACCTTTCCCTGTTGGCCCTCATGCTCTTGCAATACCTTTGTAATTAGTTTTGCCAATCAAATTCCTTCTATGAACTTTCTTGGCATGATCTCTATTTTCCTGACTAGACTTTCCATAGAGTGATATAATAGGGGAAAAAAACTATATTTGGCACTGAAATAACTTAAAAAATTAAAAAAAAATTGTAGCTCTGCTGTTTATTAACTATGTCTTTGAACAACTAACTTCACTCTCTGAATCTTAGTCGTTTCTTTTGTAATATAAAGTTGTCTCTCTTATGAGCTTAATGTGTAAGAATTCAATACAGTAATGAATGTGGGAGTACTCTGTAAAGTGCTAAGTAAATACAAGGCTTGATACCCTTCATTTCGCATTCATGTTGTTTATCTTTTCATGAATTTGTTTCTTATCCTCATACACAGATAATCAATTTTATAAGAGCACAGATCTTATCTTGTATTTTTTGCATAACCTCCCAATGACTTATACATTGTTGTTGTTGCTCAATGCATGATAGTTGTTCGATAAATACATACTGAGTCATCTGCTAAGAACAAGTAATGATGTTATCTACTCAATGCAGTTCCTGTGCTTTCAAACATTTCCCAAAGAAAACAAGTTAATATGTTATCCACACATTGTGAATTTGAAATTTTGAAACTATAACATCCTACTTTAGCCACTCTGTTACTTGTGATAGAATGCAACAAGAGAAAAAAAGGTTTTTTTAATCACTGGAAAAGACATCTTCCATGTTGCCTCCAAAATACATTGTTTTCTGATTTTAAAATTATGAAAAAATACAGAATGTATTCTCTGACAGTCATTGCAGGAGGCATTTGTAAAACACATTTCCATTCCACAGAAATTACTCAGGATTGTCATACCTCTTGTGGTTCCAGCATTGTACAGATTTCCTAATTGTTGTAATTAGAAATAACAGCAAAAGGCAGTATCAAAAGAAGCAGAAATAGAAAACAAGAGCTATTGATGGCTAAGGAAGAAAGCATATACTTAAGCATTGGACATAGAACAATTTCAGACAAATGATAACATGTTGGCTTAGTACAAGGAAGTGGTTAGTTTGCTGTGGAGGAGCTAAGCATGAAGACGGAGACAACGAGAGACAGAGATCAGCCAGACCCATGCTGTAGAAAGAAGAGGATCATGCTGAGATGTTACCTTCTCATTCCAGGGGAAGACTCTGACTGCTGAGCTTGGGTGAGAGAAACCAGTCATTAACCACAGAACTTCATTGGACTTATTCTCATGTACTACTTATTATTAAAAATAGCAGTATATATATGTGTGTGTGTATATATATATATATATATATATATATATATATATATATATATATATATATAATTTTCTTTATTTTTTTTCCTGAGATAGGGTCTTGCTCTGTTGCCCAGTTCGGAGTGCAGTGGCAGGTTCACTCTCACTGCAGCCTTGATCTCCTGGGCTCAAATGATTCTCCCAACTCAGCCTCCTGAGTAACTGGGACCACAGGTGTGCACCACCACATCCAGCTAAGTTTTTGACTTTTTGTAGAGACAAAGTCTTGCTGTGTTGCCCAGGCTGGTCTTGAACTCCTGGGCTCAAGGAATACTGCCACTGGGATTATAGGTGTGAGCCACTGCACCTGGCCTCAGCATATTTTAGTGATGTGTAAACAATATACTCAACAGTCTTCATTCAGCTCTCAAGTAATCATCCTGCTCTGTCTACATGATTTCACATTAAACAGCCCATTCAGGAGCTGTTTTTATTAGGATCCTGGCATGATAGATTCAACTAATGTTACATTTTTGGCCATTTCAGTTTTGCATGACTTCTTTAAAATTCTGAGTATGTGGTTTAGTGCCTATTTGTGTGGTTTCTGTATGTCTATGTATGAATGCATATATTTCCTTAGATATTTTCTGAATTTTTTCCTTTGAGTTAATGGCATTTAAGCATGTAGTGGCTGCTAACTCAGCCCCTTAGGAAATGTTTTCTTAACCAGACAAAATCCAGTGGGGATGAGGTAATCTAAGAATTTTGTTAGCTTTAACATTTTCTGGGTTGGGATTAACATATGTTCCTGGAATTAGGTAGAAAGTTTGAGTAGAATTTTAGCCTTGCCTTCTTTGGCACCAATGATTTAATAAAGGCTTTTCTTTTTTTTTTAATTTGTAGGTAGCAGAAACCAAGTTTATAACTCAAAAGTGCTGACGGAGCACTAGGCTTATTTCTAGATTTATGAACATAAGCAGCTGTGCTTACTGTTAAAAATAGGTCAGTTGAAGCCTGAAGTGTAATTAATTGAATGCAAAAATAAATCATTTTCCACAACTAAATGTATCTTATTGGGTATCAGTAAAATTACCAGTTTGAGACTTGCAAAATTAAAGTGTTTCCTAGTTACTGAGAAGTCTTCATCATTCTTTCAGGCTTTGATTTCTCTTTTGTTAAAGTCCATCTGCCCAATTGTTATTTCCTATATAAAGTTTTTTTTCTCTTTCCCTATTAGGTCCAAAAAACATTACTTTGCCCTTTTGAGATGGGGATTTGTTTTTCAGTATATTATAATAAACCACCATATTAACCTCTGCATAGTAATATATTTGAAATATTATTTGCAACCATTGTTTTGAATATAAGTGTTCAATTTAATGATCGCATGGCTAAAGCAGGAATTTGTAGATAAACTTGATTTGGATTTGGCTGTATTTCCAATACCATGAGCTAGAAGAGCTTCCTTAAGCCTCTTTCCAGCTGAAGGTAAAACAAAAATTGGAATAACAAAAACTGTCACAGCACCGGTTGCTCCATTGACTTGGTGCTAATTGATTTGATTAATTCATTTGTACTTAACGAACTTTTTAGTTCTGCTGACTCAGTATACAGTTTGCATTGATGTAATATAGGAACGGCCTCTTTCTCTGCTTACCCTAATTCAAGCATGCACATATGTTATTTTATCTATCTCGTAATAGCCAACTGGTATGATTTTAAAAATTTATTTTTTTTCCAATCACACATTAATATTCTCCCTGCTGAAGTATGTGGAACCATTTGGGGACAGTTGTTCTCATTAGTTGCAAACTAATTTGAATTGAGCCATATAAATTGATGCCCATTATTATTTCTGCTTTTTACAGCTACCCCAGTTTTTTAATCCCCGAAAGTTTCATAGAGATCTCTTATTGAATCTAGGGCAGTTCTGATCCTGGTGTTTCCTTGCTCCAAGGTCTTTGATGGTTTCCAGTTGCTATGGCAACAAGACATAAATTTCTGTCAGGAATGTGTGACTGTGGTTCAGAGAAAGACATCATTCAAACCTTGCTGCCCCCTCTCCCCAACTTTCCTGCGTGCTCCAGGTGGGTCAGAGGACTTCTCTTCTCCCAAACACACCTTTCACATTCCCATGATCCAGCTCTCGTTAAATAGTTTTACTTAAACTTCATGGGTCTCCTTAAATTCAAGGTCTTCTTATAAGTCTTTTCTAAGCTCTACAATAAGATGCTGTTTTGCTCACCTTTGAATTACAATAATGTGTTGATAATACTTTTGAAGATCTTATTCTGCTTGGAAGAGCAACTTATGTATAAACTACAGGCATCTTGAGGGCAGGGATTGTGTCTTTCTCATCCTGATTCTCCTTTTGCATCTAGCACAATGCCTCATACATAACAAAAGGAAAGACCTTCAACTCTGAACGTCAGAATATGTGGAGGACAATTTCAATTCTGTCATGAATTAGATGCGATGGTATTATGTATAGCTTTGGTCAGTTGCTCTTTCAATGTCCATTTTCCTTAATTGGGTTATTAGACTACATAAACACTGTAGGCACAGTCTGATGGTGAATGAATCAATTAACAATCAAAGTGGACTTTAAAGCCACTGGTGTGTATTCTAATGTTAGCTCTTACTTGCTGATTGTCAGAGCTTAGGGAATTCACATGAGTATATGGTGACTCAGTTTACCCATCTGTAAAATGAGGATGATAATAATAGCATCTGCCTTACAAGGACAGTTGTGGTGATTACATGAGTTAATGGTTGTAAAGTGCTTAGAACAGTAGTGGGCACGTGGTAAGTGTCATGTAAGTGTTTGTTAAAAAGGAGATTTAAAAAAGTAAACAATCTTTCTTTCTAAGTAATAGTTACTTCATGAACCATTATAAATTCAAACACATTTGAATCTACTGCTAGTACAGTTTCAAGGTACTGTAAGAGCTTCTGTTCTCAACCAGAAAACACTTCAGCTTTCACAGAGGATCAGTGCTCTTATGAATAGGTGAGCATACTAGTGTAGGGGTTCACATACCCTCCGTCCCCTCAGACATGCATTTTTCTCCTTATGGATCTCACTTCTCATTCATTCATTGACTCATTTATTACTCTACAAACATTTATTGGATTCTTATTTGGGAAAAAAATGAGTAAGAAGTCCTGTCTCCAAGGATGTTCCTGTGGAAAGGAAGACACAGATATGTAAGGGGTTATCTAGAAACAGAATTTGATGAATGCTATAGAAGGATATGTGGGGGGTGGGGAGCGGACAGTGTGGCCATTTTTGCTTAGAGGAGTTGTGGAGGGCCCAAGAAAAGTTGTGAACTTTGAGCAGAATTGCAAAGAAAGAGCACACATTTTGCAACAGGGAGCAAAGAACGTGCTTTTATTCCTGGTAGAGATAATAGACTGTGCAGACAAGTCATAAATGGACAGGAGGCTCATTTTGGTTAGAGCTCAGGTTTTGTAAAAAATATGTTAGTCATGGGGGGTGCGATTAAAACAGCAAGTTTGGGCCAACTGTGAAGGATTGTGTTTGTTGCATTAGGTTTGGAATTCATCCTTAAGGCCATGGGAAGGAGGTGAGGGTTTAGAAAGTGAGTATGTGATACAATCAGATTTGTTTCTTTGGGAAATCGGAACTCTGGAAACTGTGGCAAAAAAGCAAGTGTCTATGGGGTTGGCTCCCAAATCAAAATCTACAGTTGACAATTTTCATCCAATCTACATTGCTAGCATGCAGCAGCATAACAGCTAATTAAATTAGCACCTATAATCACCTAGAAAGACATATCCATTGACTATTAGAGTCTAGAAGACGATCATAGAAGGGCAAAGTGCATTATCTGAGAATGACTGGTATAGATTGACACATTACATTTAATATAATTATATATCTCAAAAAGCAGAAATACCTATATTTTATACAATTCTGTATTAAATGAAAATACAAAATTTTATTTTTTATATTTGTTAAAAACACCACTTCATGGAAGTATAACTGACATGAAATAGCTGTACATATTTAATGTATATAACTTGATAAATTTGGAGATAAGTATACAACTACGAAACGATTACCATAATCTATACCATAAATAGAGGATATGAGATTTTGATGTTTGTAAAAAGGGGGTTTGCCTCTTGAAAGCCTGAAAAACATAGACAAGTGGGACAACACAGACAAGAGCTTCAGGTGCTGTGGGACTTGTTTTAGATCACTTACAGAGCCCTCAGGATGGATGCCAAGTGAAGTCTCTATTCTTCAATCAACTTCTTCATCTCCACTAGGCCAGTTCAATGTGCTGTTTATCTAGATAACTCAAATTTTTGGTTTTGTCCTCTAACTCTGCTGCCTTAATCTGCCACCAGGCTATGATGCCACGTCTCCTTCCTTCTGTCAACACTGATCATTTTTCAGCTCCTTAGTCCTTAAAAATATATGGATCACATACATTTCCAATTGAAGAGGATTGTTTCCTCCCCCTTGAAAAGTGGCATAGCTATCTCACACCAGTCAGAATGGTGATTATCAAAAAGTCAAGAAACAACAGATGCTGACAAGGCTGTGGAGGAATGGGAACACTTCTACACTCTTAGTTGGAATGTAAATTAGTTCAATCATTGTGGAAGACAGTGTGGCAATTCCTCAAGGATCTAGAACCAGACATACCATTTGACCCAGCAATCCCATTACTTGGTATATACCTAAAGGAATATAAGCCATTCTATAAATAGAATGCAGCACTATTCACAATAACAAAGATGTGGAATCAACCCAAATGCCCATCAGTGATGGACTGGATAAAGAAAATGTGGTACACACACACCGTGGAATACTATGTAGCGAAAAAAGGAATGAGATCATGTCCTTTGCAGGGACATGGATGGAGCTGGAAGCCATTATCCTCAGCAAACTAACACAGAAACAGAAAATCAAACACAGCATGTTCTCACTTATAAGTGGGAGCTGAACAATGAGAGCACATGGACACAGGGAGGGAAACAACACACCCTGGGGCCTGTTCGCGGGGTGAGAAGAAGGAGGACATCAGGAGAAATAGCTAATATATGCAGGGCTTAATACCTAGGTGACGGGTTGATAGGTTCGGCAAACCACCATAGCAGATGTTTACCTATGTAACAAGCCTGCATGTCCTGCACTGTATCCTGGAACTTAAAATAAAGTTAAGTTAAATTAAGAGAAAGAAAAGAAAAGTGGTGTAGTTCTTTATTATTTCTGAGTTATAACTTCTTTCAACCAAGGAGCCCCCACAAGTTGCATGACTGGTCAGTTCTCTGAACCAGTTTTCGTCTTGGTAAAATGGTTGTAAATGATTATTATCACCGTGGAGACTGCAAAGGTGATAGGACACAGGAGAGGGCAGTGGCTTCCTCTGTGTGAGATGACTGCTGTGGTGATGGATTCCGGACCAATGAAAGGTTCCTTTATGGTCCTCAAGGTCTTCCTTGGGTCCACTAGCTGAGATGTCTTTAAGTTTCTCTGACAAGTTACTTATAAAATGGCTGAGCTCACATTACTAGTGAGGTGTTTTGTTTCAGATTGTAACTAGGACTTTAAATGTGTCTCATGTATTTTTTGACTGCAATGGACATTCTGATTGGTGAGAGATGGTATCTCATTGTGGTTTTGATTTACATTTCTCTAACGATCAGTGATGCTGAGCATTTTTTCATATACTTGTGGCCTCATGTATGTCTTCTTTTGAAAAATGTCTGTTCATGTTGTTTGCCCATTTTTAAATGTGGTTGTTTGTGTTTTGCTTGTTGATTTGTTTAAGTTCCTTACAGATGCTGGGTGGGCATGAGACCTTTGTGGAATGAATAGCTTGCAAATATTTTCTCCCATTCTGTGGACTGTCTGTTTATTCTGTTGACAGTTTCTTTTGCTGCCCAGAAGCTCTTTAGTTTAATTATGTCCCACTTGTCTATTTTTGTTTCAATTGCTTTTGGAGACTGTCATAAAGTTTTTGAGGTTGCAGAGAAAAGGGAATGCTTATATACTGCTGGTGGGAATGTATATAAGTTAACCATTGTGGAAAGCAGTTTAGAGATTTCTCAAAGAACTTAAAACAGAGCTACTGTTCCACCCAGCATTCCCATTATTGGGTATATGCCCAAAGGAATATAAATCATGCTACCAAAAAGACACATGCATCTGTATGTTCATAAAGCAGATGTGGTACATATATGCCATGGAATACTACACAGCCATAAAAATGAAATCATGCCATTTGCAGCAACGTAGGTGGAGCCAGAGGCCATTATCCTAAGTGAATTAATGCAGGAACAGAAAACCAAATACCCTATGTTCTCACTTATAAGTGGGAACTAAACATTGAGTACACATAGACACAAGGAAGGGAACAACAGACATTGAGGCTTACTTGAAGGCAGAAGGTGGGCAGAGGATGAGGATACAAACATCTCACTATGCTCACTACCTGGTGATGGCATCATTTGTACACCAAACCCCAGTGACACACAGTTTACCCATGCAACAAACCTGCACATGTACTCCCTGAACTTAAAATAAAAGTTGAGAGAAGAGAACTAAAAATAAAATAAAAATAGATGTCTCTTATTTAAAGATGAGAAAGCCCAGCTCAAGGCTGACTAACAGAGAGGAGGAAAAGAGCTAGCTCACTTTCAGGCTCATATAGAAAGAGATGACATTTTGTTACTTTCTCTGTGGGAAAATTTTTATTTATAGCCATACCTTCCAGTGAAAATTTGTCCTGTCTGAACATCTACATCACTGCCAAGTGAATAGGATTCAGATATCGCTCCAAGCCTTTAGTTTCTATATTTACAACAAAATCTGCCCATAGCTGCCTGTTTACATTACTTTCATCCTAGCTGGGCTTTACAAATGCTGTAAATTAGGATTTGAAAAAAGGAGATAAGGAGTAAGAATAGGAAAACTGAAGTATGCCTACAAATTCTAGGTCTCTGAAGAACTTCTGAGGGTGTATGTTTTAAAAGACTAGAAGAGTTTTCAGAACTCCAGGCCTGCGTTCTGAAATAAATTTCTTTTCATATGCTTTTAAAAGTCCACCTTTCCTAAGTAATGCTTAGTTTTCATTAAAATGTAAATCAGTAGGGTTCTATATATAGGGGATTATTTCACATGACTTTTATTAACTTCAAATTTTATAATCACATTGAACACTTTGGTTTCATGATCACATCAGAATTTATTATATTTTATCCAGGAGTCAGTGCTTTGATCTGTGGGAATTTGTGATTTTGGGGATATAAAAAGTTAATTTTATATAGTCACAGTGACTAGGTGCTTTTTCTGCTGTGTAGTAATCCTTTAGATTACAAGTAAAGGTCGAGTGACAGTAATGGAAAAGAATTTGTGTTAGGTGGCAATTTTTACTGTGTGAGAAAATATATTCATCATGATATGGAGAATTCAGTTGTTACTGTGCTGAGTGTCTTAGGGATTAAACTAGTAACTTGGCAACTCCTGAGTCAATAATTTGCATTTTTTTCATTTCCGGTTAGTTTATTTTCTCCCAATAATCAAGAAAAAAATGCACACACACACACACACACACACACACACACATAAACACACACAGACACAGACTGTCTTCACCATGAAAATCCCAAGCAAGTAAACCACATGTATGTGGGAAACTGTCAACTAGAGCTCAGAAGATAGTGCTAAAAAATGGTTTCCAGGAACCAGTAGCTAGGAAAGCAGGGCCACTTATTCTTGCCCTTAAACTTATGTGACCTTGGTCTCTTTCCTCATCATCAGATGTGAATTTCTAATATTTTCCTCAATATTCTATTTTGATGCCTTGGCAGAATGTATTTCAAATTGTTAAAAATATTTGCCTCCTAAACTTCCCAAGTTCAAGTGCAGCCTACCTGGGTCCATGGCATTACCATTGGGTTTCATTGATGAGAATCCTCAGCATTGACTTCATGTTCCCCAGCTTCTCTTGCAGTGCTCAACTCTGAGCATGCTCCCCTGCCACTGCTTAGTCCGCCCTTCAGATCCCTCACCTTAATGGCTGTAATAAACTCATAACTGGTCTAGGAATCTTAATTTTAGTTCTTATATTCATCCAAACCATACTTAGTTTTTTTCTAAAAACTCAGCTTGGAGAGGTTGGATCTCCACAATGCCGTTCAATGCTTCTGCATAAAGTAAAACTTCTAAGTTATTCTAGGAACTCCTGGATGTGGCCTTAACATATTTTTGCCATATTTTAAACTATGTTTCTGCACAGCTATCTTTGAGCACATCTGTTTCTCAACATTTTCTAAAGGGATCAGATGGGACTTCATGGTTGCATGCCCTTCACTTCATTGCTGGGCCATCAGCTTCATCTTTAAACACTATCTCAAGTGCTTTCTGATACTTTACTTGATAATTTAAGTTGGAATTAATGCTAAAAATTGCTGTGGATATTTTAAAAGGTAAAGCTATGTGAAACAAAAAGAACAAACCCTATTTTTGTAAGGGAAAAACACTTTTCAAATTACATTTTATGGTTATCTTTTCTACTAAGAAGAATGATCTTCATGCTAGAAAAAATAGCATAGATAGGTTAGAAGAGAAATGATGTACAACGTGTAAATAATAGAGACAATTTGCATCCTTTTCATGAGAATATCTTCTTACCCAGGTAAATTACCTTCATCATGATAGAATAATTCAAGGTATTATTGAAGACCTATTGTTTAATCTTTATGTTGGATTATATGAATAGGATAATATTTCCAAATACTTACCAGATCATTCCCCCTCATTAAAATCATTCCATGGTTTTTAAAAATACATTATCATTACAATAAAGTCTTTCCTCATCTGCCTCCTTCTTATTTCTTATTTCTCAAAGCTTGTCTTCTGCTACTCTTCATATTCTTCTATGCCAAAATCTACTCCCATAGATCCAATGTCTATCTTAATTGTAGTAATTATTATACCATAATTTTTACTCAGTTCACTTGTCCTCCTCTATAAGGTCCCTAGAGTAGGGACTCCTCTTTTCTGTAGGCATGATGGAGAGAACCTGTGTTCTAGAGTTATATAGATCTAGGCTCCAGTCCTGGTTTTTTCTTTTACTATTAGCCTTGACTAAGATGGTCAGCCAAGTTGGTTTTGTTGAAAAAGAGGGGAGAATGATGGAACAGTCGTCCAGACAGTGACTAAGGAGATTTGCTGGCCTGCACATATCAAGGTGTGGTTGTATGATTACTGATTATGATTGTCCTTGGAATTAATGTATATCACTTCCTTAGAGGCTTTAAGAAGCGGGTGCCTTCTCTATGCTTTCCTCTCCTCCTCTTCCTAGATGAAAATGATTATGAGCCTGTAAATTGTGGAAAGGACCTTGTCTCTGAATCACTGCATAGAGGAGAGCTGTCTGATGACCAGGCATCCTTCAGCTTGGACTGTCATATATAAATGACAGATACTTCATTTTGTGTTTATTTCTTGCTTATATTTATAATAATTTATTTTGCGATATTATCTCCAAAGATGGCCACCAGTAATTTCTTCACTTTTGTATACACTTGTTTCACATCTTGATGTTTCACATCAAAGGGTAGAGCTGATTTCCCTGTTCTTGAATCTGTGTTAGCTTTGATTGGCTTTGACTAATAGGATGCAGCAGAAAAAAATGTTCTAAGTCAGGACACAAATGGTCTGGCACATTTCACTTCCTGCTTCTTGCAACCCAGACACCATACTGTGAGAAGCCCATGCCATGTGGAGAGACAACGTGGAGAAGAAGTGAGGCTCTCTGGTTGAGAACTCCAACTGACTTCCTAGACTACAGCCAGGGCAATTTTCTAGTATGGGAAAGAGCCAGCTCAGTCAAACCTTCGGAAAACTGCAGCCCATCAGGGATCACAGGGAGCAGTAGAACCCACCAGTCTACCCACAGAATCATGAGATAATATAAAGTAGCTGTTAATATGTACCAAAGATAGCTGAAATAGCTAGCTATTTTGCATATTTTATATATTTTGGCCAGTTAACCATTTGTGCCCAGTTTTTGAATAGGGAGCATGACTCTAAGTAATACACTTGTTTTGTGACACTGGTACAGTGACTTAACTCCTCTTAGCTCTCATTTTATGATCTATAAAATGGAAGGAAGAAACCCTATGAATTCATATCGTTGTTGTTATTGAATGAGACAATGATGGAGGGTTCCTTACCCAGTGCCTGGCATATGGTAGGCACTCAATTGAAGCGTATTTGAGTTAATACTACTCTTTGCTAAGTCATTAGAGAAGTGCTGAATTAGACAGAAAACCATTTAATCTCATTTGTATTTTAAAAATTAAAAATGATAGAATACATCTTAATTCTATACCTTATTCCTTGAAAGTAGATTTAAATTTTGTGATTTTATTTTGGGCTTCTTCAGCCAGCTCCTTTTTCATCTTTACATTCCTCTCCACATATTTTCCATTATGAATCCCACTCCTTTTTTTTTTTTTAATAACGCACCTATTCTTACATCTTAGTGGAAACACTGGGAAGATATTACTATTTTTTGCTTTTAATGTATATATTTTTTCAAATGCATTCTTCTTTTATGTTAAGTGTGGGATTATTCACATATCTCATACATAACTTTCCTACTTATTAATTCAACAAACAGTGTGCACCCACTGTGTGTTAGGCAGTAAATGAAATTTAATTTTCTTCTATACATACCTAATTCATCACTAGTCATTAGTTCTGTTTTTCAGATCAAGGTAAATTATAGTAAAACTATAATTTATAACAAACTATAGCCCATGGCCCAAATCTGGCCCACTGTCTGTTTTTGTAAATAAAGTTTTATTGGAACATAGCCACATGCATTTGTTTTCATATGGTCTAGGGTAGTTTTATGCTTCAATGCCAGAGTTGAATGGTTATGACAGAGTTGACTTAACCCACAAAGCCTAAAATATTTACTTCTGGACCTTTATAGAAAAAAAAAGTTCCAGCTCTTGACTTGTAGTAATATGAACAGTTTTGGTTGGCATATTTAAGAAATATTAATAAACTAGAGTTAGCTATTATGAGAATGAAATGTGTGAAAACTATGCTACACAGTAAAGTACGGAGAATTTTTAGTCTGGAAAAAAGGGCTTTTAAGGAGTTTATAAAATTCAAAAAAAGCAGATTAGGTTGATGCATACTACTTCCACTGACAACTGGTTTACTAAAGATTGGAGAAAAAAAGGGGAATATATTTAGAAAGGCAACTTGGAGTTCATTGGAAATATGAATACTTTTGGACTCAATAATTACACTATGAAATTAATCTGAGAGGGATATTTCTATACATGTAGAAAGAAACACCTTTGAGGATGTTGACTGGGGCTTTTGTTTATGATAACCAGAGCTGTGAAACAAGCTTAACAGAAATGGTTAAATAAAATATGGTGTACACACTCTCTATATATGCTATTTTAATTGAACAGATGCGGCCATTTAAAAGAATGAAGTAACAACATCAAAAAATGCTCATCATCACTGGCCATCAGAGAAATGCAAATCAAAACCACAATGAGATACCATCTCACACCAGTTAGAATGGTAATCATTAAAAAGTCAGGAAACAACAGGTGCTGGAGAGGATGTGGAGAAATAGGAACACTTTTACACTGTTGGTGGGACTGTAAACTAGTTCAACCATTGTGGAAATCAGTGTGGCGATTCCTCAGGGATCTAGAACTAGAAATACCATTTGACCCAGCCATCCCATTACTGGGTATATACCCAAAGGACTAGAAATCATGCTGCTATAAAGACACATGCACACGTATGTTTATTGCGGCACTATTCACAATAGCAAAGACTTGGAACCAACCCAAATGTCCAACAATGATAGACTGGATTAAGAAAATGTGGCACATATACACCATGGAATACTATGCAGCCATAAAAAATGATGAGTTCATGTCCTTTGTAGGGACATGGATGAAACTGGAAATCATCATTCTCAGTAAACTATCGCAAGAACAAAAAACCAAACCCGCATATTCTCACTCATAGGTGGGAATTGAACAATGAGATCACATGGACACAGGAAGGGGAACATCACACTCTGGGGACTGTTGTGGGGTGGGGGGAGGGGGAGGGATAGCAGTGGGAGGTATACCTAATGCTAGATGACGAGTTACTGGGTGCAGCGCACCAGCATGGCACATGTATGCATATGTAACTAACCTGCACATTGTGCACATGTACCCTAAAACTTAAAGTATAATAATAAAAAAAAAAGAGTGAAGTAGCTCTATATATTCAGTCCTAGAAAGGTTGTCAAGATATTATTCTCCAGGTCAATATATGATGATTCTACTTTTTAATTAAAAAATATATTATGTAAACATTTGCATATGTTGTTAAGACTAAATTAAACTACATGTGACAGCAAAATCTCAAATTATAGTGGCATCAGCAAGATAGAATTTATTGTTCTGTCGAAGTCCAGTCAGGGAATCCAGGGTTAGGGTAGTGAGAGCATCATGGCCTGAAGGAGCCAAGCTCCTTATTTCATTTCTTGTTGCTTGGCCTTGGTTGGCATCTGTGTTCCACACAGCACAATGAGGAGCTGGGTAGTGTTCAAGGAGATGGTTGATTATAAGTCACTTGTGGATTTAAAGGTTCCCATTGTGCAAAAGAAAAGCATAACTTGGTCACTGTGGAAGCTAAAAGACGAAGACAAGGTAAGAAGGTCATTTGTTAAGGAGGGTTTTTCTAACAGGAAGTGGTGGGCCACAGAATTTGAGAAATAATAAGTAAAAAAAGGCTACTAGAGATTCATAGACTAAAGACTAAAGCTAGAAGGAATGTCTGAAATTATCTGATTTGAATCAGTTGTTTTATATCTTTTATTACAATCTTCAAAGGCTAATAAGAGAAAAAAGAAAAAAAGTTAATATTCTAAAACTTGTGAAAGATAATCTTTTATGCCCAAAGTATCTTTAAAAAGGATGCATGTTTCTACAGTTTTTTATTTACTTATTTTTAGATTATCTAATATATTATTTTACTAATATATTATATACATTAGAAAATGTTCACCAAAAAGAAATTAATTAGGATTAACTTGAGTTAAATAAATAATATAAAAATATAATTAATTATGATGACTTCATATTATCTTGAGAAAAATTTATAATTAGGACAAGGTTCACTATTTTATATGCATATGCATATGTGTATGTGCATAGTATATGTATGTACCTATACTATAACTCAAATAGTCTTGTTGGTAATTAAGTTGTTTCCCCCCAATTCCCCATCAAATCTGTTAGGTCATCACTTTTCTCACCTGGATTTGTGGCTGAAGATGAACCTGTATCGAGAGTGGAAGAATTGGTTTTACCACTTGCCATAGTTCATTTGTGCTTGAATTATTGATATCTACTCAACTCAATTTACTTGCTACAGTCTTTTAAACTAGGGGCCTATTTTTAAAATTTTAATGTAGTTAACATTATGTATTTCATAAATCCATGCGTTTGTAATAATGGTTACTCTATAACCCACAGGGCCAGTGTGTTGTAATTTGGTGCTACAGAATGAAGAGGGTTCTGCTGTCATTCCCTGCATGCCATGGAATTTCTGTAGTTTTTCCCTGAGGCCACTTCATGTATTGGTTGGAACAAGTCACTCTCTGACATAGGGGCTAAGTGAGGGTATGAAATTTAATGTGTTATAAATATTGTCCAAACTTAATTTCTTTCTCTCTCTCTGTGAGATAAAAATGCATAGAAGTAAGTAGTCTAATACTCCATTCTCATATCCTATAAGCCAACTTCTTCCATCTCTAGAATGTATGCAACAGTTTTTCCAACTATAATCTTAAAATTACAGCTATAGTCTGTGTATCAGTAGGAGTTCATCCAAGAAGCAAAACCAGTAGATACATATTTTAAGGGGATTATGATGAGGAATTGGCTTACATAACTGTGCAGCTAGCTAAGCTTGTCCAGAGATCACAGGACAGGTAGTCAGGAAGGGAAGAGCCCCTGGGGCCTGGGTGAATGTTTAATAGGCAGGCAGTCAGGAAGGAAGATTCAAGGGAAATGGGGAGCAATTGCAGCTGCTGGTTGGGGTCTTTGGGTTTAGCGAAGACCTAAGCCATCTTTTGAGAGACTCACAACTGATTAAGTCAGGATCGCCCATTTAGGGGCTATTATCTTAAAGTCCCTAATTGAGTGGTCCTGACCTAATCAGGATAATCTCTTTATTGATGAACTTAAAGTCCTCTATTGGGGACTTTAAGTACATCTGCAGAATCCATTTACAATGGTACCTAGATTCATGTTTGGTTGAATACCTGGGAGAAGGTGTGCCTGCTAAAACCCTGCTGCTTCCTCTTCTGTCCTCCAACTCTTGTGAGACAACATCTCTTGTAGTTCATTCCAACCAGAAACATACCAGAAAGGGAATTCTGGGGCCTGTAGTTTAGCTTAGCTCAGTCTATGCCTCATAAAGCTATCACATTCCATTACTTCTAACAGATAGTTATCTACCAGGCCAATGCCATCTTACCTTGGAGTTGTATATTAGCTGTGAGGTCATGCAGTCTTTCTCTTGTACTTACTGTTCAATGAGCTAGTTTTTGCTATTGCAGTTATTAAAAAGCTGTATCATTTTCAGACAACTTTTATTTTGTCAGTGTGTGGCCCTTTTACCCCAAAGTTCTTTAAATAAATATGCTATAAGCAATTTATACTCCAACATTAATATTCCAAGCAAAGACACACTCACCTGCTACTCATCACAACAGGCACTAGTTATAAAATAGTATATGAAATGCCTGGAAATATGCATCTAATATGTTTTCCTTTGTATATGTGACCAAATGAGGAAGATGAAGCAAACATATCCTCTCTGACTATTCAGTCTGATGTAAACATGCACTTTTTAAACGTGTTTTTAAAGACTGTATTTAGCTTTTATTTTTTCTTCTTTTTTTTCTGTGCTATAACTTTAAGTGTACTTTGAATGCAAGATACAATAATGAGCCTCCATCCCCGGGTCAAAAATTTTGGTGACTAAAATGGTGCATAAGAAAGAATTGATCTTTGAGGTATGCCACCTCATTCCTTCTCTCCATCAGCCATCAGTCACGCCCTGCTTTCTTGACGCAGTAAACCTTTATGATAGTACATGTCAAGCATCTTGTATTTTCTCACAATAATTTATGTACACACTAAATTTATTTTCTTCCAACTTGCATTTTTATTACTTACATAAACTTATTTCCATTGTTCAATTATAAAAGTATTTGAATATCTTATGTTGGATGAAATATATTATGATTCTTCCCATTAAAATAAATGGAAATATTCTTATATAATTGTTTTTCACTTGGTGGCAGGGTTTTCAGGAATAAATTGAGGTTGGTTAGTGAGGGAAGATTGTATTGCATTTCTATTTAGAAATTCTATTTCCTGGGTCAAGTCAGTTATCCTTTCTCTGTTTAGTGGTTTCATCTATTTAAAAAAAGGAGCAGTACCTCATAAGGGTGTTATGACAAATGAGACCACACACATAAAGCATTGGCAAGATTTGATAAACAGTAATCCCTCAACCAATATTAGTTTAAAAATAATTCATTTAGGTGAAAACATATCCTTGGTAAAAAGAATACAATTAAATTTATAAGCCAGAGTAATGAAATATTTTATTGTTTACAAATGGAAGCATTCAGTGCTGAGGGTGGCTATTTTTCTCTTATGGAGGCATGCAATGGAGATCATAACTCTGATGGCATTTTCTGGCTCTGGCAATATACGCATTTTACACTGGAAGTCATACAAAGAAACCGTGTTTGCACTGAAAGAAATCTCAGAGATGACTTAGACCACAGTCCTCATTTCATAGGTTGGGAAGTAAAGACTCAGTGTTCAATGACTGATCTGAAATCACAGACGTAGTTGGTATCAGAATGTGGATAAAAAGGTAAAAGTCTTTTACCTTCCTAACTCTGACTCTAAACATTAGTTATCATACAGCAGGGAGAAAGGTATGAAACCCACGGCTTTCAACATTTTAGACTAAAAAAGAACCCCGAGGTTTTACTGGAAATAAATGTTCCTAGGACATTTTAAAAGACATTGATTTATATTTATTTATTTATTTATTTATTTATTTATTTATTTATTTATTTATTTATTTTCTTCTCCTTGAAATCTAGCTGTGGTTTTTCTCTTTTGAATGGATAAAGTGGCCAATTTCTTACTATTTCTTTTGTACAACCTTTGCTTGTTTTTAACCTAGACTCTTTGCTTTGTGTTGCTTGCTTTGTTAGGCATGGCAAGTAATAGAAGATGTGGGTTCTAATTTTAGAAGAAAATTATCCTTGGCAGGCATAAGGAACTAGAAATTTGGTGCTCAGGGAGCCAATTTTTAATCAAATAGGAAAATCAAAACATTTGAATTTAAAAGTGTCTGAATTTTCTGCCTCATTGATTTAAGTTTAAGAAGTTGGATGAGCTGAAGATAGTACATGCATAGTTCATTGGATTTGGGTTGAACTACTTTTACTTAGTATCTGAGACAATTTATTTTTCATTTAAATTGTTTTTATCTCTTAGAAAAATATACACAAGAAATAAAGAGGTTGGATATGGAGCATCATTAAAACTAATCTGCAAATTAACACCTGTATCTCTCATGGTGTTCACTGCAAATAATAATTTCCACTCTAGCTGTTTACAGCCTAAAGGGATTTATTATGGGATATAAGGTTGCTTATGTAATTTCCTGGAGTGTCAGATAACCAAGCGTGTATACTGTGCTATGACATGGGACTCTTCCAGTGGAATCCACTGTTGCCGCTGTACCTGCTTCTTGGCAACCAGAAAACTAGGGACTGAACCTTAAGAAAACCTCTTCTGCCACCACCATCACAGGAGACCACAGAAGAGCTTGAAGCCCATGGTGCCGACTTCCATCTTCCAAGTCTCAGCGGCTATATCTGCTTAGTAGATGTTAGTTCACATGCAAAATCCTTGCTTTAGGGGAGACTATGAAATACAGTTTGAAATTTTCTAGGCTCTAATCTTAGAAAGGCATACTGTGTTGGAATGGTGTTGACCTCAGCATGGTTGTTGAATGGTTATACAATACCATGTGCATGCTGTCTGGGAGAGAGTACGGGCCTCAGGAATTGGCTTTTTCATTCTCTATGATATGTTAGTATGGAAAAGTTTATAAGAATGTTAATATTATTTTGGAAAGGGAAGGGGATGAGGAACCAAGAAAATATATTTTGTATAAAATATGTTTTGAATGGTAATAGGAGAAAAATATGCTAAATTCAATTATGTAACTTGTATATTCAGTCAATTCTATTTTAATGCTAGAAGTATTAAGCAAGAGATTAGAATATAGGCAGTTCTTACTTTGCATAGTTCCAATATGCATGAATTTCAGTTACCATAGTCTAGTTAAGTAGCACTCACAGTATGGCTTAAACTTCAGTTACCACAGTATATTAACTATGCATAACCCCATAAAGTACACACTTCACTGCTAGCTCTTTAGTCCATGAATCACTACACAAATAAAAGATGATCAATGACCAATCACATCACTTCTTTTGAAATCTGCTGGTGATTGGTCACCATGCATCAGTTAAAAGGAGTAAGCATGTGGTTGTGTTGCTTCCTTGTCTTCAGTGATAAACCCACATGACATTTCGCAAAACTAGATAATAGGAAGTGGAAACTGACCAACAAAGATCAAAGTCCAGAGGAGAACAGAAAGTGACAAGGTAAAGAGTAAAGTTTGCATGAAAAGTAAATGGAATTTTAGAAGGTATAGATGTGGCCATCTCCACCGTGTATCCACCACGTGGACACTGCAATCAGGGGAACTTAGTGACCGAGAACTTACCGACATGAATGAGGAGAGTGGTTGTGACAAAAAGGATGATGATGTCCCAGAGGAAGTGATGCTGGCAAAAAACTTTACATTAGAGGAACTCTTGGAGATATTTCATGACATTGGAAGCATAAAGAATAGAGTTCAAAGCCCATCCAAACTTCGAAAAGATTATGATAATTCACCAAGACATAGCAAAGATACTCACTCCATGTTGTCAATTATCACATGAGAAGAAGGCAAGCACTGTTTAAACTACTTTTGGTAAGTTTTTATTTTTTCTTTTCTTAATGGTGGGGTGATTATAAGTAGGTTTTTTATTTCCTTTTAAAATTATGTATATTTAAGTGTACAACATAATCTTTTGATTAAATTATGTATATTTAGGTGTACAACATAATGTTTTGATATACATAGCGAAATGGTTACTACAGTCAAGCAAATCAACATATCATCATCTTACATAGTTACCATTTTTTTGTGTGTGTGATAAAAGCACCTAAAATCTATGCTCTTAGGAAATTTCCAGCTTACAATATTATCTTTATCCTCATGCTGGACATGAGGTATCTGGACTTACTCATCCTACATAACTACAAGTTTGTACCCTTTGACCTGCCACCCCCATCACATCTCCACCAACCACCATTCTACTCTCTATTTCTAGGTATTCAACATTTTTTAGATTCCATATATAAGTTAGATCATGTAGTATTTTTCTTTCTGTGTCTGGCTTATGTCACTTAGAATAATGTCCTCCTCTGCCGGGTGCGGTGGCTCACGCCTGTAATCCCAGCACTTTGGGAGGCCGAGGCGGGCGGATCACGAGGTCAGGAGATCGAGACCATCCCGGCTAAAACGGTGAAACCCCGTCTCTACTAAAAATACAAAAAATTAGCCGGGCGTAGTGGCGGGCGCCTGTAGTCCCAGCTACTCGGGAGGCTGAGGCAGGAGAATGGCGTGAACCCGGGAGGCGGAGCTTGCAGTGAGCCGAGATCCCGCCACTGCACTCCAGCCTGGGCGACAGAGCGAGACTCCGTCTCAAAAAAAAAAAAAAAAAAAAAAAAAGAATAATGTCCTCCTCCTGATCCATGCATTTTGTGACAAATGGCAGGATTTGTTCTAAGCTGAATAATATTGCATTATGTATAGCATAATTTCTTTATCCACCCATTGATGGACACTCAGGTTGTTTCCAAATTTTGGGTATTAGGAATAATGCTGCAATAGACAATGGAATGCAGATTTATCTCTATGAGATGTTGACTTAATTTCCTTTGAGTATATACCCAGAAAAGGAATTGCTGAAGTTGTTTTATTTGTTTTTGTTTGTTTGTTTTTACAAAGAAATAACATTCTCCATGTTTCTGTTTCAAATAAATAGTAGCTTAACTAATTTTTTATTTCCATATGCATTTATAATAAGCAGTAAGAAAGTTTTTTATTTTTTTATTATGATACTTTAAGTTCTGGGATACATGTGCAGAACATGCAGGTTTGTTACATAGGTATACATGTGCAATGGTGGTTTGCTGCACCCATCAACCCGTCATCTAGGTATTAGGTATTTGTCCTAATGCTTTCCCTCTCCTTGCCTCCTACCCTGTGACAGGCCCTGGCGTGTGATGTTCCCCTCCCTGTGTCCATGTGTTATCATTGTTTAACTCCCGCTTATGAGTGAGAACATGTGGTGTTTGGTTTTCTGTTCCTGTGTGTGTTTTCTGAGAAAGATGGCTTCCAGCTTCATCCATGTCCCTGCAAAGGACATGAACTCATTCTTTTTTATGACTGCATAGTATTCCATGGTGTATATGTGCCACATTTTCTTTACCCATCCTATCAGTGATGGGCTTTTGGGTTGGTTCCAGGTCTTTGCTATTGTAAATGGTGCTGCAATAAACATATGTGTGCATGTGTCTTTATAGTAGAATGATTTATAATCCTTTGGGTATATACTCAGTAATGGGATTGTTGGGTCAAATGGTGTTTCTGGTTCTGGATCCTTGAGGAATCATGATACTGTCTTCCACAATGGTTGAACTAATTTACACTCCCACCAACAGTGTAAAAGTGTTCCTATTGCTCCACATTCTCTCCAGCATCTGTTGTTTCCTGACTTTTTAATGATTGCCATTCTAACTGGCATGAGATGGTATCTCATTGTGGTTTTGATTTGCATTTCTCTAATGACCAGTGATGATGAGCTTTTTTTCATATGTTTGATGGCTGCATAAATGTCTTCTTTTGAGAATTTTCTGTTCATATCTTTCACCCCAACGTTTTAAAAGTCATGGAACAATCATAATTTTTTACATTGATTATTAAGATTACGTTGCATGGTTTCAGGTTGTATGTTTATTTATACTCTCCATACCAATATGCAGAAAAAGGACTATCTGTTTGTAAAATAAGGGCAACCAAACATTCCCTATTTTCACCTTGAAAGACAACTTTCTGGCTAAGATGTTAGATGTGTGTTACAATTTAAGACACAATCTTAGACGTCATGGAGTCATTGCTTGTCCATACAGCATTTTAATGTAAAGTAGAAAAAAATCTCTTTATGAAGACAGTTTATTTCTATTGGTCAGAAAATGCATCTATGATGGTTGCAACAGAAATGGTGTGTTTTTAGATGTAGCTCTGCTGTGCTCTCTGCAGCCTGATGAGGGTGGTGGCCGTGGACTGGTTTCAGGGTGTCTCCGTCCAGCTTACAAAGATAACCACGCACAGCAACTGAGCCACAGGAGCTGAGGAGTGGTATATCACTGTTACTGAGCCAACAGGAAAAGCTTCAAGATGACACAGGTGTTCATCAGTGTCTCAAAGGTTAACAACCAGGGCCAGGATTAAGGAGAGGCAAGTGAGGAGTAGTCATGCTAATCCTATTTTGATTCCAATTTTTGATATTTTGTGAATCATGAATTTTTTGCATTAATTTTGATTTTAAAATATATTTGGTATTTACCCAAAGGAGCTGAAAACTTATAACCACACAAAAACTCGCACATAAATGTTTATAGCAGCTTTATCCATAATTGCCAAAACTTGGAAGTACACAAGATGTCCTTCAGTAGATAAATGTATAAAACAACTGTAGTATATCCAAACAATGAAATATTCAGTGCTAAAAAGAAATGAGCTATCCAGCTATGGAAAGACATGGAGGAAACTTAAATACATGTTACTGAGTGAAAGAAGCCAATCTAAAAAGGCTATATGCCGTAATTCCAACTATATGACATTCTGGAAAAGGCAAAACTATGGACACAGTAAAAGAATCGGTGGTTGCCAAGGGTTACAGGAGAGGGAGGAATGAACAGGTGGAACATAGGGGACTTTTAGGGCAGTTAAACTACTCTGTATGATACTATAAGGGTGGATGCATGCCATTATACGTGTGTCTAGACACGGAGAATGAACCACACCAAGAGTGAGCCCTTGTGTAAATTCTGAACTGTGGGTGCTCATGATGTATCAATTGTAAGCCTTGTACCATTCCAGTGGGGGGATGTTGTTAATGGGGGAGGCTGCGCATGCGTGTAGGCAGGGGCCTGTGGGCTATCCCTGTACCTGCAACATTGCTTCGATTCAATATTGCTATGAACCTAAAACTCCTCTAAAGAATCAAGTTTATTAACAATATTACATTACAATGTTATTGATTTTGATTACTAAGTGTTTGCGTATCCTCTTCTAAATTTGGTACACAATGTGGCCCACTCACTTAATCCGATTCACGCCCTGGAACTTCATGAGGCAATTTTACCCTTGGAACTGCTGATTCACTATAAAAAGCAAGAGAGATAGCATGGCCAGGACTCAAGCACTGGAGGGTGAGAAGAATTCTGATTATTTTTTTCCTAATATGCTTTTGTTGCCATCACTTTAAAATATAGGAAGTAATTGTGGCTCAATTTTTTTTTTGCTGCAAATGGCAGGAAACTGTGTATTAGCATCTGAACAGCTGTCAGAGTATGGGCATTTGAGTGTGATTTTATGACAAGCTGAATAATATTTTTGTAGGTGTTTAGAAATTCAGATATAGATGGACACATAGGTAGGACTGCTGGATTTAGCAAGTGAAAATGCAGGATATCCAGTTAAATCTAGATTTTTGACAAACAATAAAGAATATTTTAGTAGAATCATACCTCATGAAATATTTGGGAGAGACTTAGACTAAAAGAATCATTGTTTTTCTGAAAGTGAAATTTAGCTGTGGGTCCTGTATTTTATCTAACAATCCTATACCTTGTGCAATTGCAGTTGTTTGGGGAAGGTTAATTCCTATCTTTTGCTTTAGTTATTGCTGCAATGTATAGACCTCAATATGTTATCACCTTGAGTGTGAGTGATTTTTTTTTTAACAGTAAATTTCTTTATATGCTAACTTCTATGTCTTTGAACAAAATAGCTTCTTTCAATTGGGTGTCCTCCTCTTTTTCTCTTTTCTTATTATTGTGATTTCTCTCCCTCTTTGGACTTTGAGCACATAAAGGTTAGGTTACCAGGTTTCAGCTTTTTTTGTTGTTGTTGTTTGTTTGTTTTGTTTGAGACGGAGTCTCGCTCTGTCGCCCAGGCTGGAGTGCAGTGGTGCGAGCTCACTGCAACCTCCACCTCCCAGGTTCAAGCGATTCTCCTGCCTCCCTAGTAGTTGGGACTACAGGTGCACGCCACCACGCCCAGCTAATTTTTGTATTTTTAGTAGAGACGGCATTTCACCATATTGGTCAGGCTGGTCTTGAACTCCTGACCTCGTGATCCGCCCCCCTCGGCCTCCCAAAGTGCTGGGATTGCAGGCGTGAGTCACCGCGCCCGGCCTCCTGGGGTCAGCTTTTATGTTTTCATCTAATTTCTTTGACAGTTAAGAGCTGAAAGGGAAGCCACATGAGACCAACATATGAAACGCAGCGCTCACATCACATTCAAAGTCGTTTGCTCCCTCATGCCTGAGATCATCAGTATGGAATTACTTCATTTCAAGCAGCTTTTCTTTTTTAGTCCATGTAATCATGCCGATCTCACTATTGTTTTTAAGTTAAGGCAGATCATCTATCCATCCATCCACTTTTACACATAATCATATTTAGTATGTATATACTATTAACTGGAAGGCTAATAGCTAATCCAGTATTCAAACAGTGGCAGAGTTAGGAAAATTGCCTTATGTTAACCACAGTGATTTACCCTTTCTGCTTTTATCAGAGAAATCCTGTATTTTAAAAATATATTTTCTACCTTCTCGTTTGTTTTTGAAATTGGTTATTTCCTTTGCTTTTAAATTTTCTTAATTCGAGAGCCAGTGCAAGGCATGGCATGAATTTGGGGAAGCCTGTCGTGCCGACATTCCTTCCCTGGCTGACCCTCCTGCCCAAGTTCCCAGGCACCTTCCCTGCCTGGTAGGAGACTCACACCCTTTCTAATCTTTGTAGACTTATACTTGCCATTTAAATACAGAACACTGGAAATAGCCAACCTTCTGTCTTGCACATCTCCTCTGATATTTAAATCATGGGAGAGAAGTCACTCTTTTTTTTTTTTTGAGACGGAGTCTCGCTCTGTCTCCCAGGCTGGAGTGCAGTGGCGCGATCTCGGCTCACTGCAAGCTCCGCCTCCCGGGTTCATGCCATTCTTTCTTCTCAGCCTCCCCAGCAGCTGGGACTACAGGGGCCCGCCGCCACGCCTGGCTAATTTTTTTGTATTTTTAGTAGAGACGGGGTTTCACCGCGTTAGCCAGGATGGTCTCGATCTCCCGACCTCGTGATCCGCCCGCCTCCTCTTCCCAAAATGCTGGGATTACAGGCGTGAGCCACCGTGCCCGGCCGAGAAGTCACTTTTTTCCTGCGCCGGATGGATTTGTGGCCTGAGTTTCATATCCTTTGGGCCCAGGGAGTCACTGGGCAACTTTGGCGGACTGATAAAGTATCTTGCACAGAGAAGAATCAGCACACAATATTTAAAGACCCCTGGATCCAAAAACTCTGGCAACCTGCCAGGCACAACGATAGGTGCTAACGATACAACTGTGAATCTTTTGGTTTTAAAGGGTTTTGCATGATTGTGGGAGAGAAGCATACATAAGTAATTTTACTCCAGTGTTATTTAATGCTAGTGTTATTCATGGAGAATTATCTGAGTTGAAGTAGGAGTTAAAGGTAATCTTTTCAAGCAAGGATTGAAAGAAGCTTATGGCAGTACAGGCCAGTGGTTTGGTTAAAGTTTCGCCTTGCACTGTTGGGTGTTTCTTGACTCATATCGACGCTTCACGCACTGGGAATGTTGATTTGAGATCGAATTGCTTTGGCTGCTAAGTATCAAGAGGATGGAGTGAATTCCAAATATGAGAACTAAAGAAGCTTCTGTCTGTAACCATGGCCCTTCTCAATATTTAGGTATTAGAAATAGATCTCCAGCTAAGAAGAGGTTAGTTGTGAGATAGATTAGATCTGGCAGGGAACACTCGGGGTTGGCAGGCTTCCCAGCAGTTGCGGAGTTTGGGAGCCGAGCACAAATGTCCCACCAAGCTAAACACTAAGGACATGCCACATTTCCATTGTCTGCCAGCAGTAAAAGTCAATGAGCTTTGGAGGGAGGTTATTCCAGATTCCTGGACGTCCTTACAACAACAGCTATCAAATGTGAATAATTTCTCTCTTCAAAAATCATATTTTTTTCTTTTTCAGAGCAAAACTCTGGCAATTTTCAAAACCTCTTTTTCCCCCAAGTAAGAGATTAAAAAAAATGAAGCAGATAAAATATATGGCATATGAAGGCTTAAGATCCTAAAGTATTTAATGGCTTTTCCTAAAACTGAAATCTTATTTAAAAGAAAGTTGGAGTCTTGGGATAAGGGCTGCCTTCACAGTCCCCGCAGGGGTAATTTAACTCCTGTATGAACCTGACTTTGGGGTCCTGGGGACTTGGTAGTGAATTGTTTTCACACTAACTCAGGCTCCACTGTGGTGCTGGCTGCTCTGGAGTTGGAGCCTACCGGAGTGTGAGGAGATCCTGCTCTTTCTGGGTCAATTCAATTCCATTCAATTCAAGAAATGTTTATTGCTTATTCCTACGTGCATTTAAAATAATTGGGGTGGTGAATTTTTTGAGGGAAGGGGACTTATTCAGTGACCTTTAATTCACATCTTACAAGTTGTATCTTTGAAAATGACTATCTTGATTGTGATTTGTTTTGAAGTACTTTGGCATCATCAGTCGAATGCACACACACTTCCCACTTCAAACACTCACAGAGAGTATACTTTATACCCTAGGAGCAATTGATGAACACGTGTAGTACTCTAATCAGGAATATACACCTTAGAAGTGTTTGGTTAACATTTGAAAAATTAATTGAGGCCCAGGAAGTCTCCAGAGGTGGCTGATAATAGGGTGCCAGCTAACTATCTCTGATCAATTCCACAAGGTGAAAAATTTTGCATAGCAGATGTTGGTGAAATAATTCTCATTTAAGAAATGTGATTTGGCGGGAGATATTCTGCAGCTGTGATCCGCCTTGTGTGAGCAGCACGTAAGACTCTCGCCAGCTTAATACCTTTTCTGGATAACGCTGTAGACTAGGATTTGGATTAGTTCTGTAGACAAATGCATGGATTTTGCTGTTTGATTCTGACTACCCTGTTAGCTGAATTTCATTGCAAAAATATTGTCCGATCTGCTTCAAAAGAACCTATTAGGCAAAGTAGGGTCCTCGTGCTCTACAGTCAAAGTAAACACTTGACTTGGTTTTCAGAACAGGTATATGACTGTCCATAGAACTATTTTTGCCTCTTTGAGTGGATGGCTGAATTCAGTTGGCTAAATTCATTCTTTTATTGTAAACCCTTCTGTGGTTGTAACATGTCGGAGATAACCCCAATAGCCCTCATCTGACTCTTTCTGTTGGCGTCCAGCAATGTCTACCAATAAAAGAATTTGATATTCACAAATGCCTCCGTCAGTTCCCACCAGTGTGTTTGCTGTGGCAACAAATTCTTGATGAAATTTTCTCCTTCAGTAGCACCAAAAAGGAAGGCCTTTGCTAATTAGGAGGAAGATGACTGGAGAATATAATGTGGTATATGTCTAATTATTTTTTCTTTACCTTTAGCTAGAACTTCTAAAAGGTATTTAGTGTTTGAAGCATTTTCAAAAGAATTTTCCCTTTTAATGCTTTATCTACCATAACACCTTTTTTTTTTTTTTTTCTGGGAGCAATGTCAGAGAAGGGTATTTTGAAAGAAAATTCTGTTGCAGTGATTAAAAGAAACACTCACAGCTTTCAAAAGTGGTTATTTGTGGAAGAGACCTAGTGCTTAAAGGGAGGTCAAGCAGAGGATGGAAAATAGATCCCCCAAACCTATGCAAAGGGTACATTCAAAAACCTTAACCATAGTTTAAATTTACATAGTAGACATTTATTTAGTGCTGAAATCAAATGAAATTTTGCAGACTTACGTGAAAATCTGAACATTTGCTTGTAGGTTCTCCAAAATTAGTGCAATAGTAACACTAAAGAACATCTAGAAAAGCAAACTTGTTAGTCAAGTAATTAAGCCACTGAGAAAAGAATGGAAGAAAATTGTTTGGCTAAAATATATTTGTCTATCCAGAGTTCTCCCCTTTTTTGCCTACATTTTGTTTTGCCGGGGAGCACTATGAGTTTCCAGGAAACAATTTGCGTTACAATCTTCCCTTCTCTTGCTTGAGTATGCTGCTCATGCTCTAAGACCAGTAAAGAGGAAATGACATACTATGTGTGCTTTCATTCCTTCCAGAAAATAAATTTTATTGGCACATATAGCTTGCACATAACACATTTGCAACCACTTCATTTGTTGGAACCAGGTAATAAAAGTGAGATTTCCTTTAACAAATGATATTCTGACATTCATAAAAATGAAGTAATGAGATCAGTCGGCCAGCTTAGGAGAAGGCCACATGCCAAATGATATAAGTTTAAATAACATAAAGTGCAATGTCAAAGTAGTTGAAGTAGTAATATGCAAATTTCCACTCAAAAGGTAGGAAGAGGAAGACAATTCTTCTTACTGTGAAGTACCTGAAAGAGCCCAGGCTCTACACGACTAGATTAGCTTGAATATGGCCAATAAAAACCAACAGTTAGTACAATCTAAATTGCATTGAATAATTTGCATCAAATTGAGACTCAGAGAAAAATAATTCTACAGGAACCATTATGAAAGAGGAAAAACTATCCTTTGTTTTTTAAATGGTGCAAATTTAAATAAGTTCTATAACCTCAGGATAGAAGATAGCTAGACTAATAAAATATTGGTTTAACAATAAGTCAAGTTCAAATACATGAATGAATCTGATTCTACAATTTTCTTTTACCTACACTGATGTCATTTTGGCCTTTACTTCATGATCTTGAAACTATATCGTTAGAATGAAATAGTGGAAAGTAGAAAATATTATATGCTGCTTTTTACACAAAGCTTTTTATCAATTTTCTTTATTTTCTCTTTCTGCTAATACAGTGGTAAAGGCAAGGTGATTCCAAAAACAATGGCTCACTCATAATTGAATGATTTTTTTTTAATCAACACAGAATGGACAACAACTAAAGGTCAATAACGCTAGAGATAAAGCAGCGTATAATTTATGGATCTCTGTAATGCCCTATGAGATGGTTGTGATACAAACACAGATTTGTTTATTCTTTTTAGTTTCTCTTACTGCTTTCTCTCTGGGTCACCTTCTATCTTTTAAAATCAAACACCAAATTAAAATTATTAATTTTAAAAATAGTATAATTACAACATAATATGAAGATACTGCCATAAATGCTCCACATCATGACAGTCAAAGCTCATTAGGGATGATTTTTAATCTTTGTGTTTCAGCGCTTCCCTCTACAAGCCAATATAGTTGACGGTTTTCAAGTGCAAATGAGTAAAAGGAGGTGATTTGTGTATAATAATTAAATTTTAGAACTAAAAGGAGATTTACAGTTCATCTACTCCAATCTTTTTACTTCATATTTGAAAGTGAAGTGAAAGAGGGAGGGCTGTGTAGGTTACATGTGTTGTCCATGGGAAAACAGGTCTTAGGCTTCTATTGGGTTGCTCCTTCCCCTAACGTATTCAATTAGCTTCTTGTGTCCAATAAACCTAAAAGCCCTTTAAATACTTTGGTCCTTGGCTGTCCCCTATTCCTCCATCTGTGTGGGCATCTGTTCTACATGTTTTGTGCTCCTTCCCAGGGATGTGAATCCTGATTTCCCATCTGACTCACTATCTCTAAGCTGGCCAATCCACTCACTCGCTCAAGGGGTGGAGTCCTAAGAGTCACTTGGCTCAGAGGAGAGCAGTGGCCATGATTTCTGCCGGTACTACTAATTACGCGTGCCCCATGGCTCATGCTCATGTGGATACACACTAGTTCTATTATTTCATCATTGAAAAACATTACTTAAAATAATTATTTAAGTGGTATGGAGTTTTGCTAGTCTCAAATGCAAGGAGCTTTTCCATATTTATTTGTAGATCAATGCATTTTTATAATTATACTGAAAAAAATTCCAAACAATGCATAAATCCAAACCTTAATTTTGAAAGAGCCTGATTAAAGATATAATCTGAAAGATAAAATTAGCTAGAGAGAAGTTTTTAATTAAGAATATTTTGGCCTCAGATGTTTTGATGAGTTTTTAATCTTTATCCTCTTAGGAGATGAAAGAAGTATAAGGCTTTTGGAAGAACAGGAGCATATATTATGAGATATCATATTTGATTAGCTTTTTATTTGCAGGGCAATAGCAATAAAAAATTATGCTTGCCTAGCTATAGACAGCAAGCATTAGGAAACTATTTTTTTCCATATTTCTCCCCCCCCTTTTTTTTAGTATACTCTCTTTTCCAGATTTTGATATTAGAGTGTGCCAGCTTTATAAAATAAATTTATATTTCTTCACTTCTACCTTAATGAGGAGACTACAGAAAAGAGGAACAATCCAGATTCTAGGAAATACACCAACTTTGAACTCTCTTATATACATTTATTCCCTGCTATTCAAATCTATTCAGTTTCTAAATTGGGAGAGTGAGGATTCCAATAGTAATTCGGAAAGCAGGGAGCATTCTGATTCAGCTATTCAGGGCCCAAATTTTAGATACCAAGTTGTCAGAGTTTTGAAATTGATGTGTAACTTTTCTCCAAACAGTCCTATCTCACCAATTTTATCTGAATCTCTTCTGTTGCTAAGTTTGGGGAGTGAGAGTTTTAACAGAAAATATTACTTGTATTTTTGAGCCTATAAAGTTAGACAATTCCACTATTGGGCTTCCCAAGAACACCAGGCATTTTTATCCTCAATCTTCTTGAAAGATGGATTTGGGAGAAGGACATCAGCAGGAACAGATTAATAAAAACATCTCTGCACTCTGGGGTGATTTGCTTCTAGACTTTAAAGCATGAAGGTATCTGTAGTGGACCCAGGAAAGAGGGTGTTGGGCATGGAAACAGTGATATGGCTCTGTTCAAGTGGTGGTGGCTGCTGGGTGTGTGTGTGTGACAGAGAGAGAGAGAGAGACAGAGAGAGAGAGAGAGGGAGAGAGAGAGAGAGAGAGAGAGATTGAGAGACAAAGGAAAGAGTTGTGTCCATGAAAGATGGGAGGGGTCTGGTCATGTACATTGGTCACAAGTTATCTTCTCTGCTCCCTAATCCATCCATGCCCTCTCTCCTCCAGCATGGCCTATTAAAGGTTTCACTTGAATGTAGGGAATTAAAAGTTTTGAAACCAACACAGAAAATGTCCCATCCCCAGACTGGGGATAGGGATTCCTATAGTAATGACTGGACATAAACATCAGTGTCCAAAGAGCATGATGTTATGAGGAGTATCAGCAGCAGAGGCAACGGTCTGGCAGGGAGACAAGATGCCCTGAATGGAAAACAGCAATGCGAGTGTGAATGCTAATAATGGTAATGTTACTAGCAATGGTAATTGAATGCAATGAGGGCTATATGCCTGGCATTTTCCTAAGCATTTTCATAAATGAACTCATTAGATCCTCACAACAACCTTATGAGTTACTATTATTATCCCAATTTTTCAGAAGAACTAAGATGCAGAAGACTAAGGAATGTCTAAGATCACATAGCTAAGAAATGGCAGAGTTGGGCCTGAAAGAATTTGGACAGTCTGGATGCAGAGCCCATGTTCCTAAACACCATATTATTCCACAAAACAATTCCAGAGAGCTGGGAGATAGTTAATTGAGAGCTGATACCTGCCATTAAAGCTGGCAGAATCGTGTGTGTGTGTGTGAAATAGTCTTACATATATTCTTGAAAAAATATATAAAATTTATGAAATGGTCATATATATATATAATCTATCTATCTATCTATCTGTCTGTCTGTCTGTCTGTCTGTCTGTCTGTCTGTCTATCTATCTATCTACCTGTCTTTATGAATAGAAGACCATTATATATGTAGACCATATTTTACATATATATATATATAAAATGATCTTCTCTTCTTATGTATGTATATAAGAAATGGTCTTGTTTTGCAATCTTATTTTAAAACAAGTAATGTTTGAAATTTTTGCATTTTACTATATTTTTCTTACTATGAATTTTGTTAGTGTTAGTATTTAATTTCTTCAAGAGAATATGTTTTCCTCTCGAAGGAGGTTTTCAGACTATTTCAACACATTTTATAGGTATAAAATCTATTACCATATAGAAGAATAATAAGAAAGTTAATTTTGTAACTTTTATCTTTGATGTAGCTTCTAAATTATGCTGATACTTACCTTGACACATGATACAGTTACAGATCTTAAGGCACTAAAAGAATTATTTTATTCTGGTATGTTTCCAGTGGAGGTATGTGCACCTAAGTGAGCTGTGAGCTCATTCTATCTGTATTCAGATTTCTATAGGAGCCCAGCCTTAGGTGGTACCAGTTGATGGTGTAAATCGTTGAAGGTATTAGCATAGCATCAAGGCAGTTTAGGGCTGAAAGAGGCCTTGGGACCAACTCTGTCATTGCGAATGAGGAGGGGAAAACTGAGGCTCAGAACCAGTGAACAGTGAAATCATGGGTACCTCCAGCATCAGTTATATATTGAATGCAAGGGCAGGAAATAGGAAATTAATGTGATGCCCAATCTCTTAGATCTTCTCTTACAAAATTGGCCTTTTGGAATTTATGTACTAGATAATAAATTGGAAGTCTGAATAAAGAAGTTTGCTCTTGGGCTGAGAGTGGAATCTTGTTTTTGATGGAGCTTAACTTTCCTATAATTTGCTTTTTAGGGCTGAAAGTAGAAACTGTATTCATTTCTTTCTTTTTACCTTACTTTCCCCCTCTGTCTTGGAGTTATGAAATGTTTTGGTGTTTGTTCTGATGCTTGATAAAGAAACAATAATTATCCCCTTTGGCTTTCCTTTCAATTTTGCGTAACTGAAATTTGATATCGTGTGTTAAGTGATTCATCTGCTGCTTTTATATCTGGTCATTTAGGCAAGAAGCCTTGAATAAAAGCAATTATGTTGGGTGATTCCCAATTATCCACATGCGGCCTAAGCAGATCTGTGTCCTTTAAACTCTCCAGATGCCATTTCAGGAAAAAGCACAAAGCCCAACAGAAATATACTGCTCTCAGCCAAAAGCCTCTTTTGTAACAAAGTTCTAGATAACAGTGATGCAAGGGCTGAACCAGGGATTCTCAGCCTCAGCACTATTGCCATTTTGGGCTGGATGATTCTTTGTGGGGAGGGCTGTCTGGTGCATTCTAGAATGATGAGCAGCTTCCCCGACCTCTCTCCGCTAAAAGCCAGTCATACTGCCTTAGTTGTGACAACCAAAAATGTTCCAGACATTGACAGCTGTTCCCTGTGAGGCAAAGTCACCCCCAGTTGAGAATGCCTAATCTCAGCCTACATTATGTACCTCACATTACTCTTCAGGTTTTGCATTTTGGAAGCACACTCTGGAAACATATTATAGACATGTTGGGGGAAAGATAACCTGTGGTCTAGCTGTCTAAAATACACTCAGTGATGTTTCATAAATGGGGGTCCTCCTCGTACACATTGCTTTTAGGCACCCCACCCTGATGACAATAAACAGCCTGGCAAAGCTTTTCACATTTTTAAAAATCCAGGTGAAAAAAAAATTAAAAATGACTGTTCACATGACCAACAGTTTTCAAAGCACTTTGAAATTGCATCTCATTTTTGCCTCATAAAAGCCTTGTAAGTTATGTTAGATGCCTGTTAATATGATTACCAGCTTACAGATGAAGACACTAAGTCACAGTGAAAGTCACAAGCCAGTTTATGCAAGTGATAGACTTAGAGCTCAAGTCACTTGCAGTCTCACAGCTGTCATCAAAGTGGCCATAGTGGAGAGTGAGGAGTGTGAGGCTCAGGACAGCAGGCTTTCAAATGTTGGTCCTGTGACAACTAGCTGTCAGAAATTGGGCCAGTCAAACTCATTAATGAGTCAAAAATCTCATTATTTTTCAGTTTTCTTGTCTGTAAAGTACGGACTATACTTTATAAGGCACTTTATGAGGTATATAAAATTGTGAGTAATAAATGGTCAGTGCTTGGTGTATAACAAGCACACAAATATTGGGTACATTGTTATTAATAAGAATGACTACACTAGTATTGTTATTAATTTTGAGAGTGAAAGACAGACTGCCTAAGTCTGGAGCTAAGATCTTCCACTTAGCAGCCGTGCAGCAACACAACCCTAATTTATCCTCTCTCTGGCTTCGTTTTCTCGTTCACAAGGCGAGGATGATGGTGTCTGCCTCACCTCATGGGGCTGTGTGAGGATTAAGTGCCACATAGTGAAGGATCACTGTGTGTAAACAATAATAATAATAACACTGATACTGATGATGATGATAATTATTCAATAAATACATTGGCATTTTTTCCAGATACGGCTAAATTTGAGCTTAGCCTCAACAGTCTTGTCTGCTCCAGCCTTTATCAGACAGGAGTTTGTTTGTAAGATAGAGAAAACAACACTTGTCATCTTAGACAGAAAGGAATTTATTGGAACAATAACACTGGAGAATCTGCCAGGCTCTAGGTCTGGATCTGGAAAGTGAGCAGAGGCCATGGGAAGCCAGAAGGCTGGGATCAGGAACTGTGCTGGGAGTCACCAGCAGGAGCAGCCTGGACTGCGGCACTGTCCCCGTGGGAAGAACTCTCATCGGGTCCCTGCATCCTTTGCTGCTTCCAAGACAGACAAGGGCCCAGAAGAGGGGTCTGCTTGGCTTTTCCTGGCTGCAGGGGCTAGGACAGAGGGCCGGTCTCTTTGGCCTCTGGGATGGTCCAGGCACAACCTCTCTCCAGAACTGTACAACACAGGGCTGGACGCGGTGGCTTATGCCTGTAATCCCAGCACTTTGGGAGGCCGAGGCAGGTGGATCACCTGAGGTCAGGAGTTCGAGACCAGCCTGGCCAACATGGTGAAACCCCTTCTCTACTAAAAATACAAAAATTAGCTGGGCATGTTGGTGGGCGCCTGCAATCACAGCTAGTCAGGAAGCTGAGGCAGGAGAATCACTTGAACCCGGGAGGCGGAGGTTGCAGTGAGCCGAGATCACGCCATTGTACTCCAGCCTAGGCAAGAAGAATGAAACTCCATCTCAAAACCAACCAACCAACCAACCAACCAACCAACCAACCAACAAACAAACAAACACTGTATAACACAGGAGAAAGACAGGCCCTTAAACATAACTGGGGAGTATCACGAGGAGGCTTGCATGGTGGGAAGCCAAGAGGTTGTGGATGTCTCTTATACTTTGCTAAGTATTTACTAGAAGAGAGATAGAGAGAGAGAGAGAGAGGGGGGTTTCAGCTGTTAAAATTAATCACTATGGTACTACAAGTAACATTTTAATTTTTAAATGGTACATTGCGTAATTGACATAGATAAGTTTTTTAAAAAATATTGTGGCCAAATATTTGTTTCAAATACAGTCACAATCACTATGCTACTGGTGGGAATGACAATGAGAAATAACTGACCTTTAAAAGACAGATTTAAAATGGTAAAACAGAGAAGAGTGAGTTCAGTTTAAATACTTTTCATTGAGCACTTACTATGCCCTGGATACTGGGCTAGGGCTGAAGACTAAAGATGCAAAAACATGGGTTCTTCCTCTAGGAAGCTAGTCATCCATGTAAAGATGCAGATACATTAAAAACTAAACAAAAACTCAAGTAACATAATGGGACAAGTGTTTTAATAAAGGCATTATGCAAACTGCTTTGGAATAACAGAGAAGAGACATAACTATGGTAGTGATGTGAGCTTAGACTTGAAGCAACAATAAGCCAGGAAAGAAAGAGATGAGGGGATTCCAGGAAGAGAAAAAGCAAAGGTGGAAGAAAAATCATATAAAAGAGAAGAGGCTCAAATCCCAAGCCTGTTCTAACTACTTGTCCTATCACATCTCATTCTTTTTATTGCCATTTTATCGCCTTTGTGATTTTTTTAAGAGCTAAAAAGTCCTGTGTAATAGCTGTCCCATGAGATCGTGTTGAATGTGAGAGCCGTATTTCTGGAATAACTTCCTACTAGTCATGTTTCTGAAAGGGCCCTCCACCTAGACCTGCCATGGAGAAAGCCATTAGGTGGATACTATTCAGGAAAGGGGAGGCATCAGCATTCAGAGGGGGCACAAAATGTCTCCTCTGTCAATCTAATTCCATTTTAACATGTCCTTAAGCTCATTTTTATAAGACTTAAATGAGCAGGTCTGGCTCAGATTCAACTGTGGCTGTACCTGTTCTGAGAAAGCGCTGGAGAGGGTGGTACAATTGTGAAATGGATTAGCAGCCTTAATTACCTGCGAAAGTTAATTAAGGTAAAGACAGGCAATAGAACAAATGATCCATGCAGACAATGAGAATAGTCCTAGATACATAAGACAAATCTGCCTTTCTTTTCCTGCCTAATCACAGTGAAACCATTCAGAATTTATCTCCTTTGAAAAATTACTGAAATAATAAAATAGATGTTAAAAAGGCAAGTGCAGTCTGATCTTAAATGAAAGGTGAGAAATGGCAATCCTGGATTTTGGTCCATTTAGATCAGGGATCAGGAGACTTCTGTAAAGGTCCAGATAGTAAATATTTTTGGTATTGGGGGCCATGAATCTACATTACAACTTTGGGTTGTCGTGTGAAAGCAGCCATAGAGAATATGTAAAAGAGTGGGCATGATTGTGTTTCAATAGAACTTTATTTATAAACACTGAAATTTGAATTTCATATAACTTTCATGTATCACAACATATTATTTCTTTGGATTTTTTTTCCAACCATTTAAAAATATAAAGAAACATTCTTAGCTCAAGGGCCATACAAAAATAGGTGGCAGGCCAGATTTGGTCCATGAGCTGTATAGTTTGCTAACCCCTGGTTTAAATGATAAAGAAATGATGAAATGATGAAAATGACTTAAATGTTAAAGAAACGTGGCCCAAATATGACAAAAATAAATAATATACTTACTATCATAACATCACAGAGTAAAGAATGACATAGTGGCACAAAACTCATTTTAAAAATCTTATTCCACAAAATTACGTGAATGTTCTCCAAGAAGTGAGTCAATCACATATTAATGGGCCATTTTCAGAAGTTATTCACCAAAAAGTGCCACTTATCTTGTCCGTACAAAAACGTGACTTCAAATTTCACTTGGAGCCAACTGGTTGAAGTATCTTAAATTTAGGCACTTGAAATTTCTTCTAAATTCATCAACTTTTTTTTGATAACAACTAATATTCACTAGAAAATGAGACACAGATGATGGCCCTAACCGCACCAACATGGACGCCATAAGGAGTGTCAGGGGGAACTCTGGCGGGAGTTGGATCTCGCCAACAATATTATTAGGTCAGCATTAAGTATCTCTGAAATGAATGGCCAGCATATCATTTTTGTATTGATTTTGGCCTCAGTTCTCTTTTTCTTTTGTTTTGCTTGTTTGAGTCATCTGCTGATATGCTTTGGTCATCTCTATGTCTTATATTAGTCTAGTAGTTTCCTGGCATCATTAATTATGTTGGTAGCAACATATTCTTTCTCTGGTTATGACATAAGCATTATTTTCTCCCCTTACCCAGTTTAGTGGTCTCTTCCTTATTTACAAAGTTGTCCATGAGCTGCTTTTATACTGACCCATTTTTGTTTTTATTTTTCAACTCAAAATTCTGTGGAAACCTCGGAGTGTTTTTCCTCCCTAATGTGAGATAGTCACCCTTGAGAATTGCTCTGAAAACAGCAATTGCTGCAGAATATGTCTCCCCAGGTGTATAGAAATGTCTTCAGATATTGTGGTGGGAAGGGTTTGTAAATGACTTTAATGTTGATAGGGAAAGAATTGGGGTTTAAGTCTGCTTGGAAGATTTCTATCCTTGTATCAAAGGCTTATTCTATTAGGTATGAGTCCTAAAACCTTGTCAGCATACATATTTATAGTCTTACACATATATGTGATATGTGTAACACATAACTATATAGTTGTAGTTATAACAATTTTAACTCCATATAGTTATATATATATATTTATAAGTCATCTACATGCATTACTGTATACATTAAAAACACATAGCTAACAGAATTTTAAAAGGTTAAGATACAAATAAAAACAGGAGTTCTAGTGTTTTCTTTCCAGTCCTGTAAATTGATTTGTGCACTCCTGGCATACACACTCCCCTCTCTGGAGATCAACATTCTACTGGCCCTCAAAGCTGGGATTAAAGGCCATCTGTTTTATCTGCTTCACTAAGGTTTTGTTGTTCATGGCTTCACACTTACAGTAGTGCACAGAACACTGAGTCATATTGTTGTGCTTTTGGGCGTGAGACTACAGAGCTAAGCATAGAGAATATTCTTTCCAGTTTGTGGCATGTGATGAGCTTGATGAATCTGGCAATTTCCATGATGAAGTAGGTTGTGCCTGGGGCACAGTTGGGCTGATGCAGCGTGCATGTGATGAGCGGGCTCAGAGCTCTGTCTTACAGGAGCAAATACCACAGCACCATGTCCCTTTATTTTGGCACAAACTGAATTTTATGTTTATTTTGAGGGCTGAATTTAGGCAAAACTGACTAGCTTTGAGGGAGTTGAAGATGTTTCTTACTGAACCCAAAAGCACCACTTAGCCCCTTTGCAGTGGGTGCATTTTGTGCCACGAGGATGGGACCCAGCACCATGCAAAGTATCTAATCATCTTCCAGTGTGAATTGCAGACACCATGATATTCCTTTCTAGGATAGTTGAATGTAAACTCTTATCTAAATGTTGAGTAAAGGCTTTTCCTTCTATCGAGAGAATTTTAAACATTAATGATTAGGCAGAGATAGAAGATGAGGTTAGAAAGCTTCTAGGTTCCTCTGAAATCACCCTGTTTGTTGATATGCTCATCTGTTCTCAGCCTCTAAGTACTTTCCTAGTCATTTGAAAAAGGAGAGAGATTCAACAAACCTGGTTTTATTCCTGAGAGAGTACTGTCACAAACAATAATGTTGTCAAGAAAACCAAAATAGTGTCTGACTTGTTTAGAGGTGCTAAGGGCATCTGACAAGCCAAAGAGTAAGGATAATATTGGAGGAGGAAGAATGCCTCTTACATTGGTGGACAACAGAACACGTAATTTGAAGAAAATAATCTGCTGAATTTCATTATTTAATTCTGATCTTGAACATCACATCTACATTTATTTCCATGCTAAACATGTAGAAAAAACTAGAACTAATTAGAACATTTGGAAATGGTACCAAAATAGATAATATTTTTAAATCAAATAAATAATAGAATGAACAAAAATGGGCATAAATGAGTGAGCAAAGCCGTAAGCACATTAGAAATATACAAATAATAAATGGTACACAGATGGCCTGATATTTAATACTGAACTGAAGTTCTGGAATGAACACAGAGTTTTTTTTTAATTGAAAATGGCATTTCACTGGCACACAGAAATAATAATAATTGGCTCTTTGGGACATTTCCTAACTGAGGGCTTAATAGACTACAGGTACTCTTGCACTTTTGAGGTTTGATTAAAGATTATATAAAACAAATAAGTGTAATGAATTCTGTTAGTGATAAACTAAAATATTTCAAGTAAAACTCAGTGGTGATTTCTGAAACAGCTGTGAAATATACTAACAAGATCAGTAGTCTCAACAATATATTTCTACTTGTGAGTATATATTTAGAGACCAACAAAATAGGGGGATATCAGGATTTGATTAAACTGTCAGGCCAGGAACCATATGTTTACATTTGAGTTTCTGCAGTCAATGGGGTGTTTAACATGGCCAGAAAACTTCCTTTGAAGTGGGTAGCAAAGACAGGGAAGGAGCCACATAAGTTGATATTCAGCATGGTTTAATGAGACATGTGGCTCCAATCCACAGACCAAATTCAATATCTACTCTACTATACATTTTTGCCAAACATAAATCCATATTTATTATTCCCTTCAAAGCATTTTGGACATTAACAAGGATTCAAGGAGAAATGGACCCTTTGCCAACTTCAGAGCCAGTTGAAATAGAAAGGTCTGAAGTTAAGTTTACACTGCGGGTCTATCGTGTTTACTGATTTGGCACCACACTGTTTCTTGACTTCTGATGATAAATGGTCTATAAAGAGGTCACACATCTTCTTTAGCGTCAAATATCTCTTCACAAGTAATATTTTAGTGAGTTGAATATAAATGAGCCAAAATCATGAATAATAGGTCCCTTTGGACTTATGAACGAAGGGGGAAAGTAGTTGTAGTTGATAAAATGTGACCAGAAACTGTAGCTTTAGTTTTTGTTAAATGTTTGAAGAAGGCACTATTCGATTAAAGAAATCATCTAGTGACAGTGCCTCTTTTCTGCTGAACACTCTTGGATTGGGCCAGTTACTCTTTAGGCTGAATTTCCTCCTGTCCCCAACTTTTATTTGTTTCCTTGTGGACAAATTCATCCCCCTGCTTTTCTGTGGACCTTGCTTCCTTACTTCTCAAATTCCATATATTTTAAAATGACGGTATATATCTTTCTTTTTTCTTTTTTTTTGAGACGGAGTCTTGCATGGACCCCCGGGCTGGAGTGCAGTGGCACGATCTCTGCTCACTGCAACCTCTGCCCACTGGGTTCAAGCAGTTCTCCTGCTTCAGCCTCCCAAGTGGCTGGTGCGGCCACCACACGTGCCACCATGCCCAGCTAATTTTTTTTTTGTATTTTTAGTAGAGATGGGGTTTCACTATGTTGGCCAGGCTGGTCTCAAACTCCTGACCTTGTGGTCCGCTCGCCTCAGCCTCCCAAAGTGCTGGGGACTGTATATATCTTTTGCAATATCTCCCATATTTAGTTTTTTCTTCTGGAAGAGTATACTCTACTATTATTAGGCAAGTCCCCAATGAGGACTTCTTTACCTGTAAGGAAAGCAAACTTCAGAAAGTTGACACTGGTTGTAGAGAGAAATCTAGGTCGAGAAGCCACATCTTCTGACTCATAGTCTTATACTTTGATTAGTACTCTGTATGGCTTCACCTAATACTGAGACATCTGCAAGAAGCCTCTGGATTCTGATGTCTTCCCTTTTCAATTTCCTCTTACCAATTTATTTAAAAAAAATAACTGTACCAGGTGTTTTGCTAGGAGCTGGGTACCAGTCTGCCCCTGCAGGACCAGTTACATAATTTGAGGGACCCACTGCAAAATAAAGATGCAGGACCCCATTTTCAAATAATATTAAGAATTTCAAGATGGTGAGAGCAGAGCATTAAACGATGTGTAGGGCTCTTCTGAGCCCAGTGCCCTGTGTGCCTACATAGGTTGCAAGCCCAGGAAGCTGACCTTAGCACCTGATTGTTCACATAGCACTCTTCTTAATGTCATTCCTTTGCTTATGACTTATTAAGTGGTCCTCAGAAACGTTTAAACTCTAAGAACTCTCCCCCTTTTGGCTGAAATCAGACTTTCCATTCTGACTTCTCATGGTTCTCCTAAGCAGACTCTCTTCCTGCTTAACTAATGAAATAATATAGTTGAAAAAATATCAGTTTTCTCAGCAGCTGATAGCAAAATGGTAGGCGCATGAAGAGCTCAGAGTGAGTCACTCAAAAGGAGAAGTGACCTTCGGGAAGATACTTGGATAGCAAGAGGAAGAAGTATGTTCTTCTAGATGATAAAGGAAGTGGAGAGGAAGGAGAGCACAGTCTTGGGGAGAGAGGCTTGACTTCTCTGGCAGCAAATATTTCCCAGAGAAGACATCAGTTGAGAGAAGGGTTCTATTTGTGTTAAAATCTTCTGCTGACTGCCTTGCTCAGAACGCGTTTGGCATGGAAATTCTGAGGCTGTGTTAGGGTTGGCGGTGACTTCAGACTGGGTGTGGTCGCTCATGCCTGTAATCTTATAACTTTGGGAGGCTGAGGTGGGCAGATCACTGAGCTCAGGAGTTCTAAACCAGCCTGGCCAATATGGCAAAACCCTGTCTCTACTAAAAATACAAAAATTAGCTGGATGTGGTGGTGCATGCCTGTAATCCCAGCTACTCGGGAGGCTGAGGCAGGAGAATCACTTGAACCTGGGAGGCGGAGGTTGCAGTGAGCGTAGATCACACCACTGCACTCCAGCCTGGGTGACAGAGCAAGACACTGCCTCAGAAAACAACAACAGCAACAAACAAACAAACAAAAAAACTCAGTGACTTTATGAGATGAATGTCAACAAATGGGATTCTTCTGGTATTTCACTATATCCTGACCATGCCTGGCATATGCCATTTTCCCACCACCCCTCTCAATCTACCCTTTTCCCAGCTATTCTTTCCTCTTTGTTCTTTGCTTATTTAAAATCTGTTCATCATATCAGGCTGAATTCAAACTTTTCTTTCTTTAAGAAATCTTAAAAACCATCCTGATTCAAAATGTGTTCAAAATGCATTCAAAATGCATTTTCTGCTATAAATGCATTTGACCTGTCACAAATCACTTGGCACTGTGGCTTATTGGCTTATTTCTCTTTCTAGATGGAATTGTTTTATATGACTGTGTGTGATCTCCCTCCTGAGGGAAGGGCTTGTCTTTTCATCTTTCTACCTCACACCCAGCCCAGTATTGTGTCTATACAGCAGAATGGAGAGTGATCCTAAAGAGGAGAGTTGATCAAGCTAGAGAAAACCTTAAAGTCAAAGAAAATGAAAAAAAAGGAGCAGAAAATATTTAGGTTTTAGAGACAGGTACTTGCAGCTTGGCAAAGACTTCCATACAAATCTGTTGATATATATTCTCTTCTGAAAAGTATTATTTTGACCAGGTATATTAGTAAGTCAGAAACTTTTTAATAAGCTTTTTGAAGAAGTGGCCAATATTCCAACCTTCCAGCAAGTGGTCATGGGACAAATGCAATTGGGGGAACACATTGGAAATATCCAGGCTGTTCCATAACATTGCTGTTACTCATGCAGATTGAGAGTAATCACCAGGTCTTTGGAAAGAATTTGAATCTGATATATTTACTTAGAACATATTCTATTACCATAGTCACAAAATAAACTCTATATTGTTTTCATAATAGTGTATGGTTCCAGTCTTTGCAGCTAAATTATTTGCCACAATCGTAATGTTCTATAGATACCGTTTATGCAGATAGCTGATTGGGTACAAACTATGATTACTGAAGTGAATATTTTGATGCCTAGAATGGGCTAAGGCCGGTAAGTAGCACAACTCGGAGATTTTTATCTTAAAGATGTTTATTTCTGTGTGAACATCCTTGATATAGTTTGGCTGTGTCCCCACCCAAATCTCATCTTGAATTGTAGCTCCCATAATTCCCACGTTTTGTGGGAGGGACCCAGTAGGAGATAATTGAATCATGGAGGCAGTTTCCCCGATACTATTCTTGTGGTAGTGGATAAGTCTCACAAGTTCTGATGGTTTTATAAGGGGAAACCCCTTTCTCTTGGTTCTCATTCTTTCTTGCCTGTCACCATGTAAAATGTGCCTTTCACCTTCTGCCCTGATTGTGAGGCCTCCCCAGACACATGGAACTGCGAGTCCATTAGACCTGTTTTTCTTTAAAATTACCCAGTCTTGGGTATATCTTTATCAGCAGCACGAGAACGGCCTAATATAATCCTACATAGAGTTTTGTTGAAAGGGGAGAGAGCTGGTATCAGGTGGAAAAAGAAAAAGCCGACCCTGCGGAAGGAGTAAACCTCAAGTAGGAATACATTTTTGTTTTATCTACGAATATGGTAAGTTTATATTTCATTTCGGAAGATACTGATATCAGAGAAGTTAAACATGGTATCCATGATAATGATAGTGAGTAGGTGTTCCCACCATAGAAAACTCAAATGGCCTTTCCTGTATGAAGTCAGGTGGGTCAGGAGCAAAATGACCTGACAAATGAATTGGTTGGGAATTTAGAAATCTCAGTAAGAAGTGCTTCACTTATTCAAACAGCATGCCACGCTGTCTCCCCGACCCCTACCACCAAAGATACCTTTCAGATGGCAGCTTTTTCCCCCAAACACCTTCTTCAGTAGCATTATCTTAGAAAGTTATTGAGGTGCTTAGGTTTACAGACTTGGAAGCCTGACTGTGTGATGCAATTGAGAATCATCTGTCTCTAAGATTCAGATGCATATTCGTTGAGCTTAAGGTTGACATACAAACATAGAATGCAAATTTATCTATTTATAGTGAAACTTCTGTCTTAGGAATCAGAATACTCAAGTCCTCAGCACCAGCACATTCTCTCCCTATAGGTCATCCCATATAGGGAGCCCATTATAATCAGAAGACTTTCCAGGGTGACATGAGAACATACTGTTAGTTTGATGAACTTCAGTGTTTCTTGGCAACAGGCTAAATTAGCTTGTTGTTTACACCGCCACAAAAAGAAAGACCTTGACAATGGACTACAGTATTCTGTGTCTGGCTAGGCCTGTTTAAAATGCTTTGGTGAGCAGCTTACATGTAACTTTCTGACTCTCTTTTTAAATCTTCCATAACTCATCAGGCATACTTTGTATCAACATATTATTTCTTTAGATGTGTTAATGAACTCCATTTGATCCCAGTCAGATTTTGCAGGCTTAGTTCTTGAAGGGACCTTGCAAAATGGGATGACTTTTAAATAATTAATCATATTTTCTTTTTCAGCTTCATCCATGATTAATTTTACCCTGTGGAAAATAAGGAGAAAATCCTAGTCATTGCTTGGTAGTAGGAGTGTGGTGGCATTATGGAGGAGTTTAGTGGGGAGTGACAAGATCTTCATTAAGGACATAGGGAATTGGGAGACAGATTTTCAGTTGCAGGAGAGATTTCCAGTTGCAGGTGAAACCATCTTGAGTTTGGAGTGGGAAAATTTGGAGAAGATCATTTGTGTCAATTCAGCTGGGATGGTGGTGAGGTGTTGACCTACCGGTGCAAAGATCCCATCTCTGTACACATTAGTGGCAAAACCCATGGCAGTTGTCATATAAATGAGTCCAGTGGCAAAAGCAAATTAATGAGGATTTTTCTGTGGTCAGAACAAGGTAGACTAAACCAGTGGACCCAAAGCTAAGAGAAAACGCAGGATACAGGAAATAAACCTGGTGATTCTTTCTGGAAAACACAGTCCTACTCTGACTGATGGAACAAGCAGAGAAAATGAAATTTTTATCTTTCTTTTTGTTGTCTAGTTTACCCTTCTTTCTGATAGAAAGTAAAAACAGTGGAGCATGGAAATATATATTTTTAAAGGTCTAACAGCTTAACTAGTAGTCATGCTCATATTTTTATTTTCTTTTTATTGTCTTGCTCTGACTGAGCATTAGGACAGAAATTAATTGATTTCGCAAAGTGGCGTATGCCACCACCACCCACCACCCCAAAGCAACAACAAAAACAAAATTTTTTCATAGGCTTGTGCCACTGGTTTTGAATAGAGTTCATTAGCAAATGTAAACTTTGTCTTACAGTCATATTTAACCATTGCCTTATAAATTAAAACCAAGACATTATTAAATTCTTAGAAAAAAAGATATAAACCATTTGCTTAGTTAATAGTTCCCCCTTTCCTTCCCAAGATAAAAAACAAAAACCAAACATTTTTGTGTTGCTATAAATTGCACCAGTGCATCCCTTTTGATGGTGTTGTGTTGCATAATATGTAACTACAGAAACTAATTTTGCAAACATGCAAGAATGGGATATTTGCAAATAGCTCTGTTCTGGATATTAAGCACAAAGTGAATTAAGTTATTGAATTCCGTTTAAGCAGCATTAACCTTGTTTTAAGCCTTTTACTTTCATTAGTCCACCCTTCCCTTCCCACTTGGCTGTTCATAGTACATATTGATTCTCAAGGTGGTACTTTAGAAAAGTAAGAGATGGTGGTGAAATTACCTGGATAATGGAAACCACAATGACATTGAAGGCTATGTTAGAGTCTTTTTGTAATACAAGTCCGGCTCATGCTGTAGATCTAAGCTGTGGATCTAGTTTAAAAATACTAATTTTATAAAAGACTCTCTCAGTTAAATGAATGAGTGGCCTTTGGTGTGCTCCAAGAATGGATTTTCCTGTGTTATATAAAATGTATACTATGTTGTTGCGTGGTTCGTTGTTTTTATTTTGATGAACCCGCTTTAAATATGAAAAGTATAAGTACTGTCACTTCTGTTATAACATGACAAATGTGTTCCTATAAGTCACACTGTTGTGGAAAATTACATAACATAAAAGGGCTTGTGAGAAAAATGGGGCTATGGGTATAATACCGCCAAACTAAGTCACTGACACATAAATAAGATAGGAACATACTAAAACAAGTAGCACAGTCTTACATATGTTATGTGGTTAAGAAATAAATAATAGAATAAATGTAGCCTTTTATCTTGAAAAATACTTGAAGTTTGGTTGTAGAAGAGTTGCAGCTTGCCAGTTATTGTGAAGTAGAGGAAGGACAGTTATTTTCAAGTCATGGGAAAGTTGTAACACTAGAAGGGTATGGCTCATAACCCATGAGTAAACTGAGATAATTGACAAATTCTCGGTGTTCGTATGTTTTATGTATTCCTTTGAGGCTCAGTTTCAGCAGAGTGCCATTTTCTGCATTCACCTGATGTTCCTTAAAGATGAAATAACTATACATAACTGTGAAATGTAAAATTAATGTTATGCTCACAGTTTTTGCTAATATATTAATGGTGTAGAAACAAATTTGCATATCAAAATATGCATACAAAACAAAACTGACTACATCTTGTTCGAAATCATCATTGGCATCATCATCATCATCGTTATCATCACCATGATTACTTAACATTTTCATGAGTTGATTTTATCATAACTTCTTGGGCATAAATTTTATCTGTAAGAATGTTTTATTGAAACACTTTAATAACAATTCTGGGAAATAATTATCTTTCAGAATAATGTGAAAATCTATTATCGCAATTAGAGAATAAATCCATAAGATGATATTTGGCTCCTATGAAGCTTTTGTTTTTGGCTTGCAGACTCTCCTTTGGAGACAAATAACAAGATAACAATTATCTTGTTATTTCTCTCAGTTCCAGGTAAACAAAAGGTGCCTAATACAAGCATATTAACCTGACTTGACTTAACTCAGAGGAAATGAAAAGTTCCAGCCAAGTAAGGTTAACTCAGACAAAACTCAGTTACCCTTTTTGAAGTCCTTTCCAAAATCAATGGTGATTTATTTCAGTGACCCCCCTTAAAGCGTACATACATTTCCACAGAATCAGCGTATTAATCTGTTCTCATGCTGCTATGAAGAAATATCTGAGACTGGGTAGTTTATAAAGAAAAGAGGTTTATTGACTCACAGTTTTGCATGGCTGGAGAGGCCTCAGGAAACTTAACAATCATGGCAGAAGGCACCTCTTCACAGGGCGGCAGGAGAGAGAATGAGTGCTGAGCAAAGGTGGAAACCCCTTATAAAACCATCAGATCTTGTGAGAACTCACTCACTATCACAAAAACAGCACGGGGAAAACTGCCCCCATGATTCAGTTATCTCCACCTGGTCCCTCCCTTGACATGTGGGGATTATTACAATTCAAGGTGAGATCTCGTTGGGGACACAGAGTCAAACCATATCAATCAGGGATAGGCACCCATGTGTGAGGGCAGTAGACAGAATCCAAGGGGCAAATAGATGCTGTGCCTTAAGAAAAGATTAGTACCTTTGACTGTTTATCTGGATTTTGCTAGTAGGTTTCTTTTTCCTGCAGCAGTAAAACCATCCCAAGCTCTGAGGAGTACCACTGACATACCCACTCCATTTGTGGTCCCTGAATGCTCTTTGACCCGTTTGAGGAACCAGGAGATAATTAGTTTCTAAAATATGATTTGAGAACATCCACTCTCCAACCACAATTTATTGAATTATCTGTACTACTAATTGATTTAATTCTAACAATGACTCTCTCAGAACCTTACTGCGGAAGGGAGCCTGGATATTTTAGTCCATTTCCTTTTCTCCCCACTCTGATTTCTTGAGAAAAAAATAATAGGGTTAACTACTGCAGAGCAATTCCTTTAGGAATGTAACAAATCTGCATTACTTATCGCTAGAAATTATGAGTGGATGATAATGATTTGAATGATTTGCAGGTTTCTTGATAGTTTTCTGCAAAATTAGACCAGGAAGGAGTGAGTTAGTAGGAAGTTGAGCTTGGTGGAGGCCATGAACAATAAGCTTGAGAAGCTTGAGGAGCATATTAATTGACTTAACTCACATGTGACCATGATTATCAGTACCTATTATTTGGAATGCAGAAATTCAAGAATGTTACTAAATCAGTTCAACACCAATCTCCAAAGGTCCCATTGGCTTAAATTAAACCTGAGACTCAGCAAAAAATGAAACCAAATCGTGGGTATTGTATAAACTCTGTTTTACTATTGAAAATACAAACTGAAAAACTGATTTTATGCACCACTTAGCTGCTGTTAAATTCATCTTCAGTGACTTATCGATTTGTAATGACACTGGGAAAAAGAGAGATTACACAGTGCTGGAATCTTATATTCTCTAAATAAGCCCTTCAGTTAAAACACAAACACATATTATATAATCACATAAAATAAAAATATAATATTATGGAAAGATAAATATTAAGCCGTTATTTTAATTTATTTGTAAAGTTAACAAAATTTAATGCATTAAACTTATACTCAAACATTTGATACTACAAAATTTTATGCTCTTTTTCTCAAAAGGGAAAATGGCATAAAACTTAAGTAAAAATTAATATATAAGAATGCTCCTGTTCTTGAATTAACTAACCCACTGCCAAATAAAGGTAATGGTATAAAATGTATTGCGATGCTTGCACCAGGAATCTGATGTGGGATATCAGGAGAATGTTCTATGATACCTCTGAACCAGACTTTGTAAAGCAGCTTTTATTATTCAGGATTGGCATTACAGGTCTATTACTTAAACTCATATTGAGGAGTCAGGAGAAAGGAGTTGCAGACATGAGCTGTCAGGGCCTATGGGTCTTGCTGTGTGGACACGAGTTGTGGAGAGGGAAAATGAAGCTGATATGCACAAAGATGCAGAAATAAGGAGCAGGGAGAATCTCATGTAGTCCAAGTCCACAGAATTCCCACCTGTACCCTAATCCCACTCCAGGCTTCTTATTATAAGTGCTCCATTAATTCCATGGATTAATGTATTTCTCTTTTTGCTCAAGCCGCCTAGGATTTTTTTTTTTTTTTTTGCCAATGGCAATCACACCATTCTAAGTACCTTTCTGTTCATCCCGTAATGAGGGCTTTTTGTGGCTCTGCAGCCCTGATCTTCCTTCCTGAACTCTCACATGTTCTTTCAGCACACATCTGAGTGATTCATCTGATGCTACCACTTTAAATGGGCTGCATTTCTGTTTAAAGTAGTCACCACGTCATAGAAAGCACTGCATACTTGAGTGGCAGAAATTAAAGTTGCTAGCTAGTGAGCAAAAATGAATACTAATTCTAGCTGCTCCTGAGTCCAGAGAGCGGCACACTCCATCTCAGTGAAGTAGCTCTTTCTGAGATTCCTCATCCGTGGGGCTTTTCAGTTAATCAAGAGAGTATGTCCAGGCTAGTCTACTTAGGCAAGGTCGAGGCAAGAGGAAGCTAAATGGCTCTGCCTGAAAAGAGAAGACAGGAATTTTTAAAGTGGGTAAGTCACACTAAGGCCACAGGGGTTCAACAGCATATCTATGTGTAACACAACAACTAACTGGGCGACTATGCGGAGAAAAAGCTCCCTTATTTCCAGAGTTTCTTCTTGGTTTCTGAGTAACTGAAGTTTCTGGTTAACAGGAACTTCTCCTCCTGTTCAGGATTGGAAAATTCAGCTCCTTTATGTTGATTCTGGCACTTCCATGAGATTCAGGAGTCAAGCTTTTCTGGGTAAAATGGAAAAGCTTTTGCACTGACTCATCTTGGCTGAGGGCTATCCTGGACTCCAAGGCTCTGCTTTGCGGTGGCAACACAGCAAGACCATCACTCCTTCAGGGATTATCTTATTACTTTTTGAAAATGGTTTTGGCTCATATTTATTACCTATCTTATTGATAACCAGCCTTTTAAGTTGGTTGGTTATTCTTAGTAAACTTCAGCTTATTTTGCTTCTGCTTTCGTATTAGAATTTTAGTTTTGTAACTTTCATGAATTTAAGAAACTTAAATTTTAAACAAAGGAAACTAGTACATATTTCCAGGATGGTTCCTTCTAACAATAAGTGACATTTATTTAATTTTTACACAGTGGATTAAGTTTTTGGCTGAGGGGCCATTATGTCTTCTTTTTTTTTCCTATGATGGGTTATTCCTCAAGGTAAATTTGTGCTTTAATTTAATTCTTCAATGTACCTTTTGCCTGTGAATAATGCCATTTTAGTGAATTTTACATTAGTTAAAAAAAAATCCTGATGATGGTCTCTAAATCCAGGTTTCAGGGGGAAAAAAGAGGGTCTCTTGTTATCATAAGGGAGGGAGAAAGAACAGGAAGGGGGTGCACTGTTTTACAGGGTAAGGACAGACAATGGCTGGGGATGGAAAAAAGGGACGGTTAGATGGAGATTTGTGTGTGTGTGTGTGGAATCCTAGGGATCTGTTGAACTGAACCTTCAACAATCCTGCACAAATCATCATATTCTCCATGCAACTGAATTTCTTACAGAGGCTGGTGAATAGGGTTAAATTCTGAGTTAAGGTTGCGCAGAGGTTAAAAGAACAAAGCTTAGCAGCAAGGATTATTTGAAATTTCTTTTAATGAGAAAAACTATACTTTCAATACACAAAAGTAAACTGTTCAAATTGTATATTATTTAATTCAGAAACCTGGCTCTAAGTAGTATGGTGTCTGAATAGATAACATTAATAGAAGTATAGTCTGGTCATAAAAATTAATTAAAAGCAATCAAGTTGATATTGTTAAGCAAGTTGGAGGGAAACTAACTTTTACACTGCAGTAACATCTAAAAATCCCCTTCTCAGTTCCTTTCTCTACCAATATCTCTCCATTCCTCTGACTGCTGAGAAACCATTCTCCGTATCCTCCCCTCTGTAACCCCAAACAAACCCCATTCCAATCCCAAACTCCAATCCCAACCCAAACCTTCTCCAAACCCAATAAATAGCAACATAGATTTATTGAACATCTACAATCCATGAACACTCATTTTGATTGATGAGGATACATTTGTGGATAAAACAGAGAAGCAGTTCTAGTTCTCATGATCCTCTGCCCTTCACCCTGTGGAAAAAGTAGGCAATAAAAAGGCAGATGATAAGTAAAATATGTAATATGTCAGACGCTTATAAATGATAAGAACCGACAGAGAGTCTTTGATGTCTGCTGGAGGAGGTGGTGGCTAGTGAAGTCTTCCTGAGGAGGGGATTTTTAGTAGAAACGTTAAGAAAGTGAAGAAGCAAGCCATACAGGCATACAAGGAAGAACATTCCAGGCTGAGGGAATGGCAAGAACCTACAATTTGTGTTTGGAGAAATTCTGGCATCTTCAAGGCTGAAAAATGGGGCTTGTCTGATTGAAGGACAAGGTACAAGGAAGAAGTTAGTAGGAGAAAGGGCCAGAGAATGTGTATGAGTATACACATAACAGAAAGGCTTCTCCCTTTATTCAGCATAAGATTGAGGCGTTTGAGAATTTCTGAGTGAAAGAGTCCCATGATCCGATTGTGTTCTACAAGCACTGAATTGAGAAGAGACTGAAGAGAGGAAAGTGCAGAGGCAGAAAACTCCATGAGGAAATGTGTATCATAATTCAGAAGAGAATCAATGATGTTTTGGATCATAGAGTTATGGTAATGGGAGGGATGCGAAGTAGAAGTAGAAGAATCCTGAATATATGTTGAAGATTGTATCAGTGGGATTTTTTTTTTTTTTTGAGACAGGGTATTGCTCTGTTGCCCAGGCAGGAGTGCAGTGGCATGATCATGGCTCACTGCAGCTTTGTCCTGTTGGGCTTAAGCAATCCTCCCACCTCAGCCTCCCAAGTAGCTGGGACTACAGGTGCATGTGTGATCACATCTGGCTAATTTATTTTTTTTTAATTTTCTTTGTAGAGATGAGGTCTCACTATGTCGTGCAGGTCAGTCTCAAACTCCTGATCTAAAGTGATCCTCCCACCTCTGCCTCCCAAAGTTCTAGGATTGTAGGCGTGAGCTACTGCACTCAGCTGGGATTGCTTTATGATAGACTACATGAAATAGATAAAGAAAGAGTGGAATAGCCATTACTGATGAGAGCAAAGGCTGAGGGTGAGTTGGTTTGAGAAGGAAAACCAGGAGATCAGCTATGAACGTATTAAGTAGGAGATGTCCCCTATATACTCAAATGGATAGGTCAGGTAGGTAGCTGGATATATAAGTTTGGGTCTGGATTTTGGAGACGAGTCTGAGCAGGAGATTTTAACATGGGACTCATCAGAATGTAGGTGGTGTTTTATGCCATGGGACTGGCTGAAGTCCCTAAGGGAGTGAGTGAAGACAGCATAGGGAAGAGATACAAAGATTGAGGCTCAGAAATGCCAACATTTAGAAATGGGGTGAAGAAAAGGAGCACAAAGGAGACAAGAAGGAGCAGCCAGAGAGATGGAAAACAATGTAAGTTTACTGATCTGGAGGCCCAGGGATGAAAGTGTTTCCAGGACCCAAGTGTAATCAGGTGGGTTGATGCTTTTGATAGGTAAAGTCTGATGAGTACTAAAAAATGATCGTTGGAGTTAGTGATATGGAGACCATTAGTAACCTTGAGAAGAGCAGTTTCAATGAGTGATAGAGACCAATTATGATTCGAGAGGGTTTGTTAGAAAAGAAGGACAAAAATTGGAGACAGTGAGTTATAAAAGGCCATTTTCAAAGAGTTTTGTTATTGAGGAAAAGAGAGAAAGGGATAGCTAGAAAGGAAAGCAGAGCCAGGAGAGAGTTTTTTGCCGTATGCATTCACTCTGGTCTGGGAGAAATGTTCATAGGCTAACAGTTTTCATCTAGTAAAGAGGAGGAAATGATGACTCCGAAGAAAAAGGGAGAATTGCCAGAGCAATGACCTTGAGTGACCTTGAGTGGGCATGAAAGGCTGGGAACTACAGCACAGGCCAAGGAGAGCTGGAGCTCAGTGAAGAAGACAAGGGGCAGGGTTTGGACTTGGACGCAGGTAGGTGGGCATCGACCTGTCGTGGGAGCTTGAGAAATTGTCACTCATTCTGCTTACATTTCTCAGAGAGGTAGGAATCAAAGTTGTTGGCCGAGAGTGAGGATTGTTAGGGAGTTTTGGAAGTGTAATAAGAGAAAAGCCAGAATGAAATGGTCACTCAGTATAGTGGGGGAGTTTGTTCTGGGGAGACATAGTAGCTCCATGAAGCTTTTCTTGGAGTACGTCAAGGCCTCTGGAGCAGGGAGGTCCCCTTTAACCATGAGATCCTGCAGGAGGCCTATTCTCTGTATTGCTGTCTCCTGTGCTCAGCATAGACAAGTTCAAGACAGACATTCAGGATAAATGCAATCATGTGAGGTTCATGCCCTGTCTGCATCGTCCCCAGAAGCATGCAGTGCTACGGAGCCATTCATGAACAGGTTGAATGTCCTCTATGATGGGCAAGGCATCCGCAGGCCAATGCAGTAGCTCTTCTGCTGGTGACGGGGCACTTGAAGGGAGGTGCCACAAGTCAGACAACTGTTCCAAAGAGGAGGGGTACTACACTTTGGTTAGAGAAACCTCTATGTCATTAATAAATGAGGAGCAGCCCCTTAGAACCCCTTTACAAATTCAGCATGGAAGGATCACTTGGCGGTGAGTGATTGTACTCGTAAGTCAAAACCAGCTAGAACAGTTGTGTTTTCTTTCATCCATGTTCAGCCACACAGGGGCAGCCATGGAATAAGAGGGTGTAGTTTGCTCAGACAAATATCACAAAGAAACGGGCATGGGAGTGAGGGCCCATTCAGGAGAGGGGTGATGTTGGTTGATCAGGGTTAAAGCTGATGAGAGAAAGAAAGGGTGAGGTCAGGGGAATGAGGAAGAATGAATAATAATTGGCAGGATTACATAATCACTGAAACTCCAGAGAGAGTGAGCTAGAAAGTTAGCAGATGGCACTCAGAGACAGAAAGGTTAGAAATCAACACCATAGAGGGTTTATAGTTACTGGAACAGCAGGTTCAGGAGTTTGGATCTTGCGTTAACTTCCACTTTTCCTTTTTCTCTTTTTCTACATGGCTCCACTTTCTAAATGTAAATTGTCCTTTCTAAGTTGGTAAATGCAGAATCTTACCTAAAAGAGTGGTGTGGGGAAGGGAGGGGTGTAGGTTTGGTGGAAACCTACAAAGAGAGCTGATAGAACACAGGATGGGGGGATGTTGAATACTTTCCCTTGAATATCTTTTTTAAGCCTTGAAAATCATCTGTATTTGTAACTAGGATGATTGATGATTATAGTTCAATAAAATAATCTTATGTCTCTCATTTTTCTGCAGTATGAACAACCAGTTGAAAACTGAGAAAAATCTGTATAATCAACACTTATTTAGATAACGCAACGACATCAGTAACTTCACTCTTTTCCACTACTGAATTGCCTAATTGTTTTCCCTATTGGAAGGACACAGTATGAACTTGAAGGCTCATACAGGCCCCCAGATAGTCTGGTACCATAGTAAGGGGCCCATTTGCTCTACATTAAACATTTGTTTGAGGTTTTCTGAGAAGGCCATTACTAAATAGGAAAAGAGTTTTGGCAGGGGTAGGGGTGGGGTGGTGAGAGAAGGAGAACTTTAGATTCTTTGGGGAAAGTTAATGATGGAGTTATGAAACTACCAACGGAGGAAGCTGTCAAGAAGTTAGGAGATCCTCAAAATATGTCAACTCATATGAAGAACAGGCACATAATTTTGATAGTAATTGCATGCTAAGTGTTCTAGATTGGGATTATTATTGGTCATTGGTGACAACTGATGAAGATTTCATCTGCAATATCTAACCACTAAATGAAGACTGCTTAACAAGTTAAGCTAATGAATTTATATTTGACTTAAAAGCCACAGTTATTTTAAAATTTTATATAATACATGTAAAATTATGCACTCACATAATGCATGTTATATATAATATATATGTGTGTATTAAATGTATAAATAAATTAAAAAATATATATCCCAATAATAAGTGTCTATAGCCTCTTGGTAATTAGGTTTTTAGTAAAATGTTTTCCTCTGTAGCAATGTTATTTCTTTTTTTTATTTTTTATTTTTTATTATTATTATACTTTAAGTTTTAGGGTACATGTGCACAATGTGCAGGTTAGTTACATATGCATACATGTGCCATGCTGGTGTGCTGCACCCATTAACTCATCATTTAGCATTAGGTATATCTCCTAATGCTATCCCTCCCCCCTCCCCCCACCCCACAACAGTCCCCAGAGTGTGATGTTCCCCTTCCTGTGTCCATCTGTTCTCATTGTTCAATTCCCATCTATGAGTGAGAACATGTGGTGTTTGGTTTTTTGTCCTTGTGATAGTTTACTGAGAATGATGATTTCCAATTTCATACATGTCCCTACAAAGGACATGAACTCATCATTTTTTATGGCTGCATAATATTCCATGGTGTATATGTGCCACATTTTCTTAATCCAGTCTATCATTGTTGGACATTTGGGTTGGTTCCAAGTCTTTGCTATTGTGAATAGTGCCGCAATAAACATACGTGTGCATGTGTCTTTATAGCAGCATGATTTATAGTCCTTTGGGTATATACCCAGTAATGGGATGGCAGGGTCAAATGGTATTTCTAGTTCTAGATCCCTGAGGAATCGCCACACTGACTTCCACAACGGTTGAACTAGTTTACAGTCCCACCAACAGTGTAAAAGTGTTCCTATTTCTCCACATCCTCTCCAGCACCTGCTGTTTCCTGACTTTTTGATGATCACCATTCTAACTGGTGTGAGATGGTATCTCATTGTGGTTTTGATTTGCATTTCTCTGATGACCAGTGATGATGAGCATTTTTTCATGTGTCTTTTGGCTGCATAAATGTCTTCTTTTGAGAAGTGTCTGTTCATATCCTTTGCCCACTTTTTGATGGGGTTGTTTGTTTTTTTCTTGTAAATTTGTTTGAATTCATTGTAGATTCTGGATATTAGCCCTTTGTCAGATGAGTAGGTTGCAAAAATTTTCTCCCATTTTGTAGGTTGCCTGTTCACTCTGATGGTAGTTTCTTTGGCTGTGCAGAAGCTCTTTAGTTTAATTAGATCCCATTTGTCAATTTTGGCTTTTGTTGCCATTGCTTTTGGTGTTTTAGACATGAAGTCCTTGCCCATGCCTATGTCCTGAATGGTAATGCCTAGGTTTTCTTCTAGGGTTTTTATGGTTTTAGGTCTAACATTTAAGTCTTTAATCCATCTTGAATTAATTTTTGTATAAGGTGTAAGGAAGGGATCCAGTTTCAGCTTTCTGCATTAGGCTAGCCAGTTTTCCCAGCACCATTTATTAAATAGGTAATCCTTTCCCCATTGCTTGTTTTTCTCAGGTTTGTCAAAGATCAGATAGTTGTAGATATGTGGCATTATTTCTGAGGGCTCTGTTCTGTTCCATTGATCTATATCTCTGTTTTGGTACCAGTACCATGCTGTTTTGGTTACTGTAGCCTTGTAGTATAGTTTGAAGTCAGGTAGCGTGATGCCTCCAGCTTTGTTCTTTTGGCTTAGGATTGACTTGGCGATGTGGGCTCTTTTTTGGTTCCATATGAACTTTAAATTAGTTTTTTCCAATTCTGTGAAGAAAGTCATTGGTAGTTTGATGGGGATGGCATTGAATCTATAAATTACCTTGGGCAGTATGGCCATTTTCACGATATTGATTCTTCCTACTCATGAGCATGGAATGTTCTTCCATTTGTTTGTATCCTCTTTTATTTCATTGAGCAGTGGTTTGTAGTTCTCCTTGAAGAGGTCTTTCACGTCCCTTGTAAGGTGGATTCCTAGGTATTTTATTCTCTTTGAAGCAATTGTGAATGCGAATTCACTCATGATTTGGCTCTCTGTTTGTCTGTTATTGGTGTATAAGAATGCTTGTGATTTTTGTACACTGATTTTGTATCCTGAGACTTTGCTGAAGTTGCTTATCAGCTTAAGGAGATTTTGGGCTGAGACAATGGGGTTTTCTAGATATACAGTCATGTCATCTGCAAACAGGGACAATTTGACTTCATCTTTTCCTAATTGAATAGCCTTTATTTCCTTCTCCTGCCTAATTGCCCTGGCCAGAACTTCCAACACTATGTTGAATAGGAGTGGTGAGAGAGGGCATCCCTGTCTTGTGCCAGTTTTCAAAGGGAATGCTTCCAATTTTTGCCCATTCAGTATGATATTGGCTGTGGGTTTGTCATAGATAGCTCTTATTATTTTGAGATATGTCCCATCAATACCTAATTTATTGAGAGTTTTTAGCATGAAGGGTTGTTGAATTTTGTCAAAGGCCTTTTCTGCATCTATTGCGATAATCATGTGGTTTTTGTCTTTGGTTCTGTTTATATGCTGGATTACATTTATTGATTTGCATATATTGAACCAGCCTTGCATCCCAGGGATGAAGCCCACTTGATCATGGTGGATAAGCTTTTTGATGTGCTGCTGGATTCGGTTTGCCAGTATTTTATTGAGGATTTTTGCATCAATGTTCATCAAGGATATTGGTCTAAAATTCTCTTTTTTGGTTGTGTCTCTGCCTGGCTTTGGTATCAGGATGATGCTGGCCTCATAAAATGAGTTAGGGAGGATTCCCTCTTTTTCTATTGATTGGAATAGTTTCAGAAGGAATGGTACCAGTTCCTCCTTTTACCTCTGGTAGAATTCGGCTGTGAATCCATCTGGTCCTGGACTCTTTTTGGTTGGTAAGCTATTGATTATTGCCACAATTTCAGATCCTGTTATTGGTCTATTCAGAGATTCAACTTCTTCCTGCTTTAGTCTTGGGAGAGTGTATGTGTTGAGGAATTTATCCATTTCTTCTAGATTTTCTAGTTTATTTGCATAGAGGTGTTTGTAGTATTCTCTGATGGTAGTTTGTATTTCTGTGGGATCGGTGGTGATATCCCCTTTATCATTTTTTATTGCATCTATTTGATTCTTCTCTCTTTTTTTCTTTATTAGTCTTGCTAGCGGTCTATCAATTTTGTTGATCCTTTCAAAAAACCAGCTCCTGGATTCATTAATTTTTTGAAGGGTTTTTTGTGTCTCTATTTCCTTCAGTTCTGCTCTCATTTTAGTTATTTCTTGCCTTCTGCTAGCTTTTGAATGTGTTTGATCTTGCTTTTCTAGTTCTTTTAATTGTGATGTTAGGGTGTCAATTTTGGATCTTTCCTGCTTTCTCTTGTGGGCATTTAGTGCTATAAATTTCCCTCTATACACTGCTTTGAATGTGTCCCGGAGATTCTGGTATGTTGTGTCTTTGTTCTCGTTGGTTTCAAAGAACATCTTTATTTCTGCCTTCATTTCGTTATGTACCCAGTAGTCATTCAGGAGCAGGTTGTTCAGTTTCCATGTAGTTGAGTGGTTTTGAGTGAGTTTCTTAATCCTGAGTTCTAGTTTGATTGCACTGTGGTCTGAGAGACAGTTTGTTATAATTTCTGTTCTTTTACATTTACTGAAGAGAGCTTTACTTCCAACTATGTGGTCAATTTTGGAATAGGTGTGGTGTGGTGCTGAAAAAAATGTATATTCTGTTGATTTGGGGTGGAGAGTTCTGTAGATGTTTATTAGGTCCTCTTGGTGCAGAGCTGAGTTCAATTCCTGGGTGTCCTTGTTAACTTTCCGTCTCGTTGATCTGTCTAATGTTGAGAGTGGGGTGTTAAAGTCTCCCATTATTATTGTGTGGGAGTCTAAGTCTCTTTGTAGGTCACTCAGGACTTGCTTTATGAATCTGGGTGCTCCTGTATTGGGTGCATATATATTTAGGATAGTTAGCTCTTCTTGTTGAATTGATCCCTTTACCATTATGTAATGGCCTTCTTTGTCTCTTTTGATCTTTGTTGGTTTAAAGTCTGTTTTATCAGAGACTAGGATTGCAACCCCTGCCTTTTTTTGTTCTCCATTAGCTTGGTAGATCTTCCTCCATCCTTTCATTTTGAGCCTATGTGTGTCTCTGCAGGTGAGATGGGTTTCCTGAATACAGCACACTGATGGGTCTTGACTGTTTATCCAATTTGCCAGTCTGTATCTTTTAATTGGAGCATTTAGTCCATTTACATTTAAAGTTAATATTGTTATGTGTGAATTTGATTCTGGCATTATGATGTTAGCTGGTGATTTTGCTCGTTAGTTGATGCAGTTTCTTCCTAGTCTCGATGGTCTTTACATTTTGGCATGATTTTGCAGTGGCTGGTACTGGTTGTTCCTTTCCATGTTTAGTGCTTCCTTCAGGAGCTCTTTTAGGGCAGGCCTGGTGGTGACAAAATCTCAGCATTTGCTTGTCTGTAAAGGATTTTATTTCTCCTTCACTTATGAAGCTTAGTTTGGCAGGATATGAAATTCTGGGTTGAAAATTCTTTTCTTTAAGAATGTTGAATATTGGCCCCCACTCTCTTCTGGCTTGTAGAGTTTCTGCCAAGAGATCTGGTGTTAGTCTGATGGGCTTCCCTTTGTGGGTAACCCAACCTTTCTCTCTGGCTGCCCTTAACATTTTTTCCTTCATTTCAACTTTGGTGAATCTGACAGTTATGTGTCTTGGAGTTGCTCTTCTCGAGGGGTATCTTTGTGGCATTCTCTGTATTTCCTGAAACTGAATGTTGGCCTGCCTTGCTAGATTGGGGAAGTTCTCCTGGATAATATCCTGCAGAGTGTTTTCCAACTTGGTTCCATTCGCCCCGTCACTTTCAGGTACGCCAATCAGACGTAGATTTGGTCTTTTCACATAGTCCCATATTTCTTGGAGGCTTTGTTCGTTTCTTTTTATTCTTTTTTCTCTAAACTTCCCTTCTCGCTTCATTTCATTCATTTCATCTTCCATCACTGATAACCTTTCTTCCAGTTGATCGCATCAGCTCCTGAGGCTTCTGCATTCTTCACGTAGTTCTCGAGCCTTGGCTTTCTGCTCCATCAGCTCCTTTAAGCACTTCTCTGTATTGGTTATTCTAGCTATACATTTGTCTAAATTTTTTTCAAAGCTTTCAACTTCTTTGCCTTTGGTTTGAATTTCCCCCTGTAGCTCGGAGTAGTTTGATCGTCTGAAGCCTTCTTCTCTCAACTCGTCAAAGTCATTCTCCGTCCAGCTTTGTTCCATTGCTGGTGAGGAACTGTGTTCCTTTGGAGGAGGAGAGGCGCTCTGCTTTTTAGAGTTTCCAGTTTTTCTGCTCTGTTTTTTCCCCATCTTTGTGGTTTTATCTACTTTTGGTCTTTGATGATGGTGATGTACAGATGGGTTTTTGGTGTGGATGTCCTTTCTGTTTGTTAGTTTTCCTTCTAACAGACAGGACCCTCAGCTGCAGGTCTGTTGGAGTTTGCTAGACGTCCACTCCAGACCCTGTTTGCCTGGGTATCAGCAGCGATGTCTGCAGAACAGTGGATTTTCGTGAACCGCGAATGCTGCTGTCTGATCTTTCCTCTGGAAGTTTTGTCTTAGAGGAGTACCCGGCCGTGTGAGGTGTCAGTCTGCCCCTACTGGGGGGTACCTCCCAATTAGGCTGCTCGGGGGTCAGGGGTCAGGGACCCACTTGAGGAGGCAGTCTGCACGTTCTCAGATCTCCAGCTGCGTGCTGGGAGAACCACTGCTCTCTTCAAAGCTGTCAGACAGGGACATTTAAGTCTGCAGAGGTTACTGCTGTCTTTTTGTTTGTCTGTGCCCTGCCCCCAGAGGTGGAGCCTACAGAGGCAGGCAGGCCTCCTTGAGCTGTGGTGGGCTCCACCCAGTTTGAGCTTCCCGGCTGCTTTGTTTACCTAAGCAAGCCTGGGCAATGGCGGGCACCCCTCCCCCAGCCTCGCTGCCGCCTTGCAGTTTGATCTCAGACTGCTGTGCTAGCAATCAGTGAGACTCCTTGGGCGTAGGACCCTCTGAGCCATGTGCGGGATATAATCTCCTGGTGCACCCTTTCCTAAGCCCGTTGGAAAAGTGCAGTATTCGGGTGGGAGTGACCCTATTTTCCAGGTGCCGTCTGTCACCCCTTTCTTTGACCAGGAAAGGGAACTCCCTGACCCCTTGCACTTCCCGAGTGAGGCAATGCCTTGCCCTGCTTTGGCTGGCGCACGGTGCGCTGCACCCACTGTCCTGTGCCCACTGTCTGGCACTCCCTAGTGAGATGAACCCGGTACCTCAGATGGAAATGCAGAAATCACCCGTCTTCTGCGTCACTCATGCTGGGAGCTGTAGACTGGAGCTGTTCTTATTCGGCCATCTTGGCTCCTCCTAGCAATGTTATTTCTAAGCCAGAATCCTTACAATGAAAGGCAATGAAGTTGGAAAAGAGTCTCATTCCCTAACCTGGGAGAATGATTCAGGGTTCTCCGTTTGTGTGGGGCTCTTCCAAGGCTCTATTCCTGCTTTTAAAATCACAGTTTCATGTTTTTTTTATTGAAGAGAGTCCTCAAAGTGATTAACCCAGGACTGAAAAAACCTGAGTCCACCCCTGCCTCAGAATGCTTTCAGCACAAAAGCATTCAGTCTGTATGATAATTGCATAATCCCAGTGTTGTGTGGTATAATATCAAACCCCAAACTCATCATGTATTCTCTGCCAGCTGGAGTCCAAATCAAGTTATGAAGATTTCCGGAGGCACTGCCAGCTTCTGTTGTCTATGCTCCCTTCCTCCTCTGGATGGCTTCTGTCCTTGATGTGTCTAAGGCTGGGCTTAGGGGATAGTCACAAGTGGCAGATGAACAGCAATCTGGTGTGAGTGGCTGCTGGGCACAGCAAATAGTCTCACACGGCCTCCTTTTCTCTTAGACAAGGCTTTGGTGGATTCCTTGGTGCCACTTCCTCCTGGCTGCTTCCCATCTGATGAGGACAGTATCTTTCCTGGGCTGGCCACCCATGACCCTGACACCTCTGCTCCTGGGTTCCCATGGCCACTCCTTTGTTGGAGTCCATTCGCCTCTCCAGGTAGACCTCTTCGTGGGATCTGTGTTAAGGTTTTCCTCTAACAGAGCTCATGTTTGGACTTTGACAAGCCTCCCTGGGGTCAAAGTGCAGCTTGAATCAGTGCATTCCCTCTTTTTTCTGGATCTCAATTTCCTTAAGTCTCTGTAAGTCACTTTCTCTTGGCTTCAGGTTGAGGGGAAGTGCCATCTCCCCTTCCTTGGGGATGTGTGTGGGTAGCAATATGGCTCACTGACAACTCATACTGTAGAAGTGTTAGTTCTTCAGTCTTTTTTTTTTAGGCTGAGGTCAGCAACCGGCTAATGCTGGAAAGACCAACTTGGGACTACTTTCTGCAATCTTTTGGAAAATCCTGAAGGAATGGTTTAGACTAGCATCTCTCTTCGAAATAGAGGCGGACTTGGAGTTGTTTTGTGCTTCACTTCAGAGGGATTACATTGAAGCAGGAAAAGTGGCATTTAATAACACATTACACCCCCAAATTGGAGAATCCAAGAAAATGGAGATGAAACAAGTCTACAAGAATAGTTTGGCACATGGAACTACAGATAAAAATGGTAGGAAAATCCTGTGGGGTGAGACACTGGCTACTCAAGTCTGGAGGGATAGCTTGGGGCAATGTGCTCAGAATAAGACCTTTCCATTTCTGACTTGGAGGATCAGGCACATCTTTCCTTAAAGTGGTCTATAATTTCTTTTTCTCATCTAGGTTTTGAACTGTAGGTGTAATACTTAAAGAGAAAGAGGGTAGTGGTATGGAAATGTAAAATCTAAGAACCAGTGAATACTTATTCACATTTGCAAACGGGTCCACAACAAGAAGCATCTACCTGGGATCCCTGCAATTTTATACTCTGATATTTCCTTGGTCTCATGGATCCAATTCTACAGTAAAATCCTCAGGCATCTGTCATAGCCTGGAAAAATTTACAATTCAAATACCCAGTGGGTAAACTTCTAGCCTAAGCTGGTCCCCATGAAGAAATATAATTTTATTCCTTTCTCTGTCTTGCGCTTGAAATGGAAATGAAAATTCTTAGTTTAAAAGATTCTACTGGGTCATCAGGATAAAATGATTACAATTGCAAACTCTTGTAAAACACATGATCCCTGGTTATCTGTATCATAATGGTGGCATTTATTTGGGAATTCTCTTGGATTTCAGGTATGGACTTGTTTGGGAAGTAGGGCAACAAAGCCCTCACATTCGTAAATAGTGGTGTGCATTCCTGCGCTGGTCTGCCAGAAAACCTGCATTAAAATTAATAATTTGCTAGAAACTTTTCAGGTTGGCCTGGCTTGACATGGAGTCATTAAGTTTTCAGATATGCATAAAAACCATAGGTAAAAACTATCAAAAACAAGTTAAAAGAGCATATTTGAATAATTTGTGTCAAGGATGGATAATATAATAATTAGAAACATTAAGTTCCTTAGGGTGTCTTAATTTGCTTTGGGATATTAACCTCTCACATTTGGCCTCAATAGGCATGCAATTTTCATATTTGCAGAAATTTCAATGCGTTTCCATTATCCATTTGTTGATGGGGGTGAAGATGAATTAAGTAATCTGTACTTATTTTAATGTTTAGTTGTCATCAGTTCATGCCTAAGAGGACAAAGCACTTGAAATGTGTACATGGTCATGGCAAAAAAAAAAAAAAAAACTTTGGTTGGAGGTCATTTGTCCCCTTCTTTTCCTATGCATTAAGTGGCTGTGTAAATACGATAGACTTAATTACTTTATAGCATGTAGTCATGTGGCATCTTGGTATGGCTAATTGGGGTGGAATTCTTAGAGACTGCTTTTTTTAGCTTTGTCTTTGTATCTCTTGGAATTAAAAACCTGTTTAAATGAAGGAACCATGCAACATGAAATGCTTTTCACCTGAGAGTGGTAATTGTTGAACTATACCTAGTATTTTCTGTATCTGTAGCTGCCTCTGGATAATTGTATAAGATAGGAGTCAGCTAATAGGGAATCATTAAGTATGACCTTCTTTTCCAGAAATTCAGGTCATTTTCACCCTTCAGTGATTGTCAATGTTAGTGAAGCTGTTTCTCACTTGTATGGCCAATTTCAATTCATCTCAAACTTCCAGACATTCCATTGATAATGCAAATAACTGAATGCTCTCAGCATAATCTGGTATTTACGTCAGAATTTTCTGTTTCATGTGAGCCTTGCAATAAACTTTTACAACACATTGAAGACTTCTTTCTTGGATAACATAATCAATAGTCATGAGATCTATTATTTAAGTTAATATATGTTTTTATTTCTATAAAGATGCATTTACAAATCATTAGTTAATTAATTATTATTATTTCCAGATGAAGTCTCACTCTTTCGCCCAGACTAGAGTGCAGTGGTGTGATATCAGCTCACTGCAACCTCTGCCTCCCGGGTTCAACCTCAGGTTAAAGCAGTTCTCCTACCTCAGCCTCCCGAGTAGCTGGGACTCAGGCACATGCCACCACGCCCTCATGAGATAATTCTGGGCAGTTTGGCTCTGTGTGGATTCGCTCTGTAGCACTCACTACAGGACCATTTCCCTGAGCTTTTTTTTTTTTTTTTTTGGGGGGGGAAACTAAGACCTTCCCCTCACCACTGGGAAGCACCATCCATCCATTATCCCAAAATGGCAAGGCCACTTCCTCTAGGTCCTGGTTTCCATATATTGTGTGATAGGGTTCACCTCCTTCCGGAAAGCATGATGGAATGTTTTGCTTGGCCCACCACAAGAAAGTATCTATTTAGGTAAGTCTCTGCTCTCCACCCTCCTTAGGTCGTTTTTTCCCAGGTCCCAGGTCTTAGACCTGCTTCCTCCATGTATATTTTGCTATTTTTCTCATGTGGGTATGCTGTATTTAATCTTTATAGAATTCATAAGATTGAATATATGGCAAATTAGAAATATGTTCAATTTTTAAGTTTAAAGTGTTGTTTTTCCATTCACAATCATTTTTAAAATTCTTTGGGTCTTTTTAAGGGCAATTTTCAAAAATGATTTTTTAAAGACAACACAATATTATTATGGCAAAAAGTTTATTGCATAGTACACTCTTCTCCCTAGATTTTAAACTCCTTAAGGGAAGAAAGTAAATTTCTTCTCATTATCCTGTAGGACTAGACTAGTGTCTGTCATATACCTGGATGAATACACAAATGGGTATTTTAAAATCATTTCTTTAAAACCTGGTTATATATATGAAATTCTAAACATTTTTTTCTTTGTGTGTGATGAATATATCCTGAATCAAATTACTGTGAACAGAAGTCAATGGAATGGTTTTTAAGATGTATTGATGCTAGCAAGGCCAGTTGCAAGTTCAGTCTTCTCTGTCTTTCTCTCCGATAGCCATCCTAAGTCCACACATTAAAAAAAATCTATTCATCCATTTATTCATCTATCTGTATATCTTCTACCTATTATCTATCTATCTATCTATCTATCTATCTATCTATCTATCTATCTATCTATTTTTCCACCCGGTTAGTCAACCAGTCACTTATTCTGCTGCTATTCAGTTGTATCCTTGTTATATAATGGTGAGCAAGGTAGGCATGGCCCTGCTTTCATATGGAGAAGAGAATATTAAGCCCATCACTTAAAATGTGATAAGTACTGTGATAGAAAAAAATACATCTCTCATACATCTCAGCATAGAATCTGTCATGTGAGAAATGAAGATCTAGAAAAGCATGGAGGAAAAATGAAAATTATGCTGAGACTTCACATGTGTGAAAGGGTTAACCAAGAAATGAGGAGAGGGGATGGTGTTTAGGCAGGCCAGAGTACAATGTCTGCACATCTGCAGGGGAGAGAGAACATGGTGTGTTCTAGGAGCAGAAAGAATTGCAGTTATTTCTAGAGCTTGGATTACCAAACAGGGAGTAAGGAATGATGAGGATGCCAGTACCAGTAGGGGTTAGAATTTGAAAGGCTCCATAAAGTGGTGAGAGTTTAAAGTTCTCATCTTGGCTGAAGAATTGAGAATGGGTGGCCAGGTGCAAATCTGGAGCAAGAGTAGGGACTGGGAAGCCAGTTAAGAAGATGCCACAGGGAAGAGGAAGAGGGTGATCACCTGACCTCAGGTAGTGGCTGTGAGGTTGTGAAAAATGGCATCATTCAAGTAAACACTCTTAGTTACAGGGAACTGGCAGAACATGAAAGGATCAGAATGAATCAATCTTGGCAATCAGAAGACACAGGTAAATCATCTGTTTCTAAGTTTCTCCATTGCTTCATCTTTGAAAAAGTGATAATTTCTGATCATTTCATTTTGAGAGCTATTGTTTAGTCTTTCCTTTTAGCAAAATTGATTAACCTTTGCTATAGATGAGGAAATAGAAGAAACGAAGAAGAGAATTTAAACAGAGGAGATACTTATTCTGGCATCCTATAAATTTGTTATTTAACTTCAGGGCAAAATCAAAATAAGATGCCAAATTGTGCTTAATGTGCATGCCTGTCTCTGAGGCTATAAACACAGCATGACTGGACAAACCACATATGCAGCTAGAGTCTTCTGTGGTCTTTCTTGAAGGGAATAAAGACCATGAATAAGGACAGGATATTTCAGGTCTCGAGATTCTGTCCCATCGACTGAAAAAGGCATCAAGCATTAGGGACATTAATTTAGAAGAAGACAAATATAGTTAACAGTAATTGTTGCATAAAGACATGATGTTATTGGTTTTTAAAAGCCCATTCAAAGTTTTAAAAATCTTAGCTATATTCCTATAATTTTTTAGTGCCACATAGTGTGATGCTTTAAGGATCTGTATGAGTAAATGTCATTTTTTTTTCAATATTTGAGCATAATTAGTGAAGTTTTTCTTGGTGTGGATGATTTGCTCATGTTATCGCTGTTGGTTACTGTTTTTGTAAATTTCAAATTGTCCATTTTTAAAGATAATTTTATTTACTTAAAGATGAAGAGGAACTTTGATTGTATGAGATTGCCTGCAGCGGCCTTAATAGTCAAAGAGATGGTTTAGTTCTTTTGGAAAAGGAAATGTGACCCTAGGATTACGCCCTTGAGAGATGATACTTCAATTCAAATTGGGATTCACAGGGTAATTGCAGCCTGTGGTAATGCATCTTCAACGTCTTAAAATAGCTGTTAGACAGTAGAGCTTTCCCCTTGAGGAGGGCAGTGTTCACTAGGAGATGTCTTTTGTCTCTTTCAAACCAGCAGAGCAGCCTCTTAACAATGCAAAGAAACAATATATAATATTTTCCGGAGTGATTTCAAAATTAACTGAGAACAAAAATATCCTCATCTGTTTTGTACTGTGCTACAAATAAAAAATAAATAAAACAAATAAATAGAACAGCATCTGGACAGTGTCCATGTCTGGGTTAATTTTGAGGCTTCTATAGGGAATATAAAATTTAGACTTGGAGCCCTTAGTGTACAAGCAAGCAACTGAACAAACTCTTAATGTCATGGGTCATTACATCCACTGTATTGTACTCTTTACAGAAAAACATACAACTAATAAAAATATATTACTATGTTTTTCTACCTTCTGTAGGTAAACAGTGGCTGACAGCAAACAGTGAGCTATTGCTTTATTCTGAATTGCATAAATTGAGCTGATGGTTTTCTTAAATATCCAGTGAATGAGGCTATTTGACTATTTTTTTCTTTGTCAGGATTTTGACAGCAAGTAACTAAATCTAATTTTTTTAAAAAGAGGTCATTGGAAGAGCCTTCCAGTCACACTGAAGGTTGTAAAGCAGAGAAACATGTTAAGATGAAGTGGACCATGGCAGCTGGGAGACCAAACCACACCTAACAGATAAGAGGCTGCAGGGGACAATGCAGAAGGTGCACAGGTTCCCTTTTCATGTCCAGAACTACTGGTTGGCTGCGCCCAGGGAAGACTGTAGGGAGGGGAGGACAGATTGAGTTGGGACACCTTGGCTGTGAGGGTGATTATGAAAATGCCAGCCCCAGAGGGAAGGCAAAAGTCAGGTTAAGAAAGCAAATCAGATGGCTGAGAATCACAAGAGAATGGGTTTTAAGTCAAACAGAAAAAATAAGAATGTAAATAACAGACAGGTAGCAAGGTCAGGTGATTTGGAAGATGGGACAATATGACAAGGAACAAGGTGTGCTGCAGATTGAGCTGATCAATTCAGGAACTAAATCCATAAGTGCTGAGAGGCAGCTAGACAGTTGATCTAAAAATTCTTTAACACAATGGGGGTTAAAGAAAAACCCTGTGTTTCAACAGACTACAGGCAGGGACTTGGCATCAAGACTAAAATATCAAGGATTTCAGCTAGATGGGCTGTCCAGAGTCCATAAAAGTAGAAACTGAGAGACCTACAGATGCTGTGGCAACACAGTGGTGTAAGCCAGGCAATGTCAATGGCAGCACAGCTCTAGAAGCTGAAGAATAGAACAGATTCATTCAAAAACAAGGCAAAGAGCACTTATCATGTGGTGAGTACAATAGATAGGTTACAAGGAGGTATCAGGGTTGATTCCTGTCCTCAGGAATGTGACAATCTGGTAGAGATACCACCAGCAACCACTCCTTCCCCAACCCACCCAACCAAACCAATGAGACATCTTGCAACACTCTGTAATATATTACTACATTTACTTTGCTTTATGACAGGTGGGCTTCAGGCCCAGGTCAGCCTGACATGGAGGCTGGTGTGTGGCAAGGCCTGCAACAGTTCTGAGAGAAGTGATTGCTGAGAGATTAGAACATAGGCTGAGATATTTTCTTGGCATCCTTCCTAATTAATCTCCCAGGCTTTGCTCAGCAGCACAGTAATTCTTGAACCCTCTCCTTAGCCACAGCAAGCACTAGACCCAAGATAAATTTATAGGACAGGTTTTTGGTGTGGTTTTATTGATAGAAGAAACAGGGTTTAATTTGCTAGGAAAGTATGAGTTTTACTTTCTGAAGGAATCTGTTAAAAATAAGGATGCGTATGCTTTGAAGAGTCCTTCCTGGCACTGATGTGAAAGCAACTAACTTTGAAGCAGCCTCTCTACTGTGGTTCTAAGTCTTTGTGAGTCACTTGGAAACACAAGTCTGGTAGGCAGGAGGTCTGTATTATTCATACTTTTTCCTAAGTCTGACTTGAGGCACATCATCCCACCTCTTTGTGCTTGTGCTGTATTGTAGTTTGAATGTTTCCTTCAAAGTGCATGTATTGAAGTTTAATCCCCAATGCAACAGTATTGGGAGGTGGGGCCCAGTAATAGGTGATTAAGTCATGAGGGCTCTGTCCTCATGAACAGACACACGTTATTATTGTGGAGTGGATTAGTTATCTTGAGAATGAGCTTGTTCTAAAGGTGAGTTCTGTCCTCTCTTGCTCTCTTTCTCTTTCTCCCACATTCTTTTTCATCTACTTTCTACCATGGGATGATGCAGCAAGAAGACCCTCACCAGATGCCAGACCCTCAGCCTTGGATTTCTTAATCCCCAGAACTCTAAGAAGTAAATTTCTTTTTCTTTCTTTTTTTTTTTTTAAATAAATTGCTTAGTCTGTGGTATTTTGTTATAGCAACACAAGATGGACTAAGACAAGCTCCTTATTCATAGCCATATCCTGGGATCAAACACATATGGATATAGTTTTGAGTTGGCAAATTTTGGACTGAATAGTCAGGTCTCACCATGGGCCCTTTAAGGCTAAACCTAAAGTCACTCTCCTATCTTCATTTCAGTGTTCCCAACTTGTTAATTCATATTCTCTTTCTCCCTCTCCCTCTCTCTCTCTTTCTAAAGAAATGCAGACATATTCTTGAAATCATCAGAAATTTTTATGTGAAGCATTTTTTGAAAAGATATGAGAATTAGGAAAAATGTACTTTCTTAAAACTCAAAAATTTGACTTTTGTTAGAATAAACACAGGTATTATCACTGATATTGAATGAGTGCTCATGTTGACCCTTATAAAATGGAGCATGTCATGCTTCTAGTACGTGCAGAGGTTACCTGTAGGGTGTAACATCAAGGATGAGTGATGGGAAAACTCAGGCTCTGTGGGATATCTCTTTTCTGTGAATCTTGACTGTGCCTAGGAGATCCTATTCCCCGTAAGAAACACACATTGAAGATAGAACCTTGTGTTTAAGGAGTGGGTGGGAGAGATCAAAGAGAGGGGCATGAAGTGAAAGTAAGTGAACTCTAAAGCGAAATCATATTTTGCTTAGGGCAAAGATGGCATCGGTTGCTTTAGTCATGAAGCAATCTGGATTAATTATTCAAACTTGAGAAGAAAAACTGCATTGTTTTGTATTAACCATGAGCCATTTGAGTTTTGTTTGTTTGGTATTTGGCTACACACAGATTTAGCCTAAGACAAAACCTGGAGTAAATAAAAAAGGCGCATAAAACATGTATACTACCCTGTTTATCCTGTTGAGCTCTTAGTGGTTTCAGAGGACATATGTGCAATAAGTCAGACTCTCCCTGGAAGAGCTAATATCGTATCCATGCTGTGAGTTCAGAGTACAGCAATTTGTTATTGATGCCCAAACATTAAAAATGTGCAGCCAGCCTCCTAATGTTCTGCTAAAATCATTTCCTTTTCTCTTCTTATTCGCATTTTTTTGTTTAAGAGAATAAAAGTATTTCCATTTTTACATAAAAATAGGAACAAAGAGCACATGTTAAATATACTGGTGAGTTTGAAAAACTGGGATGCATATTTAAAAAGACAGTATCATATCTTTGGTAATAAATAATGACAACTATTTTTGTATCCCACTTTCCCTACAGTTTTAGCACGTGAGTACCTGTTCCAGCATATTAAAAAGTGGAAATTCTAGATTTTCCTAAGCATCAACAATATAAAATGACTTGTGAAGATATCAGAGAAGTGTCAGAAGAGATGCAGGGAGAAAGAAAGTGCAAGGAAACATGAAGTCTCTTTCTTGGAGGATTTTCCAGGGAAGGCTTTCTGTGGAGACTGATTCAGCTAGTTTAGCCTTTTTGTTAGGGTCCCTGTCTTTTTCTCTCACCTCCATATGCAACTCATAAGCAAACACTGTAGGTTCTACTTTTAGAGTGGATCTCAAACTTGACAGCATCTCACTGTTTTCTTAGCTCCATCACATATCAAAGAACAATCGGAGTAGCCTCTGTGGGTCTTCCTATTTCCACAGTGGCCCTCTGCATCTATCTCTTCCACATATAACCACCAAGTCCTGAGTTGAAGATCAGATCATGTCAGTTCCCTGATTGAAGCTTCCCAATATCTCCTAATCACTGGGTTGTTGTTGGTGTGGGACTTTTTTTGTGTTTATTTGTTTTGTTTTTGTTTTTGACCATATTTTGAGACATGGTGTTGCTCTGTTACCCAGGCTGGAGTACAGTGATGCCATCATGGCTCACTACAGCCTCAACCTCTCAGGCTCAAATGATCCTTCAACCTCAGCTCTTCAAGTAGCTGGGACTACAGGGGTGTGCCATCATACCTGGCTAATTTTTTTTATGTGGAAATAGGATTTCATTATGTTGCCCAGGCTAGTCTCAAACTCCTGGACTCAAGTGATCCTCCTGCCTTGACTCCTGAAATGCTGGGATTACAGGCTTGTGCCACCATTCTTGGCCTCCCAATGACACTTAGGTAAAAGTCAACTTCCTATGGGCCATGTGACCTTTGCTGGGTAGACATCTAAGATGTACTCCAATGATCCCTGGCTCCTCTTACTCATGTTCCTGTGTATGTCCCTCCTGCAGTGTGTGGGTTAGACCTCCTCATGTGCTCTAACAAGTAGAATAAGGAAGAAATGATGGCACTTCACTTCTATGATTAGGATACAAAAGACCACAACTTCCCTCTTGCTAGAGGCCTCTGAACTTCTCTGTTTGCTCACTTTGATGAAGTAAGCTGCCATCTTGGAGAGGCCCACAAGACAAGAAACCGAGGGTTGCTTCTGGCCGGCAAAGAACTGAAATCCTCAGTCTAACAGCCCCCAAGAATTTGAATCTTGGTAACAAAACTTGAAAGTGGATCCTCTGGATCCACTGAGTTGAGTCTTCGGATGATCACGACCCTGGCCATTACCTTGATTGCAGGGATAGAAGGAGGAGGTGAGGGCAAAAAACAGAACAGAGGAGGTAGCAGATTCAGTAAGCAGGATCCAGCCCAACTGCACCAGATTTCTGAGCTATGGCAACTGTGAGATACTTAATGCTGTTTCAAGCCACGTGCGGGGAGTTCGTTATGCAGCAATAGATAACTAATCTATGGTCTTATAGGAACTGGCCCTTGGCTATTTCTCAAACCTCACCTCCCTTCACTTCCCACTTTCTACTTTTCTCCAGCATCTCTGCTCTTATTTCTCCTTCTTGGACATACCAAGCTCATTCCGACTCCATGGACTTTTGCTTGCTGTTTGGAATATGCTTGGGATGCTCTTACCTGAGACCTTTGCATGGCTGATTCTTTCACATACCCAGGCCTTCTTTCAATTCTCACTTTTGCAGAGAATCTTTCTTTGGCCTCCCTCCATGGAGAAGCTACAACTACTGCTTCCAACTACTTCTTTTTTGCACTCATCCTTTTCTCTGTCGCATCCTGAATTATTTTCCTTCCTACCCTTATGCCTTTCTTGTTTGTATTTTATTGCTTGTTCCTGTATTCAGTTTGATGCTCCATGAGGGTTGGGGTTTGGTCTGTTCTCAGTTTCTAGAATACGTAGGCACTAACTACATATTGATTGAATGAATGGGTACATTTTACCTCAATAGGCTGACACTTCCTCATTTGCAAGATAATGGTGTTGGAACAAATGTCATTAAATTTGCCTCTATAGCTAAACTTACTGTTCTATGATTAATATGGCAAAGAGATTGAAGACAGGAAATCAACACTAGAACAGAATAAAAATCAAGTAAGGGGACTTCTGGAATGGAAAACATGGAGTGTATGAGACACTCTGGATGGAGAGGAGCTGGGATTTCTCTCATTTGATAAGAGTTGTCTGGTCTAGGGTTGTCACATAGAACTCTGTGTTGATGGGAATGTTCTAAGCTGCACTGCCCAACACAGGAGCCATAAGCCATCTGTGGCTACTGAGCCCTTAAAATGTGGCTAGTGTGACTGGACAAACAAATTTCAAATTTTATTTTTATTTTATTATAGAGACAGGGTCTCACTCTGTCATCCAGGCTGGAGTGCAGTGGTACAATCCTAGCTCACTGAAGCCTCAAACTTCTGAGCTCAAGCCATCCTCCCACCTTAGCCTCCTGAGTAGCTGGTACAGGTGCATGCCACTATGCCCACCTAATTTTTTAATTTTTGTAGAGATGGGGTCTTGCTATGCTGCCCGGGCTAGCCTTGAATTCCTCGCCTCATATAATCCTCCCACCTTTGCCTCCCCAAGTGCTGGGGTGATGGTTACAGTCATGAGCTACTGCTCCCCATCTCAAATTTTATTAATTTAAATTTAAAGAGCCATTTTAGATTCTAAAGTTTGTAATTGCTTGTTGGCACTATGATTGTACTTTCACAGTCTTATCCTCCATGAAAGGTCAGGGCATGTTAGGCTGGCACAGCCATGCAGGTAGTTTTACTTCAGAGACAGAGACAGCTGATGGACAGGAGAGGGGACATTCTCTATGTACTCACCATAGATTTATGACTAAAATGCAAATTAGAAAAAAAGATTTTTGCATAGAACCAAAAATATGCTATGGAATACACTGCTCAGTACTAATTAAGTGCCTTGCTGTAATAATGACAGTTTTCTATGTCTTTGATTTTTTTTTCCTCTTCCCCCTCATTTTTTTCCTGCTTTTCATTTCCATCTAGGTGGTTTTGAAAGTAAACAGAAAAGACAAAAATAAACAAAATGTCAGTGCTCAGTAATTTTGCCACTTTTAGTATAAGTGTTGATTACCACCTAAAGATACCTCTGTTCATGATTATGAATGTAAAATAAGCCAATTGGTTGCCATTTTCTTTGGGTCTATGATGTCTCTCTCGTCATCTGGAATTTAAGCATCTGAGCTTCCAAATTTCTTCCCCACTCTTCTTAATTATTATCCCTTTTGCTTCCATAGACAGATTCTGAACTATCTTTTAACATAGGCAAATGCAATGTAATATCAGCTGTCTCAGCTGCTCTTTATAATGAAGGTAATTCCCCTCAGCCTAGGCCCTTGGCTGTAATACCTGGTATTGGAAAGAACCAAAATGCCTCTTTTTTTCCCTCTCTTTTTTTCATGTTAAATGACATGTTTATTTTCCTGGATAATAAAAATAATGACTCAAGAAAGTCCTACAAATATTTCAGCTTTTCCTTAACACACGAATGTCTTGGCATCTGTGAAAGGTTATGTGTTGCATAGGATTTGAGATAAGACCCAGGTTAAATTAGTGCTGTGCTAGGTATTTATATGTGACCCTGAGAAAGTTGCTAAACATCTCTATTTTGCTTCCATTCTCTCACAGGCAAAACAAGAATGATAATAGGCATGTCTCAAGGTTGCTGTGTGGACCAGCTAAAGCCCTATGTAAGAAAGCACTTCACATACAGAAGAGGGTAATATGAGATTCAATTTTTTTTTTAAATGGAAGTTCATTCTAGTTTTGGGACATGGCTTTGGACTCTGCCTTGGGATGTTAATCAGCCCTTTCTCCATTAACAAATTAACCCCATTAACCCCATCCATTAACCCCACCTTAGCAAATGGGTTCACCTCAGATGTCACTTCTCAGAGAGGATCTCCTTGACCACTCTCTGTCTATATAAAATTATCTTACTTTAAGTATAGCTCTTGTTAGTGTCTGGTGAAATGATCAGATCTATTAGTTTCCATGTATACTAGCTGCCCATTTCCCCGCACCTATGAGAATGTGAATTTTGTAAGGATAGGTACACTCACTACCTTCTTTACTTCTATATCCCCAGTGCTGAGAACGTTGCCTGAGCATAGTAAATGCTCCATAAATGATTGTTGACTGATGAACCCCCCAGGGACACTCAAACCAGTCAGAACCCAGCTGCATTTTTCCATAACAGGTCATAATTACTGAATTTATGAGCCTTCCTACTTACCAATTACAGCAGCGTGGCTGCTATGGAAGCCATATTTCCTTCTAGAGCCATTAGGAGTGGCTGTGGGAAATACAGATAGTTTGTCACCCTGAATCCAGGTTAAATATTTTGACAAAGAGTTCTGCAGCTCACCACAAGGTTGCAGTCCTCAGGGTTTGTTAAGATAGATCTAGATGCATTTTTATTTCCAAAGAAGAAATTTAGATTTTTATTAGTGTCTATATGCTACATTTTTATAACACACCCCTCAGTGGTGTTATTTAGCTGCACAGTGTGTAAAATTCATAAAGTAATTTTGAATTGCATTTAACTAATACCTACATATTTTTATTACGTGATCTTTGCTGGCATGAGTTGAAATACTGGCTCATAAGCAAAATGTTCTGAAAGTTTTCTTTTGCCCTTTGCTAGTGCCCCAGCCAGGAGACTCTTTGCTTAGATGGGCAACTCAGCAAAGAGTCTCCCAGCTGGGGCACTAGCAAACAGCAAAAGCAACTCAGGGATCCCATGTCCCTAATGTGTCACTTTGGTAGACAGTGTCTACAATTTGCTGCTTAAAATATTAAGTGCATTAATAAAAAGATATTCAAATAACACAGTGACTTGATAGCAGAAGAATTACTAGAGTGGTTCCCCTATTTGGGGCCAGGCTGCTGAGATCATGACATTAACTGATGAATTCAAAGAGTTTCCTTGTGGCAGAAATATTTATTATTCTTAGAAGACCTTGAAGCTGTCCAAATTCCTCCAAGTCACATGTCACATTAATTTTAGAGAAAACAATTCCCAAGGATTTCCTTATACTCTAAAAATTTGAAGGAAGAAGTCATAAACCTTCCTATACATAAATTAGCTGAGCATGTTAATTACATTGATTTGGAAGTTCATTTTTGGGGGCCCTCTGATGGTTAATTCATGAACCACCAGGTTAAATAAGAATCAGAAATGATTTTTCTGCCACACATCTGCAAGTGACCATGGCATCCTGCAGCAGGCACATCTATTTTTAATTATTTGTTTTTAAGAAAGAATTAAAATAGAGGAGTGGTATTTTAATGTTTTTTTATGACCTGTTTATAACAATTTCTATAAAAATTGAACTTAAATTGTCTTGGTGAATGATGTCACCAGCTAATAAAAAAATCTTAGATGTATGATGAAGACAGTCCCGAATGCAGAGTTCAACTAACTGGTTATGAATCAAAAATTTACCAATTATATATCATTAGATAAGTCATACTTTAAGTTTCAGCTTCTTTTTTTTTGTATATAGAAGGAAGGGAGGTGAGGAGTGACACATAGTTTTTAATGTAGAGGATCTTATTTACTGTGTAGTGAGAAACTAACAGTGTGAGAAAGGCAAGTACATGTCAGACAAAGGCCTTGTGGCCATGCCTCCTCATGCTTAGTAGCACATCAAGCTGATGGACGCTTCCTTTTGTATAGGTTGTCTTCAGATATTTGGGAGACTTGATTTATAAACTTGTAGGTGGTCTGCATAGCAAAGTCTGCTTGATAGGAAAAATGTTATATTCTTGAGATAAGCCAAAGGAGGAACACTGGCTTTATTACCAATGAGCCCACTGCCACCCTTCCAGCCTTGCTTGCAATTCTCAGTTCAGAAATATTATAATTTGGAGGCTGGGGACTTTAATTACAGAAAATCCAATGGATGTATACATGTTGCCTGAAAAAGAAGGTAAATTCAAGATGCCCGTTATTAATTTAGCCCTCATCTCCTATCACATGGACAGTGCTTGATCCATATTAATTGCTAGAGAACTCTATAATTTGTGGTACACTGGGAGGGATTTATTTCACCACACACCAGGATGGGACCTAATTTTTGATTTAATCAAATAGTTCCTCTCCTTTGCCATAAAGATTGCTTTAGAAAACCCAGGCTAAGCCAATCAGTATAAGGCACTCTCTTAGCCCAGGGATTGCTTTAGAAACAGGCATAGAACCAAATTTGGCCCAATAAAATACAACAGAAGGTTTCTTTGTAGATTTTGGGAAATAAGTGTTCTCAATTCTAAAACCATTGAGAGAGAAGTTCTATTTATTTCTCTTAAGATTGATGCATTTGGGAGACCCAGAAATGTGGATTCCATCTTTCTATGAGCCCAAGGATGAAGGAGAACAAAAGATCAATAGCAGAAAAACGCAGCTGGACCGCAGATGGTGCAGCCTGACCTCTGCTCTGCCTCTCCCTTTGTCTTTAATTTTCAGAATTAAAATGATTTATCTTGGTGTGGATTTCTTTGGGTTTCTCCTATTTGTGGTTCCCTCAGCTTCTTGAATCTATATATTTATGTCTTTTGCCAAACTGGAAAGGTTTCAGCCACTATAACTTTGAATAACTTTGAGTTATTTTTTTTCAAGGACTCAGATAATATAAATTTAGATCTATTTGGAAAATAGATTAGATTTTCTCCTTTTCAGATTTACTCATTGTAGCAAATAGCAAATTGCTTTATCTCTCAGTTCATTATCTCTTTCCTCTGTCCCCTTTATTCTGCCATGGAGCCCATCCACTGAGATTTTTATTTCAGCTACAGTATTATATATTTTTGTTCTAAGATTCCCGTTTGGTTCTTCTTCTTTACATATTTTATATTTGTTTAGACTATTTTTCATTTGTTGTAAATATGTTTGTAAATTGCTCTCTCAGCTAGTTGCATCGTGGCTGTCACATTGCTGCTGGGGCTCTTTGTCACTGCTGGATGATGGTTGGATTCTAGTTCCCCAGCAGCTCTCCACTGATACCTCTTTGGCTGGGAGGGGTAGAAGTAACTCATGCTCACATAACCTCCACTGATACCACAGAGTGGGGAGGTGGCTTCATTACCACTGGTAGTGCTGAAAGCCCAGACCCTCCACTGGGCCTCCTCGCACATCACCCTGGTAGGGATGGGGAGTGGCAGCTTGCTATTGCCAGCTGTGTGTGGAAGGCCAGTCTTCCCAGATGCCTGACTGAACCTGAGGTCGGTGGGTGCCTCGCTGCAGCCTGGAGAAGGCGGAAGTCAGTGTCCCATGTGGTCATTGTTGCGGTGGGTGGGAGTGGGGCCACAGACCTTTATCCTATGGTGTGTGGCTGGCGTAGAGTGCTTCCTGTCTGAAAGTTCCTGTCTTGATGGGCTGCCCCATCTTGGTCTTTGGCTGGAGGGATTGGGCTTCTGTTGGGGCTTTTTGGGTTTGAATTCATGGGATTTTCAGGTGTCAGCTTTGCTTTCCTCAGCTCAAGGCTGGGATCTATGAGGCAAAATAGAAATTCAGGGAACTCCCCTCTAAGGAGGTACCTCACATCCCAAGGTCTCTGGCCCATTTGCCTTCTCCACATTTCAACATTTTCTATGTTTGTTTGATGGATAATGCCCATGTATTTTATTTCTAAAAATTTTTTCATTTCCATGGTTTTATTTTTTGGGTAAACAGCTGGTATTTGTTGATATAAGTAAGTTCTTTAGTGGTGATTTGTGAGATTTTGGTACACCCATCACCAGAGCAGTATACCCTGAACCTGATTTGCAGTCTTTTATCCCTCACCCGCTTCCCACTCTTTTCCCCTGAGTCCCCAAAGTCCATTGTATCATTCTTATGCCTTCGCATCCTCATAGCTTAGCTCCCACTTATAAGTGAGAACATATGATGTTTGGTTTTCCATTCCTGAGTTACTTTGCTTAGAATAATAGTCTCCAATACCATTCAGGTTGCTGTGAATGCCATTAATTCATTCCTTCTTATGGCTGAGTAGTATTCCATCTCTATATCTCTATCTATCATCTATCATCTATCTATCTATCATCTATCTATTTATCTATCTATCATCTATCTATCTATCTATCTATCTATCTATCTATCTATCTATCTATCTATCATCTATCTATCTATCTATCATCTCTCTATCTACCACAGTTTCTTTATCCACTCATTGATTGATGGGCATTTGAGCTGGTTCCACATTTTTGCACTTGCAAATTGTGCTAATGCCCAGGTATTTTTGTTCTACTTAGTGGAGGAAGAAAGAAAAGTATGTTTATTCTGTCTTCATAGAAGTAAACCTCTCCATGATTTCATTTTTACTTTTCTTCAACAAATAAATTTTTGAAGCATCTAGAATTAAAATAAATTCTATCAAAATAGGTAAGATTTTGATAGAGTGGGATGGGGATCACACATGACTTTTTCCCACCCATGTCATTTATTGTAACAGCATTTATTGAACAACCTATTTTTTCCTCCAAGACTTAAAGTGCCACCTTTAGCATAATGGATTCATATATTTATGTGGATATATTTTTAAATTCTCTACTCTGTACCTTGATCTGTTTATTTGACCTCTGCTACTGAAAGGTTTTGATGACTATTTACTACATGGCAGGTCTGGTTTCTCCTTATTACTCTTTATTGTAAATTTCCTGAGTATTCTTGCCTTTTGTTTTCTAATATAAAGTTTAGAATGAGCTTGCCAACTTAAATAAACTCTTGCATTGTGCTTGGAATATTAAATATATCAATAAAATTTGGAATAATTGAGCCATTTAAAACATTTAGTGGTTCTGTATGAGTGCTCAGTATTTATCTTTACTTTTTGATGTCTTTATGTATCTCAGTAGAGTTTTAATATTTTTTTATAGAACTCTTCAATGAGCCTTATTAGATTTATTTTTTTCTTCTGTGTATGTGTGGGTTTTTGTTTTGTTTTATTTGAAACAGGTTCTCACTCTTGTCATCCAGGCCAGAGTGCAGTGACACCATCACTGGTCACTGTAGCCTCAACCTCCTGGGCTCAGACCATCCTTGCATGTCAGCCTCCTGAGTAGCTAGGACTCCAGGCACCTACCACCATGTCTGGCTAAATTTTTTAATTTTGTTTTTTGTAGAGACAGGGCTCCACAATGTTGCCCAGGCTGGTCTTGAACTCCTGGGCTCAAGCAATCCTCCCACCTCAGCCTCCCAAAGTGTTGGGATTACAGGTGTGAGCCAGTGTGCCTGGCCTGGTTTATTAAGTTTTAGGTATTTTATTCTTTTTTAAAATGCTCCTATTGTAAATGAGGTTTTAAAACTTATTTTTCTGATGATTGTTGTCTTATACAGGAAATACATTGATTTTATTGGTAATTTTGTAATAAGCCAACTGGGTCTTTTTAGTTCTTCTAACAGTTTGTTAGTTCATGCTATTCAATTATAATATTGGCAAACAATAAAATTTTGCCTTTTTCTTTTTAATTTTTACAACTTTTATTTCTGTATTCTGTAGTTAGCATTTTCAGAAATAATATTAGTCAATATTATGGATAATGGTAAAATTTTATCTTATTCCTGACTCTAATAAAATAAGATGCTACTAGTATTTAACAATTAATCATGATGCTGCAATTTGACTCAAGATACATAAATTTCAGAAACAGTCATCTACTTATAATTTATTGGGAGTTTCAAAACGTCAGGGGTAATTGTTGCACAATATTATGTTGAATATTATAAAATGTTCCTTTAGAAACTAGGACATAATCTTATGATATGTTGCCTCCTTTGCTTCATAGATATTATGTTTAGTATTAATGTCGAACCATTCTTGCATTCTTAAAATGAATCTCATTTGTCATCAAGGAGTATTTCTTCTTAATATTATTACTATTATTATTATTATTATTACTACTACTAAGGGACAAGGTCTTGCTATGTTGCCCAGGAGAGTCTCAAACACCTGGACTCAAGTAATTCTCTTCTCTCAGCCTCCCGTGTAGCTGGGACCACAGGTACCCACCACCATGCCTGGTAGCTTTTTATTATTCTTAGTATATACTCTCAATTCTATTTGTTAAAATTTTATTAAGAACTTTCCCTTGATACTTACAAGTGAGATTGACCCATAAGGTTGTCTTGGCTTTTGTGTATTATATTTTCATTGGTAATAGCTTTACAAAAATACTTAGGAACTTTTTCTTTTTTCTTTGTAGTGTAGAACAGTTTAAATAGTATTGGAAATGCCTGTTCCTTAATGACTTGTTAAAATTTTTCTGTAAATTCTTTGGGTCAGATACCATCATGGGAGGGCATATATCTTGGAAAATTTGTCAACCATTTAAAAAAAGATGTCAATTGGTGTGTTTTACATTAAAAAATCTTGTTGGAGTTTAGGTAATGTAAACTTTTCTTCAGAAAATCTTCCATTTCATTCAAGTTTTTAAATTTATTTGCATAGGGTTGAACAATAAATTCAACATTCAAAAATTTTGTCTGTATCTTATTTTTACCTTATTATTCTAAATTTTGGTATTTATGTTCTTTCTTTTTTCTTTATTAGAGTACTTTAGTAGTTTATGTGTTTTATATTTTATAAGAACCAGCTCTTGAATTTAATAATTAGTTTCACTTTTCATTTTCCTTGTTTCATAATTCATTTATTTCTGACTAAAATGTAGTTTACTTTCATCTCTTTTAAATTTTATTTTGATGTCTTTTGTAATTGTTTGAGTTAAATATTTAATTTATTTTCATTGTTCTTGGGTTAATAATAAAAATAATTAAAGCTATAGATTTTCTTCTGAACAGTGCTTTAACTGTGTCTCTTAAGTTCTGAAATCTGTTGTTTTTCATTATCTCTTAAAAGTATGCCACGGCTTTGGATTTGAATTCTTCTTTGAGCTAAGTGTTATTTATAGTGAATTTAAACATTTCTAATTGGTAGCGGTATTTCATTTTTCTTTTTTTTTTGACATTTCTAGCTATATCACATTTTGGTGAGAGAATGTTTTCTGTTTGATACCTATATTCTAGAATTAATTAAGATCCAGTACATAGAATTTTTGGAAATTTTCTATGGGAAATTAAAATGTTTATGTTTTGAGTATAAAATTACTGACAACAAAGAGAATGCAGGCTGGACAAAGAGAATAAAGGGTGGAGAATGAGGGTGCTGCATGGATGGAATTGGAACACCCCTGTGTGTCATCAGAGATGATGGTTATTGGTGATGAAGTGAGGGGCTCTGAGAGGCATTCTCTCTATTCTCCCCAGCCCTGTGCCCATCCTGCACACCTCTCCCTCAAGTTGATAGTTCCATCATCTGTTCTTCCTTAGCCCACTCACATTCACTTCCCTTCAACTCACCCTGGGGCCAAGGAATCGCTGAGTGTCAACTTTGGGCATAATAAGCTATATTATTTACTGAATATTAATTAGTGCCATTCGCTACATCTAAAATGTTTTCTTAATCACTTTTTACAAATTAGTTAAATATCTCCTGTCAAAGTAGCCCTGATAATCTAGCTAGAGATGCTCTGTCCTGTAGTTCTTGGCACCACTGTTGTCTTCATGCCGGGTAATGCTTTGTTTGGGTTTTCTTGTACCCACCAGTCAGGTTTTTTTTTTATTGCAGGGCTTAAATAAATGTTTATTACAATATAGCCTCATTTGTGATAATGACTAAATTCTTGGTGATTGAGCAAAGGATTAAAACAATGTAAATCATTTTTTTGAGTTTTGCTTTTCCTTACTTGACTGTAAACATACCTTTATCTGCGCCCTTCCTTTCCTTCTTTGGTCTGGCTCCGCAGAGGGAAACTTTCCTCCTCTGAAGCTCAGTGTTGGCCTTTGCTACACACTTCCACCTTTGTGTCCCCTTTTCTAGAATGTTCAGGCTTTTTATTTTTTACTAGTTTTTTTTTTTTTTTTTTTTTTTTTTTTTGAGACGGAGTTTCACTCTTGTTGCCCAGGCTGGGGTGCAATGGCGCGATCTCGGCTCACCACAACCTCCGCCTCCCAGGTTCAAGTGATTCTCCTGCCTCAGCCTCCCAAGTAGCTGGGATTACAGGCATGCGCCAACACTCCCGGCTAATTTTTGTATTTTTAGTAGAGACGGGGTTTCTTCATATTGGTCAGACTGTTCTTGAACTCCCGACCTCAAGTGATCCGCCCGCCTCGGCCTCCCAAAGTGCTGGGATTACAGGCGTGAGCCACCGTGCCCGGCCATTTTTTACTAGTTTTTGAAGTTTTCTCTCAGCACCTTGCCTTCTCAACATTCTCTAATCTTGGAAAAAAAAATCAGAGAAAGAAACACAAACAGACCTTCCCCTCCAGCCCGTTTAATGGATTAGAGGGGGATGGGAACCCCTTAGAGTAACCCTGATCCCAAATGAGGAAATGTGAACTAAGATCGCATCATTGTTTGGGGAAAAGGGAATGGTTGCAAGACATTAAGCAGTTTCCCATCTAGCTGACAAATCATCCATGATTCTGCTCTCTTACTGTTTCTTTAATCCATTTCCCTTGCTGCTTTGTCTACCGTTGTCTTCTTCACATCCAAGTTACTGAGAAATTTTATCACCGTCTACCTTATGACTTCCATTTCCCTCGTCCTCTTATTCTCTGCACGTACTCAACACTTGCCCTGTCCACCACTCCGTTGAACTTCTCTCGTTTGTTTCCATTTCTCCTTTGTAACCTGACTGGTGGACGTTTTGCAGTATCTTCTCTGCTGCATTTGAGCCTATTTTCGAACCAAGCGTGTTGAGAATGTTTGATTTCCAGATCCTTTCTTTCTCCAGTGTCTCCTTCTGCTCTTCTGGCTGTTCCTTATCAGTCTCTTGTGGACATTTCTTCCTCTACTCTCTCTTTAAATGGCAGAATTCTTCATGAGTGTTTCCATGTGTCCATGTTCTTCTTTTTTTTGTTTTGTTTTTTTTTTTTTTTTTTGAGACGGAGTCTTGCTCTGTAGCCCAGGCTGGAGGGCAGTGGCGCGATCTTGGCTCACTGCAAGCTCCGCCTCCCAGGTTCACGCCATTCTCCTGCCTCAACCTTCCGAGTAGCTGGGACTACAGGCGCCCGCCACCACGCCCGGATAATGTTTTGTATTTTTAGTAGAGACTGGGTTTCACCGTGTTAGCCAGGGTGGTGTCGATCTCCTGACCTCGTGATCCGCCCACCTCGGCCTCCCAAAATGCTGGGATTACAGGCGTGAGCCACCGCGCCCTGCCAGTCCATGTTCTTCTTACCACACTGAAACTCTTGGGAGATCATATCCCTTCCTATGACTTTACACTTCTTTACTTTGATGACTCTCAAGTTTACCTTTCTAGCTTTGATCTTTCCCTACTGAAACCATCTATGCAGCATCTCTCACAGTCACTAAACTATAACAAATGCAAACAGAATTCACCTCCACCTCTATCTTGCTTTTCTTCCCGAACTTCCCCATTTTGAGGAATCAAGATGACTGAGCCATCAACATCAGGATCCCTTTGGATTTATTTCTTTCTCTTACCCTGAAATTTGGTCTCTTATCAAGTCTCATTTACTCAGTGTGTTGCTGTCTCAAGCTCTTTCTCCCCATCCTCACTGCTACCATCTTCGTTCAGGTTTTTATGATTTTCTCCTGAATTATTGCTAGTGCCTAACCCATTTCCCATAGTACATCAGCATGGCCTTTCTAGAACGTATTTCTGCCTTGGAAAAAGCCCTCGTTTCCTAGAAGAATGAGAAGCAATGGGAACTCTTTGAGGATTTGGTCCCTGCCGACTTCTCCCCCTCATGCCTGCCATCTCTTCTGACCTCTGGATTCTGTGCTCCAGCTGTGCTGGACACCTGCAATTGTCCCCGTCTGTCTTTGCTTTGGCTTCCTATCCACTTCCAGTGTCATTCACTCCCTACAGCCATATTTTGTCCTGGATAGTTTTTATTTGTTTTTTAAGACTTTAATGAGATCTCTTGAGTTCTGTGAAATCCTTTCTGTACCTTTTCCCTAACCATCTCACCACAGACTAGTTTAAGGGGCTGTCTGTATGTGCTCCTCAGCTCACTGGGAACTTATGTTTCTATCACTGTTCTTACCAAATTGCATTATAAGTGCCTGTTTATTCATCTTTTTAAAAAACTTACAAAGATCTGGGCCGGGCGCAGTGGCTCACGCCTGTAATCCCAGCACTTTGGGAGGCCGAGGCGGGCGGATCACAAGGTCCAGAGATGGAGACCATCCTGGCTAACACGGTGAAAAATATGAAAAATTAGCCGGGCGTGGTGGCGGGCGCCTGTAGTCCCAGCTACTCGGGAGGCTGAGGCAGGACAATGGCGTGAACCCGGGAGGCGGAGCTTGCAGTGAGCCGAGATAGCACCACTGCACTCCAGCCTGGGCGACAGAGCGAGACTCTGTCTCAAAAACAAACAAACAAACGAACAACAAACAAAAAAACTTACAAAGATCTTTAAGTGCTCTGAAGAAAGTAACTGTTTCCTGCTTTTTCTTTGTATTCTTTAAATCTAGCACATGGCTTTTTTTAAATGAATGAAACTCAGCAGAGGTTTGGTGATAGAGCTAGATTAGGTCATCTAATCTAATCTAATCTGATCTAATCTAATCTAATCTAATCTAAACATCAAGCATTTTAATGTAATTGTTTGAATCTGAATTTCCTTCCAATCATTGTTCCTATGAAAACATCATTTTAATGTGCATGCAGTTTATAGTGTGCCATTTATCTTAACTTTATATAATATTGATTCATAGTCTTTAAGTGTAGGGATGATATTCCACTAAGTTTCTGTATTACCATTTATTTTTATTGTCCTCTTTTGCTAGCCACTTTAGTTGTAAGCCTTTCTTTTTATTTATAAAGGAACTGATTTTACAATTCTTACATGGCATTTTTCCCTATTTTCTATCAAATAGGTACTTAGTGAAAAAACAGGATCTTGCATAAGAGGATGCCATGATCAGCCACAGTATCATTTCAATTTCTCCATAATATTTTCTTTATAGAATTATTAAGATCAAAGTTGCACCAAAAACAAGGAATTAATGCTGGCACATCACCTGGACACTATTGAAGGAGTGTATGGTTATTAAGATTGGACTCAGAGATCCTGTTGTTTGTTGAAATCTGCACCAGATTTCATCTTGGAAGAAAGTGGCACTCAGGTTCTACATTCATAACCCAAGCAAATACCTGTGATGGATTGTTTTGTTCTCTGATGCTCTGAATTTTCTCCCATTGAAGTAATTGCTAAGGGAAGGATGGATGCTGGGTGAGATGGGAGAGTGGCTTTTACCAAGAGAAGAGCTATATCCACATAACTTGGAAGAAGATAGTGCGAGGCATTTTGAGCATAGAAGATACTTTGATACTTTCCAAAGTTTTGAACACCTACTGGAAATTAAACAATACCAGAAATAATTAATTAATGAACAAATAGGAAATAAACATTTCATTGTCACCTGGGTATATAATTGCTGCAGGGTGACACTCAAGACTCTTTTCTAATATTTTTTATAGTATGTGTTCCCACTGTTCCATCTTTTGGGTTATTCATCTTTCAATAAGCTTCAGTATATTGACAACTTTCTGGAAACAGAGCTCCCAGAGTACATTATTCTAGATGTGGCTTGTTCAGCACTGAGAGGCGGGCTTATGGTTTGCCTAATTCTGACATACATGCCAGTTAGTATAGTCAAAGCTTGCATTTCTTTTAAGAAACCTCATCATTAATCAAAAATGCAATTCACCAATAATTCATGACAATGTTAACTCTGTTCTTTTCAAGGCCATGCCCTGAGTTTTTTAAAGTTGAGATGAAAGGAACAAATCTGCTAGTTAGGGGTGGGAATTTCAGGCCCTGTAGGAATTTCAGGCCCTGAAGGAGTTTCAGGAAGGTGCCATGACTGGGCAGTGGGGGAGTTACTTTGGAATAAACAGGATTTCACCTCTCACCTCACTCCATATGTTTCATTTACTCAGCCCAGGCAGGTGGCCAACCTTGATTAGCACAACTTGACCTCATGTTGGTCTTGCTAGTCCTTGTTGGAGAAAATCTCATCTCCCTGTAGTAGTTACATGCCCAGTTGGCAATGAATTTTTTTATTACTTATTAATTAATTAATTAATTCTGGTATTATTGCATTTCCAGTAGGAATCCAAAAGCTTTGGAAAGTATCAAGAAGTATTTAATATATTCCTTTAAAATTAGACTGCACATCATAAAATGCTAGACTGAACATAACCTAATGTCGAAATGTCTTTGGGGTCTAGATAGATTTGAGTGTCATGACAGACATTTCTATCACTTACTGATATTTCTCATTCTCTTTTCCTTCCTGGATCCTTAGAGGATTATATGCCTCTTCCGTTTAAAGTTAGGCATGGTCAGACTCCTTCCTTTAGCAACAAAATGTGAACAGAGACTCACTTTTAGAGAAACAAATGTTTAAGAGTAGTGTGATTCTCATGGTCTTAACCCTGCCTCAGGAAACTGAAAGCTTCTTGTTGAGAGGTCAGCATTATGGGTGGGCAGGGTTTGCAACGTCCTGTGTCCTTGAATGATTACAATGAGCAGAGCCCCAATGTGACCAGCGTTGAACAAATAGCCCCCATGAGATTGATATTAGGTATGCATTGAATATTTTTGGGCAAAACCATGCATACATGAATCAGTGTCCCCTAAGAAAATTATGTGATTTTTTTTGGTGGGAAGACAGTATTGGAGTCTTGGCCCCCACGTTGGCAGAGCCTATATTTCTTTTCTGTAGGACTAACATTCTAACACTTATTTCAAGATCTTTCTCTATGCCTTCTCTGTGAAAAATAGGCACAAGTTTGAGAAAATTGTAATTTGTCTTAAAAGACTATAAATTTTCAATGTTCACGACCTTCTTGCTTATGTAGATTATCCCCAAATGAGATGGATGTGAACTGATCCAATTTTGCTTCAAAATTTTTTAGAGGAAATGTTTATTCTTTACAATTTATTTTTGAGAATAAAATGGAGTTTTTTCTTTTTAAATACATGTTGTCTTGCTAAAAATTTTATATGATGCATTGATTAAAACTTTGCCTGTAATATATGTTTTAATACATTTTGAATAAATAAGGATGAATTTTGCTGTAAAGAAATCACAGAATCTGAGAGCAGGAAGAGAACCTGGGCATTGTGCACTTTATTCCTTCCTTGTATAAAGTGGAGGATGTAAGAGTTTTCAGGAGAATGCTGAAAATTTAATTGGTTAAGTTTTTGACTCAAAAATTATTAACATGAAACATTTAATTGGTTAAATATTTCGACTGGAAAATCATTAATATGAAAGACCTCGGCTGGGTGCGGTGGCTCATGCCTGTAATCCCGGCACTTTGGGAGGCCGAGGTGGGTGGATCACGAGGTCAGGAGTTCTAGACCAGCCTGACCAATATGGTGAAATGCTGTCTCTACTAAAAATACAAAAATTAGCCGGTCGTGGTGTCATGTGCCTGTAGTCCCAGCTACTTGGGAGGCTGAGGCGGGAGAATTGCTTGAACCCAGGAGGTGGAGGTTGTAGTGAGCCGAGACCGTACCATTGCATTCCAGCTTGGGTGACAGTGAGACTCTGTCTCAAAAAAAAAAAAAAAAAAAGTAAAAGAAAAAAAGAAAGACCTCACAATTGTGCTATTAAAAAATTTTAGCATGTTAAAGTGATATCATTCATTACAGATTTTAGGTAATACTGATGAGGGGTCCTTTAATTGCTATGTTCACATTTACTACCTCCAGTAACAGAGAAAAAGTGAAGACAGCTGCTGCTTCTTCATTAGTTATTTCTTGATCAATGTTTATCAGAGAAATAAATGAATTTTAAATGACTAACAAGGGCTTTCTAGCTAAAAGTGAAAAATGATCAAACATTATTTCTCTCCTGAATTTTCTACCATGTTAGTAAATGAGAGTGAGTGATATATATCTGTTCTGATTCTATTAATGTCAGCTAATTCTTACCACATCACTAATGGCAGATGTGACTGACATCTGGCTCTCCCCAGGACCACTCCAGTCACAGGTGTAGTCCAAAGAAAACTTCCTGGCTAGAAATATCAGAATATTATTTTAACAAATAATTACTAAGAGTATGCTATATGCCTGCCTCCAATAGTGCCAGACATATAGCACACTCTCAGTAATTATTTGTTAAAATGACACTTGAGCATATCTTTAAAACTTGTCATATAGGAAAGCAATGGTCTATGGAGTATTAATTTATTTGCAAAGTTACAAGCTATGGAAGGAAAAAAATTATATTTCGAGAGCATGTAGAATATAAAGGGAAGCAGATTCTTGTACCCTGAAGGAAGGGCACCATGGAATAGAAGCAAGAGTGGCAGTTGAAGACATTTCTTGTTATTTTATAAATTAGCGTAATTCTGCAATTAGCAGTCGAGTGGGTGATCCTTCCTTTTTCTCTTAGTTTGATTGACAGGTTTGTAGTTGAGCATAGCTGAGTTAGCATTATTTCCAAATGTGTTTTAAAAGAAAGTAAAACTTTTTTCCCCCTTTCATTAGTGTCAGTAAAAACCTATTTTGAAAATCCCAAGAAACTGAACTACTTGAGCAAAATGAAGATTGTGGAAAGAGCCCTTTGATGAACTAATCAACACCTATTCTCTCTTCTTCCACACTGAAAATCAATGTTTTCATCAATTTATCATGTGCACTGAAATGAGATATGAATAGAAAGTTCAGTCTCATTTTGTTTTCCATTGTTTTAATAGGACACTATTAAGTTAGTGCTTATGAAACATCTATTTATTTAAGCATTCACCTTGGACTCTTCTAGCATCTTTGATACAACATTGTCAAGAGCCTGACATTTGGTATACTTGATGGACATGCATTTCTGCAGTACACTTGCATTCATGAAAGAAAACAAAGCATAAAGGTTTAAAAAACCTATATCTGCAATAACAGAACTTCAAAAGAAAGGAATTATATTTTTATTTTTATCAAAATTACAAAAATTCACAGCTAGGTCAGTTCCATGCAAGGAGACATACCTGTGCCATGTAAAAGTCATTGCACAAATATACTGAAGATACATGGAGGTGGTGTATAGTAGCTACAAGTTCCATGTGAGGCAAAGTGGCAGGTTGAAAAGAAGTGGACATTGACAGACGCCATCAAGCCCAATGTTACGTGAAGAACTGTAGATGCCTTCCATATCTCTTCTGCCATATTTAGACACAAAATAGATACTGCTCTAGGAAACATCTCTACAAATTTTTGCAAATAGAGAATTGTAAAGGTGCAGATAATTATTTCATTATATTTGGAAAGTAGTTTTATGTTACCTCATGTTGTATCTTTATGCTATTTTTAATAAATTAAAATATTTTATATAGCCAAAGTGAATCATTAGAACCCATTATCACTATGTACAGTCTTTTAGTATTTAATAAATTCACATGCACAAATATGTTTATTGTAGCATTGTACACAATAGCAAAGTCTTGGAACCAACCCAAGTGCCCATCAATGATAGACTGGATAAAGAAATGTGGCACATATACACCATGGAATACTATGCAGCCACAAAAAAGGATGAGTTCATGTCCTTTGCAGGGACATGGATGAAACTGTAAACCATCATTCTCTGTAAAGTAACACAAGAAGAGAAAAGCAAACACTGCATGTTCTCACTCATAAGTGGGAGTTGAACAATGAGAACACATGGACACAGGGAGGGAAACATCACACACGGGGCCTGTTGGGGGGTGGGGGGCTGGGGGAGGGATAGCAATAGGAGAAATACCTAATGTAAATAACAAGTTGATGGGTGTAGCAAACCAACATGGCACATGTGTATCTATGTAACAAACCTGCACGTTGTGCACATGTACTCCAGAACCTAAAGTTAAAAAAAAAAAAAAAAAAAAAAAACAACAACTTTAGGCATGCTTAGAATTTGTAGTTAATCCCAACCAAATCATATACTAAATCCTAACATATAACATGCGGAATTTTCAAATTTTTTACCTATTACTACTTAGCTAATGAACAAAATGATGCCAACAATTCAAATGAAAGGAGACTGATATCTCAATAACCAAATATAAAGTTACTATGAAGTTCCAACTAAAAGTTATCACAAAGAAAGATATAGGCAGACATAATTAACAGTTTCAAAAATTATAGGGCAAATTTGTTAGTATGGAAATTATTTAGCACTTAGGGGTTTAATAGAATACAATTCTTCTAAATTTTAAATAATCAGGTGGTGAAAGAAATTAGAGTAAGAAGTAATATATCTACAGTAAGTTTTAAAAAATTTTAAATTCTAATTATCCATGTTTGAATAAAAATATTCATATTTATTACATTTTATAATAAATATTCCTCTTTTTAGGGCCTACAAATTTGAGAACTAGTCCAGCATATTCTGGTTGGGTTCACCTTCTCTCTGATCATCCACCATTGGCCACCTTTGGGTGACATCTCACGGTAGGTGACCATTGCTGTCAGGACCTGCCAGGGTGCTCCTGAGTCTAGGACAAGGCCTCATGTCCTTATGCTCCGCAAAGGATAAGGTCTGAGGTTTAAATTGTGTGATGACTTCCTGGAGTCTTCACTGAGCCAAACTCACTCCAGTCCTTACATAAAGGAAAGCCACTCCCCTTGTCCTCAGGGGGTCACAGCTTGTGCTGTGTCCTCAGCTGTGCTGCAAATACCTTCCATCTTAGGCAATCCTTCAGGAGAACAACTCAGGCTTCTACCTGATGTGCTGTCCAGTGGCCTCAGGCAGAGGCAAGTGCAACAGACAGTGGAGCTGTTCTGGTTTTTATTCTTGTCTTCTCTGGTGTTAGCTCCCATCAAAATCCAAACCAACCAAATAGAATACAACACATCACTGCCAGGACATACTGCTGGCTCTTCCCATCAGTTTCTCTGACTAGCCCAGTTAGGTCCAAATGGCAGCTTCAGTTCGAACTGGATGCCTTGCTGTTCTAACCTTTCTATTGTATGCATGTTAAGGTACAAAGAGAAAACACACTTTGCTTTTTCTGCCACTCACCTTTTAAACCTGTCCCGTGGGATAGACAGTTCTTTCCTTGCCTCTGGACGAACTCAGATTTATATCAGAGTTTTATTCAGCTACAGTTGGATAATAAAGAGCTCAAATAAAACTCCAGAGAACAGTCTCACTTCAGCCATTAAAATGTCCAGACCAGAGTCATAATCACACTCAAGACACTGAAAATTCATGCTCCTCTCTGCTGGGCTCCAGCGTGAAAGTGCAGATCATTCCAGATTTTGTTTTTTTTTTTTTTTTTTTGAGATGGAGTCTCCCGTTGTCGCCCAGGCTGGAGTGCAGTGGTGCAATCTCGGCTCACTGCAAGCTCCGCCTCCCGGGTTCTCGCCATTCTCCTGCCTCAGCCTCTGGAGTAGGTGGGACTACAGGCGCCCGCCACTAAGCCCGGCTAATTTTTTGTATTTTTAGTAGAGACGGGGTTTCACCGTGTTAGCCAGGATGGTCTCGATCTCCTGACCTCGTGATCAGCCCCCCTCGGCCTCCCAAAGTGCTGGGATTACAGGCGTGAGCCACCACACCCAGCCTCATTCCAGATTTACCTCTCTCTCTCTCTCTCTCTCTCTCTCTCTCTCTCTGTCTCTCTCTCTCTCTCTCTATCTCTCTCTCTCTCTCCCCCTCCCCCTCTCTTCCCCCACCCCTCTTCCTCCCTCTCCCTATCTCTGCTATTAAGCCAATAGCACCAGAGTCTCTCTAGATCTTCTCTTTTGTTTGTGTAAATCAGTACTTAGTCAAGACTGACCTACTGTAAGTGGCAGAGCCTTACAGGTTGTAAAAATATAAGAACACTTCTGTAAGTTTGATAAATAAGTGACCCTGAGTTACCCAGTCAAGTAGGCACCTCCTTCCCCTTCCCCTTCCTTCATGATTCTCAGTTTTCCACAGTTCAGCAATGAAGAAGTAACTTCTAGCCCCTCAGGGCTCCAGGATCCTGTTCAGCCATTGGCAAGCTCTGTGCAACAGCCAGGTGTCAAATATTTTGAATCTCACCATGGAACCAATCCAGACCCCTAAACCTTCCAGGGACATGGGTTAAGCTCTTTGGTGGTACCTTGAAGCCCTTTTTTGTCTGTCTGCCCTCACCCTTCACCCTTCACAGGCAACTCTATCCAAACTGATGCCTCTAATCTCCACTACAGGGATGGGCTCCCAACAGCTGGCAGAACTATGCTGGGCCCTACCCTGTCAAGTAACTCACAGATGACCCCGCAGCTTGCTTTTAAAAGTGAATGACACTTTGCAGGTACTTTTTATTCTAGGCTTTTGGCATTCCGCTGAATCAGTAAAAGTTTACTTTTTAACCATCAGTCACATTCTATTTGGTATGAGCACAAATCCACCAAGAAAATTCATGTCATTAATAACCTCATTTTTGATTGAAAGCTAATATTTAGCTTCTACTATATAGGACTACTACAAAGATATAAAAGGGGTTTCTTGAGGAGCAGAGAAATCATTATGTGACTAAGTTAAAATTTGGCAACAATTTAGATGTTATTTTGGCATCCATGAGAATGTTTGTTTCCATACTAATTATATACATATACATGTATATAAATATAGAAATATATTTATGCAGGTCTGTATGTGCATGCTTATGCAGAAAGAACACTTGGCAATCTACTTGGCACATTAAAATACACAGAGAATTTATGGTTTATATTATGAAGAACACAAACATTAAAAAGAATAATCTGTGAGTCGCAGCAGAAAATAGAAAAATAATTTATTAGAAAATTATCTGAGGGTAAAAGGGGTAAAGATAATGCAAATTGTAGACTTCAGTTTTTCAAATGTGAAAAATGGTAAAAAAAATTGTTCTATTTCATAGGCTGAATAAGCTGAAAATGACATTATTCTGAACCATCAATATCTCCCGATTTAAAAATGTCTTCCCTCCGTCTTCTCTTTTTTCATCTCTACTCCCATCACCATCTCACTGAAGTTGTACAACATCATGCAGTCATTTATATTCACCTATTTAAAATAAAAACCTAATCATACCAAGCAGAAGAAAAATGAGTCTTATTATGCTTTTAAGAGAGTGCCAAATGCCTGATCAGCATCTAAAGAGGATCAGGGAAAGATTTAATTGTTAGCTTAGTGCATTTTGAAATATTAGCAGGTCAAAGATTAAGACAGGGAGATAATTCTGGACAGAGAACCTAATAAGGTTGCTAATGCATCTCAAAGAGCAAAAGAGGAGTGTGATGTGTTTTGAAAATATTGATGAGGTTTTACTGTGGGTCCTTACATGTCTGTGGTACATCTTCATTCCTAATGACAGAGAAGTCTTACATTGCTAATGCAATGGATGCTGCATACTTAATGTCCCACATATTCTCACTGTTCAGTAAAATGAAGAACTACCTTTTGATGTCACTAAATTACTCAGCTACATATTTTGGTTATTTTAGACATGGGTGCTTTTACGTCTCTCACATCAATGGTAACTTTGAACACCTTTCGAATACGAAACTCACAGATTAGAAATTAAAAAAATGGTGGTAGGTTTACATTCAAATATATTAGGGATATATTACAAGACAGGCATTGCAAAAGGACCTGAGTTCTAGTTTTCTCCCACATTTGTCCCCCTACTCAGTAATCCTAGAGTAGGAATGATGGAGGTGGAGACATAGTTTAAAAAGAGCTTGGGCTGGGTGTGGTGGCTCATGCCTGTAATCCCAACACTTTGGAGGCTGAAGCGGGCAGGTCACTTGAGGTCAGGAGTTCAAGACCAGCCTGGCCAAGATGGTGAAATCCCGTCTCTACTAAAAACATAAAAATTAACCGGTTGTGGTGGCGGGTGCCTGCAATTTCAGCTACTCAGGGGGCTGAGGCAGGAGAATCGCTGAAACCACGGAGGCGGAGATTGCAGTGAGCCAAGATCACACCACTGCACTGCAGCTTGGGCGACAAAGCAAGACTCCAACAACAACTACAACAAAAAAGGTCATTAACTTATTCTTATAAATGATTATTGCTGTTTAATTAGAAGATTCTAAGTGAACTTAGCTGATAATATTTTCCCCAAGCCAGAATAATGAATTATCTCAATTATACACGTTTTACAGTTTATAATTTTAGCTCTTTGTATTTTAGAGCTCTGAAGAAATACTAACGAAAAATGAAAATTACCATTCAAGAGAATTACCATTTCAAGAGTTGGTATGTTTTAGGAACAAAACATACTTAATCATGCATCTGCGATGGATTTCCTAATTTGGCCTCCCGAGTAGGACACCTTGAGAGGCAAATAGTTCCACAATTATATGGGAAGGAGATGGGAAGGTGCCAGCCAAGAGAGTCTCTCATGTGTATGAAGTAAAGGAATGAAGCAAGGTCTAGGGAAGCATGCTTTTCTCTGTGTGTCATGGTTACAGCAATGATAGAGCATCTGTGGATGAAGCGTTTCCTGATCCTATTTACTTCATGTGATTATTTGATTATTTCAGTAACCACACACTCAGTCACCATTCATTCACATGCTCCTAGAAGAAACAGGAGCCACACCAAATTACATTTTACACATTTTATTCCTGCATTAAGGATTGGATTATAATGTAACCTTTCTGGACTCTTTTCATTTTTATGACATTTATAGCTTTTGTTACATGCCCTTACATATGCCATGTGGATGGAGTGCGAGGAGAAGCAGAGAGCAGTCGAATTGCTCAGCGTTCCTCTAAAAAGGACACCATCAAAAGAGGTGAAGGACCAGGACTTGAATATGTTCATTGAAGACTCTTGTCAATCAAAGAGATCGAGATTGCTGAGAGGCTTATTCTCAGGGACGTGGGTCACCCCCAAATCCACATCCTTTTGGTGATTGCAGGCTGCATTGCCCAATCTTGATGTGCCTCCAGCTCAAAAGGCTCATGGTTTCCTCAACCCTGCTGTTTATTTCTCTCCCTTGTTACATACTTTGTGTCTCTATTCTGTCATACTTCTTTTCCTCCTCAGCACCGATTTTTAATAGACTGTTACTCCTTTCTAGGATACATTTGAGTGACCAAATTCAGGTATGAAACATATTTCTTCCATTGCCAACTTCTGTTTTCTCAAATCCTCCTTTCACATTTACAACTTAGCTGAAATTTTCTGTCTACATTCTCTTTTCTTGCCTTTGAACACTTCTCCTCCTCTGCTCCCCTCCCCAATAGAATCCAGCCTTTGAAATGCTGCCCTACAGTAATTGTTAAGCTAATTTTCTCCCAATTTTCTTATGGTTTACTAGAAAGCCTTTTTTGAGTGGTGACAAAAATTCATAAAGCACATTATGCTAAGAGACATTTGCATAACTTGGTATCCATCAATAATTCAAATGTTGATATAAAGCTAAGCATAGACTTACCACATGACTTAACATTTACGCTTCTAGGTATTCATCCAACGGATTTGAAAAATTATGCTCACACAAAAGCCTGCACATGAATGTTCATAGCAGTTCTATTCATATTTACCAAAAGCTGTGAGGAATCAAGAAGTCCTTCAAAAGGCGAATGGAGAAACAATTGTGGTACCTCCATACCATGGAATACTATTCAGCAATAGAAGTACACTATCAAGCCATGTAAAGATATGAATGAATCGTAAATGAGCATTGCTAAGTGCAAGAAGTTAGTCTTAGAAAGCTACATACCATATCATTCCATTTATATTACATTCTGGAATAGAAAAAAAAAAAACTGTAGAAGCCAAATCAGTGATAGGCAGAGTTTTGGGGAGGAAGACGGATTCATTAGGTAAAGCACAGGTGATTTCTTTCAAGCCTATAAACCATTCTGTACAGGACTGTAGTGGTGGATACATGACATTATTAACTTGTCAAATCCCATATAACTTTATAGTGCAAAGAATTTACTGTAATGTAGGCACAATTAAAAAAAAAATCAACCAGAAGATCAGGAAATCCAGAATGGGATGCAGACTGTAACTAAATAATCTGATCATATTATAAATGTATGAAATAACCTCACTTAAGAGGGTAGGGACAAAGAAATGCTGATTTAATTAACTTCAGTCATTGGGTACAGTGTACACGGCTCAGGTGACAGGTGCACCAACATCTCAGAAATAACCACTTATCCATGTAACAAAAAACAACCTGTTCCCCAAAAGCTATCGAAATTTTTAAAAAATCAAAGAAAAAAGTTATGTATCTAAAAAAATAACTTTGGAATGACTTTAAGACTAATGACAAACTATTAAGCTAGGTAATTATTGTACTCTAGTTGATAAAGTTATTTCTTAACAGGTGTGTGACTTCACAATTATGAAAACTCTGTACATGTCTACTAAAATTAAACAAATAAATAAATGGATGGTGGATGATGGGAGCTAAGTTTTTTACTGTTGAAATGGGGTTAACACATGTTAAATAAAATAGGCAGAAAGCCATTGGCCTGAGGCTGCCTCTGTACATTGAGTTCCAAATAACAAACTACAACCTAACTTAGGAGTATACGTTTTGTAACAGATACCCAGGTCTCAGCCAATCACAAGAAGTCAAGCTTCGGCCAATCACAGGCAGCCAACTGACCAGAGCACATCCAAATAAGGCAACTGCAACCAATCAAGCTATCTCTGTGCTTTACTTCTGTGTTCAGCCTATAAAAGCTCATTGCCAAAACTGCAGAGCAGTGCTCTCTGAATTCTCTTCTGAAAACTCCCTGTTCCCCCAAAACTACTGAAATTAAAAAAGAAAAGAAAAAAATTATTATGTATTGATATGTTTGGTTGTGTCCCCACCCAAAATCTCATCTTGAATTGTAATCCCCATAATCCCAACACGTCAAGGGAGGGACCAGGTGGAGGTAATTGGATCATGAGGGTGGTCTCCCTCAGGCTGTTCTTGTGATAGTGAGTCTCGCGAGAACTGATGGTTTTATAAGCATCTGGCATTTCCTCTGCTTGCATTCACTCTGTCCTCCTGCCCTGTGGAGAAGGTGTCTGCTTCTCCTTTTCCTTCTGCCATGATTGTAAGTTTTCTGAGGCCTCCCCAGCCATGTGGAACGGTGAGTCAATTAAATCTCTTTCCTTTATAAATTACCCAGCCTCAGGTATTTCTTCATAGCAGTGTGAGAATGGCCTAATACATGTATTCTAAAAAAAATTAACTTGGCCGGGCGCGGTGGCTCATGCCTGTAATCCCAGCACTTTGGGAGGCCGAGGCGGGCGGATCACGAGGTCAGGAGATCGAGACCATCCTGGCGAACACGGTGAAACCCCGTCTCTACTAAAAATACAAAAAAAAAAAAAAAAAAAAAAAATTAGCCGGGCGTGGTGGCAGGCGCCTGTGGTCCCGGCTACTCTGGAGGCTGAGGCAGGAGAAGGGCGTGAACCCGGGGTGCGGAGCTTTCAGTGAGCCAAGATCGCGCCACTGCACTCCAGCCTGGGAGACAGCGAGACTCCATCTCAAAAAGAAAAAAAAAAAAATTAACTTTGAAGATGACTGAAGACTAATGACAGATTAAACTATTAAACTGTATATAAGTATTGTACTTGTTTAGAGTCCAATTCATGAGTTATTCGTTGCTCAGATAAACTCTTTTACATTTAATTTGTCTAAAGCTTTTATATTAACACACATAAGCGAGGGAGAAAGCTAGAATGAGCCTCATTTTTATGGATTAAGTTGGAAACATCAGTATGAATTCGTGTTTAGCTTAATGTAGAGAGTGATGGCTATGTGGAGAAATAATTCTAAACAATGTGTATGCAAAGGTTGGCAAACACACATCTATTTCCTAGCCCTGCTCACCTAGGAAACCTAAGAGCAATGGCTTCCCACTGGCAATGAGTACAGCCAGCACCCACGTAGTAGTTTTTAATGCCATTCACCGGTAAAAGGAACCAGGGTTTCTTGCAAAAATAGCTAATTTTAGGGCCGATTCTGAAATACACGTGATGAGCCAGGAGCATCTTCTAATGTCAGAAACTATGGAAGTGCTTTAAAAGATGACATGGTATGTCAAAGAGATGCACGAGACAACTGAAAGAGTTTCCAACTGCCAAAGCTTATAATGGTATGTTAAATAATGTAGTAATAGATTACAACCCAAAGCATAAATACGTTCCTGTAATCCCAGCTACTCAGGAAGCTGAGGCAGGAGAATCGCTTGAACCTTGGTTGTGGAGGCTGCGGTGAGCCGAGATGGAGCCGCTGCACTCCAGCCTGGGCGACAGCGTGAGACCCCGTCTTAAAAAAAATATCCCCCAAAAACAAAACAAAACAAAAAAAGTATAAATAAATATCCATGATTGTATACTGACACAAATAAATAATTGAATAAGTAAAGAAATGTAGAATAGATAAATCTACTATACAGAGAATTCCAAATAAGCTACGTAGCTGCTCCCTCCTCAAGGTGATAGAGTATAACTCTGTACTCCTTATGTGTCTGTGGGGCTACATGTAGTAACCTGCTTCCAAAGAGTACAGAATGGGAATGGGGGAGTAACAAAGTAACTTTACAGTGAAGAAACCTGTCAGTCTTGTCAGGTGATAAAGGTTTATGGCATCAGAGATAAGTTGTTAGCATAAACTCTTGATGTGTTGTGTTGAGAATGGCACTTTCATAACCCTAGGTTAGCTGTGAGAAAAACCTCAGCCAAATTCGAATTGAGGGACATTGTACAAAACACCCAACAGGTAAACCTCAAAACTCAAGGTCATATAAAACAAGAAAAATGTAAGAAACTGTCACAGCTAAGAGGAGCCGTAGGAGACATGATGACTCAATGTAGTGTGGGATCCTGGAATAGAAAAGTGACATTAGAGAAAAATTAGGAAATCTGATAATGCGTGTTCTTTAGTTAATATATATTACTATGTAGAGAGTTACCCAGAAAGCAGGATTTGACTGGTTAACAGCCCCAAACTAAGAAGTACCTTTGGTGAGACAAAAGCCTCCTGTGGGCAGGGAGATGCGTGGTGGAGTGGGGTGGTCTGGATACCTGGACTGGGAGAAGAAAGGATTGAGGAACTAAAGTAGAGCTCTATTATGGGATGTAGACTTTGCTCCAGCTGGGTGCTGTAAAATCTTGAGAATGAATCAGCTGCAAGGATTCAAAGCCAGAGCGCAATGCAAAGGCTCTTCATTGATGAGTGACTAAGAGACAGCCATATAGCTGTGTAGGATTTGTCAGAGTCTCGCTTTCTGTTACTTTGGAATCCTGGAAAAACTAGAATCTCTACAGCTCAAAGTTAGTCTGGAAAGTTTGGGCAATGGAAACATGCTTTACATTGAGTTCTGAAGGTTAGAACATGTATGAATTGTTGAAGTTAAGCTATGGGGGGTCCTTGTAAATGAGAATTAGGCACAGATAAACAGGTGGCAATCAACTGGCTTGTTTGGCTAAAATAGAGCAGACAAGTCTGGCTGTGACACTAGGAGAAATCAATTTGATTTGAATGTTGGGGGAATCAATAGAAAGAAATCATAAAATGGCCAGTGGTGTATTTATATAAAGTTGATGAGTTTATATTCTATTATCAGAGAAATTGTAAACGGTTTTTCCCTGGAGAATACATGTTTCACTCTTTTTGAATATTTTTCTGTTATGTAAGGTACTTTAATTTGATACAAAGGGATTGTGATATTGTGAAATATTGTACTTGGTTTTCATCACTGTTTCCTGACATGCAGTTCCTAAAACCCTTGCCATCTCCAGTGGTATGTGTCTTTTATATGCTAATGAGGTGGCTTGTGGCTAGGATGGGGGCTAGTCACCCAAGACCAAGGCATGGTTAGAAGATTGGAACTTTCAACCCCATCGCCCAACTTCCTTTAACCTTTAGGGAGGGGAGAGGGGCTGAAAGTTGAGTTGATCACCAATGGCCAATGATGCAATCAGTTATGCCTATGTAATGGAACCTCCATAAAAGCCCCATAGAGCAGGGTTTGGAGAGCTTTGGATTGCTGAATGCATGGAGCTTTCTAATGGATGGTGTGTCCAGAGAGGGCACAGAAGCTCCAAGCTCCTTCTCACATACCTTGCCCTTTGCATTTCTTTCCTCCAGTTGTTCATCAATATCTTTTGTAATATTCTTTATTAATAAACCAGTAAAATGTAAGTGTTTCCATGAATTCTGTGAGCCATCATGGGAAATTAATCAATTCAAGGAAAGGAGTTGTGGAAACCCTCAATTTATAGTCAGTCTTCAGGAGTTCCAGAGGCCCAAACTTACAACTGGTGTCCCTAGTGTGGGCAGTTTTATGGGCCTGAGCCCTTGACTTGTGGGATCTGACACTATCTGCAGGTAGATAGTGTCAGAATTGGGTTGAATTAGGGGACACCCAGTTGAGGTCTGCTGAAAAATTGCTCATTAGGGAGCTGATGTTACCAGCCCACAGCCACAGCTTGCTGGGGCAGGCAATTTTTGCCTTCCACCTCCACATTTTGGTGACCAGAGATGAAGCATTCTGTATAAGACAGGAGGGTAAGAAAATCATTTTTTGTTTTTCCTATAACCTCACTCACAGTGGTCATTTCGTAGTTGATGTGGGCCAATTCAATTGTGTTAGTCTATTAGCAGGTCATAGACACAATGCCACATTCAGCCAGATGGTTAGGTTATTAGTTGGTCAAGTAACCAATCAAATATGGTGAATGAATAACAGATCAAATTTTGGGGAGATAATAAACATATCTCTTTGTGATCTCCAAATTTAAATTGTTAAAAATATCACACTTTAAATGAAATATGCATAATTTTGAATTAGTTAAGGACTGTTTTAGTCATTTTGAATGGCAGGCTGATAAGTGGTCCCCAATGATCCTGCGTCTTGGTATTCACACCTTTGCATAATTCTCTTCCCTTAAGTGTGTGTTGTACATAGTGACTGACTCATTAATGAATAGAATATGGCAAAACTGATGCGATGTCACTTTCACGATTGGGTTACAGAATACCATGACTTTTGTTTCTGTCTCTGTCTCTGTTACTCACCTCTTGCTCTGGAGGAAGCTGGCTGCTGTATTGTGAATGGTTTGCAGAGAGGCTTATGTGACATGGAGCTGGTGTTACCAGCCCACAGCCAGCCAGGACTGGAGGCCTACTGAGAGCTACATGGATGAGCTTGGAATTAGGCCTTCTCCCTGTCATGTCTTGACATGATTGCAGCCATCATTGACCCGTTGATGGCAGCCTCGTGAGAGATGCTGAGCCAGAGGTCACAGTGAAGCTACGCCAGGAAGCCTGACCTTCAGAAACTGTGAAATAAAAACCTTTGTTTTAAGGTGGTAAATGTTGGGGTAATTAGTTATCAGCATTACATGACTAATCCAGTCATATACATTTTATATTACATTAAAATCAAGTCAAAAGATGAGCTTTTACCTTTAAATAAGGAGGGTAATATTAACATTCTGGGAAAATATCTTTCAGCTGTTTGAATACGTGTTAACAGGGTTACTTCTGTATATAGGACAGCTATGAAACTAGACAACAGGATTGCTATTTCTGGAGGAGCACTGTGGCTCATCCCTGTAATCCCAGCACTTTGGGAGGCCGAGGTGGGTGGGCCACTTGAGGTCAGGAGTTCAAGACCAGCCTGGCCAATATGGTGAAACCCCATCTCTAATAAAAATACAAAAATTAGTCAGGTGTGATTGTGCAATACAAAAATTAGTCAGGCTTGATGGTGCATGCCTGCAATCACAGCTACTTGGGAGACTGAGGCAGGAGCATTGCTTGAACCCAGGAGGCAGAGGTTGCAGTGAGCTGAGATCGCACCACTGCACTCCACCCTGAAAAAAAAAAAAAAAAAAAAAGAAACGATTGCTATTTCTTTTACCTTTTCAGAATAATCAACAGCATGTACTATATTTCAAAGACAATTCCTTAACAGTTCCTTAAGCAAACATGCATGAGTCATTCTATTGTGTTTTCCTTATATTCTTCCCCCAGTTAGCGTGGACTCATCAATCATTAAGAGGAAAAGAAATAACTTGACTTTAGGCATGAAATGGAACAGAAAGGAATATTTGGTCTTGCTTTCTAACTCCTCCTAAACGTGTCTACATTTTAACTCTTCAAGGGGCATAGGCTTGTTTCACATGTTTTTGTTAATGAAATGGAAAGGAGGAAAGCGATGGTTCTAGATAAAGTAAAAGGCCTCTGTCAAGCCTCAGGTTAGAGGAGGGAAATACAAATCAAATGGAATCTAAGATAGTTTGTCCCACTTTAATTTCTCTGGTTCTTCATATCATGTTCAAAACTGCTCCCTATTCTTTTCTGTACAAATGGGGCCCATTTTCTGTACAGATATTTTTCTTTTTTATTATCTTTGCTAATGTTCCTTATATGCACAGATCAAGCTTCACACCTTCTTACACTCACTTTGCTTCTTTTGGCATGTATTCTGTTTGCCTGCCATATGTAACTATACTTGCAACATTTCCAGACCCAGTTTAAAATTTGAAATATATTCTCCGCTACACTTTGTATTTTTTGCACCTTTGGAACTTGGCATAACTTTTCTCCGTCAGAATCTGATTGATCTTCTTTTATTTTTTTCTTTAGTTAATGTCAAAGAAGCATTGCCTCTACTTTTATCATTTTTGTCCCAACTCTGAGTTCAGAGAACATAAAAATGTAGCAGTGTATCAGAAAAATATCTTTGTAGTGTTGTGGGGGCAATCCTAATAGACAGGTACTTGTGTTCATAAAACAACTGGATTAGATCAGACAGTATTCGTTTAAGCTTTTTCAGCTGACTTTGTGTGGTGAACCTTCCTCTGCTAAGGAAGGATACTGTCTCAAGTGACCTTTTACTAATGTAAGAATGAAGGTTTGTCAAATGTGGGATCTGATTTATACTGCAATTCACAGAAGTATTATGCTTGGAGATACTGAACTAAAATCATGCTTCCTAATTTATCTGATGACTCTTTACAGACACAGGAAACTATTCTATAATAATTTATATTGCCCACCAAGTCACAGATGGATGAGTGCTTATGCAAGTATTCCAGATTGAATCTTCTTTCTCCTGCTAGACACCTCCGTTTTCTAAGATCAAGGTCAAGTTTTACTCCCTTCACAAATCCCTCTCTGATCACACCCACATTGATCTTTAGGCATTAATTGTCTTTCTTACTTTAACTCTTAATTATATATTCTTAAGTAGCTTGGAATACTCTCCCTTCTCTCCATTGCCTGACAAACACATACTTGTTATTCAGAACTCAGAGAGAACATCACCTTCACCTTGAAGTCACCCCTGACCACTCTCACCCAGGAGAGCAGGTGTTCCCTCAACACTGTTCCCATAGCGTCATCTGTGTGTGAGAGTACAGATGCATCCCTCCATTTGATAATGTACCTCTATCTACCTTCTCTCTCCCCATTGCAGAGTGAGCTCCTTTCCAGTAGGAGGTTCATCATTTTCAACTCTGTCTCACTATATTCCTGTCTGGAAAATTAAGGAAACTCAACATATATTTGAGCTTTTTAAATTCACCATATATTTGAGCTTAATAAATAAATGAACACAAAAGAATAAATGAACATGTAAAGGAATAGATTATTGCAATTTGTATGTATCAAATAATGACAGATGCATATAAATTAATTCATTGTATGTATCAATAAATCAACTATGTGCATGAATTAATCATTATGTATAATTAACTTAGAAGCATCAAATTAATTACCAATACATATTAATTAATAGTTACATACATATTTATTTCTTGCTGAATAAGTAGAAAAAAATGAGTACACAAGATACATGAACTCTCCTGTTTAACTGAGGGAAGAGATTTTGTTTCATTCACATATGACATATTTTAACAAAATGTTTTTATTAGAAATACAATTTACTCAACTTTAAGAAAGTTAGAATTTAGGGAAGAAAATAAGGAAGATGTCACTTGGAGGACAAGCACCAATAAACCCAGTGTTTTAATCATAGCACTTGATATATTTTCTTTACATATTTTTCATGTAGATATTGTCATGTCTTATACTTTTGCATGCTATCATTAGAATGATTGCATAATACTCAATATAATAGAGGGTCATAGCTTGACCTATTGAAATCCACCAGCTGAAGATCATAAGAACACAAATGAATGAAACAAAATGAGGTTTATTTAGCTTGCTGTTGCAAAGGAGAACACTCACAGGTGGAACTGTGGAGGTTCCAGTAGGAGGATTTGGGGAAAGGTTTATGAAAGGATTTAGCCTCAAGCAGGGTGATTCTAACAGGGCTTAAAGAGGAGAAGGCCATTTCTGACTTGGATGCTGTCAGAAAGCAGGGGCAATTTAGAGACTGGTTATATTGGCAATTACTCTCTAGGAGGTGGGAGGATCAAAACAGCACTGTGTTGTATTGGTAAATCAGCGGAAGCCACTAGGGTTAGTACAAAGAGAGGGCTGTTTAGTTGTTTTGTGGTTGCAGAATGTCCTTGTTGCTATCTTGTTTCAGGCATGGTGACAAACACATCATGCTTAGGTCATCATTGATATTGAGTGTGTATTTATTACAGCCTTCTCTTACTTCCCATTGCCAGGGCAAGTTTTCACATTCTGAAACTACCTCTTATTGGATATTTAGTTTTTTTCATATTTTCAATTTTATGATGTAATGTCTTATGCACCATTGTAAATACAGTTTCCTGATAAAAAATAGAATCTCGGAGATGGCTATTAGTATCAAATATGTGGTCATTTTTCTTTGTTCTCTTTTATAACCATATTTTCCTGACAAATTGCCATATGTCACTATTAACAGTAATATATGATACTGTACCTCCATCATTACTGTGAATTGTACATTTTAAAAATGGATTATTTTAATACGCAAAGATGGAATCTAATTTTTAACTTGAGTTTCCATAATTATTTGTGAGGTTGATTTTTTTTTAACCTCTGCATTTGCTCTTTTTGGAGTATCTCTTCATGTTGTTTGTCAGTTGGGGCCTTGTGTTTCTTATTCAATTCATGTTAGTTCTTCAAGGAATTGAAAATACTTTTACAGTTTAGTAAAAAAATTTTTTTGCATATTAAAATTTTATGTAGTTCCGTAGGCCCATTTTTTCCCTTTGTGCTTTCTACCATGCCCTTCTTATTTTCATACACCCTTCCAATGGCCCAAACTTGATTTTACTATTAAGTTTAACTCTTTAGTCCATCTGAAGTTATTTAGGGGTATGGTGAGAAATCCAACTTTAAAATATTACTTTGAAAGATATGATCATATTCAATTTCTTGATAACTACCTTATTCATTTTCTTATACTGAGTAGCATCTTTGGACAGATGAATATATTTGTTGATGCTAAAAGTGAATATTGGCTATTTTTGAAAACGGTATTTGACTAGGCAAAATCTGAAGTATTTCTTCAGGGCAAAAATGTCAGCTATTGGCAGAAATCTCAGCAGATATTGTGAATAAATGGATGGATGAATAAGAAAGAAAGAAATGATTATGAGCATACAGCAAAATGTTATGGCAACATATTTGAGCTGCATGATTCTCTATAAATTAGTGGATTTAAAATTTCAAAATGAGGTAATTGTGTTTTGCTTTAAGCTATTAAATTTGGGATGTTACTCAAGAATACTCATCTATTAGTTTACTATTTTCCCAAGTAATTTTGGTTAAATGTTTATTTGAGAAACAAAGGCAACTTCCTGAAAGAAAATGTGTCAATAATGTTTGAATCTGAATTTTTATTGTATGTAATCTTGGTTTTAAGTCGGTGATAAAGTTCTATACACTGAGTATAATCTTATAAATACCTATTGGAGGCTGGGTGCAATGGCTCATGCCTCTAATCCCAGCACTTTGGGAGGCTGAGGCGGGAGGATCACCTAAGTCAGGAGTTCCAGACCAGCCTGGCCAACTTGGTGAAACCCCCATCTCTACTAACAATATAAAAATATTAGCCAGGCATGGTGGCAGGTCCTTGTAATCCCAGCTACTGGGGAGGCTGAGGCAGGAGAATCGCTTGAACCTGGGAGGCAGAGGTTGCAGTGAGCTGAGATTATGCCACTGCACTCCAGCCTGGGCAACAAGAGTGAGACTTGGTCTCAAAAATCAATCAAACAAACAAACAAAAACACTCATAAAATAACTTAGAATATAATCCTTTTTCAGGTATCATGTACTAATTTTTATATCTGATTACAGTTTTGAGGCAAAAAGGAAATGTACTCAATAATAAAATATATATTTAAAATGGTTGATATTTGAGTTTAAATATTTTAATAATTACTCTAAGTACTGAGACTAGTAAATATTGAAGCTGAATGCCTTTAAGTATCTATACCAACACATGTGTCTATTTTATAAGTATAAATATGATTTCATACATTAAGCACATATGTATTTAAAAGCTATGATACTTTCAGAAATGTAAACAATTGCTTTTCTGTGTTTGTTGAAGGCTCAATTCCACTAGGACTCTTGGCTCCGAATACGACATGCTTTCTTCATTCATGACAATCTTACAGCATCAATCATGTCCTGCAGCCATTGTGTTGCTCAGTGCTCTCCCTGTAATTATTTTTCAGAGCACTTTATAAAACAGTTTAATGCCACTATATAGAAACAGATATAAATTAATTCCATTTCCAAGGGATTTTAAGAAATGCAGCTTTATTTTAGGTTGCAGCTAATTTTGAATTGTTACTTTTAGTAGAAGCTTAAAACAGTTTCTTTACAATTAAAGATCAGGGTTTCAATGTTGCAATCTGGGAAAAAAATTGCAGTGTAACAGTGAAGCATTTTCCTTTTTTCTTTTTTTTTCTTTTTCTTTTTGGTCATGGGGAGTGGGGAAATGCAATCAACAGTCCCTCTGCCATATGCTTCAACTTTCATGTCTGTTTTGCCATCATCTATTCCATTAACATTATGATTAATGAAAGCTCACTACAATTTCAAATATTTTGAAAACTAGCCAATGCTGGCTCTTTGGAGGCTACATTGAAAATAAATAACAATAAAAATAGTGTGACTTAGGCTTTTGAAGTCTTTAAAGAAACCATCACTATGATCTTTACTACTGCTGCGGAAAAGAGGACAACACTCCACATTTCTGGCATTGTAAATGACAACACCGCAACTGAAAGCAAGCTTGAATTTCTGGGAGTAGCATTAGGATACAGGACCCCTGCTGAGCTCACCAGTTCCTTGCTCTACACAGCTGCTTTCTCAGCTGGGGTTTTGAAATAAGCACTGTGAGAAAAGACAGAAATGACCATGATGCATCTTTCTCACTATGAGAAAAAGGTAATGTTTAATTAACGCTTCAGGCTTCTGGTTTCCAACTTATTCCTGTATTTGTTTGTGTGTTTTGCTTGGAAGCTTTTTTTTATGCTCTTGTTCCTTTTCATTTCATGGAATACAATGCCTAACTCAAAATGTCTTTGTGCTTGTACTTATGTGAGAAGGATGCTGTACTTCTGGCTTTACTGAAATTAATAAGAGCAGTCTGTACATTTATACTCACAAGATATTAACATGGCTCATGCTCACTTAGCTGAGCTTGTGTGTAACGTAGTAAAAATGCCACAAGCGAAAGAGCTTGTTTTAAAAATATTTCAACAAATGCAGCATCTGACTTGTTGAAAACTCATGTATTTACTTTATCTATTGCTGTCCTATAAAATTGTGCCTTGAGGTTAACAATGAGCTCTACTTTAAGGCTGGATTAAGTAGTAAGCAAAAAATTAGTCAATTTCAATAAACAATGCTTTAAATCTTCCAGCCATGAATAATCATATTATCTCCGTTTTAACTTGTTACAAATTGTACTTGGATTGCATAGATAAAAATTAATTAAAAACACATGAAGAATTCTATTCTTCATAGCTTTTTTTGGTTCTGCTTCTTAGAGAAAAACCCAACGGGGTTCTTAACAGTATCCTTTTCATCTCGTTGAGAATACAATTGACTCTTGAACAACAAATGGGTTAGGGGCTCTGACCTCTATGTAGTTGAGAGTCTGCATATAACTTTTTACTCCCCCAGAACTTAACTACTGATTGCCTATTGTTGAGTGGAAGCCCTACCAATAACATAAACAGTCAACACATATATTATATGCGTTATGTATATTATATACTATATTCTTACAATAAAGCAAGCTAGAGAAAAGAAAATGTTAAGAAAATCAGAAGGAAGAAAAATATATTTTTTATTAAGTGGAAGTGGATCATCTTAAAGGTCTTCATCCTCATTGTCTTCATGCTGAGTAGGCTGAGAAGGAGGAGGAAGAGGAGGGGCTGGTCTTGCTGTCTCAAGGGTGCAGAGGTGGAAAAAAAATCCATGTATAAGTGGACATTCACAATTTGAATTTGTATTCTTTAAGGTCAATGGTTATTTATTTTACTAACCCAGAATGATCTCCATAAGAAGTGCTCCGTAATGTATGCATGTATAAGTGTATACTTCACCCTGACTTGGGTATTATGAATTACCTCTGTGATTTTCATTAGTTTTCTGGTTGGAAAGTTGAATACTTTTGAACTTGAATAATGTTCTTAGGAGTAAAGTTCAGAGGTTGGATATTTATTGGAAACATGTCAATTTAGTTTTATTTTAATGGTTTAGACTGAAATATTGATTGACAACACTTTAGTAATTGCTCAATATAAAAACTGGTCAGCAATTAATTTTACAAACATTTATTATGTGTCAGGCTTTGGGTTTGGCAAGGAAGACAAAAGATAAGTATGTGGCTCTCACTCTCAAGATCCTTATAGTTTCATTCTTTGGCTCAATAAGCTGTTTTCTGAGGAAGGATCTGATGTTTAACTTTATTGCTGTACAACCTATGTTGCAGTAGGGTGTTGCAGAAAGTATTGAATTACACCTCCAAGTAAAATAATATTTGCCTAGTAGGCAATTGGTCTTAACTGGATGAAGTTTTGCCTACTCATGCTACAACTATTTATTGAATAACTATTTTGTATCAAGCACTGTTGTAAACACTACAGATATAGTAGAAATCAAGACAAACAGAATCTCTACCCTCATGGAGCTTACATCCTAGCAGGGACTGGGGAGGAGGAGGTAGCATGCACTTTTGCACTTTTTTTTTTAGTAGGACAATGAGTCAAAGGTGCCCTAGAAATTGAAGCTTCTGACTTGATACTAAGCAATTAATATGGCCTACTTGCTTTCTATACTGTATGGCACTGACCCAAAGGAAAAGAAAGAGCTTCTACAATACTTGTAAGTACTTTTCTAACACTTGCAAGTGATTTTAAAGTCAGACAACAAAAAACTTATAATAATATAACCCTTCCAAATTATGTGTTAAGAATAGTATACAAAAATTATTAACACTATTCATGTAGGGTAGTGATTTTAAGTTTTGGACATTCAGAAGTGGTTAAAATTTCTTAGCAATAGTTTACCTGGAGCTTTCCCTTGACCTGACAATTGGCAAAACCCACAGGTTCTTTTTTTTTTTGAGACGGAGTCTCGCTCTGTCACCCAGGCTGGACTGCAGGGGCATCATCTCGGCTCACTGCAAGCTCCGTCTCCCGGGTTCATGCCATTCTCTTGCCTCAGCCTCCCGAGTAGCTGGGACTACAGGCGCCCACCACCACGCCTGGCTAATTTTTTTGTATTTTTATTAGAGACCGGGTTTCACCGTGTTAGCCAGGATGGTCTCAATCTCCTGACTTCGTGATCCACCCGCCTCAGCCTCCCAAAGTGCTGGGATTACAGGCTTGAGCCACTGTGCCCAACCAACCCACAGGTTCTTAATGCCTGCTGAAATTGCTACACACTCTCTGTGGGTCTGCTTTGGTTACTAGTGACAATGTCCACCACAAAAAGAACTTGAAAAACATTTATATGTGGCTTCATATCACCTCTCTTTTTCATTTTGAATAATTCATATTTCCTGTTTTAGGATTGCAGTGGAATACATGTTTTCTATTTTCTTTCTTTATCTTTTTTTTGGTTTCTTTCTTCATTTGTTTCTATTTTTTCTCTCTATTTTCACATAAGCATCTAATGTTTTTGGCTCACACTAAAGTATTTTAAATCCATTTCTCCATTATCATTTCTGCCATAACAGTTGGAAGAAACCTAAGTTCTTATGTCCCCAGTCTCTTTTGCAGTGAGAGCAGCCATATGCTTTAGTTCTGGAAACTAAGACATGGCCTGAACTTGCTAAGAGCTCTAGGAAGGATTTTGCTTTTCCTCATGTCAGGGCATGTTATAAGGTATTACCTGATATAATTCCTGGCATGGCTCCTTCTTCCTTCTTTCTTGAAGGCAGACTGCAATGCTGAAAGCTACTGCAGTCATCTTGCAACCAGGAAGTAAACATGAGAAATCCCAAGAGAATTTCAGAAATTGTCAAACCACTGAACCAATGCTAGCTGCTTCCCTCATGACTACTTGTTATGCCAGAAAAATTATCCAATATTTATTAAGCCACCCACTCTATATAGTGTTTCCTGTTATTTTCGGTTGGAAGCGTTCCTATCAGATGATGCCACACACATAACATGCATAAACCATTGTTAGTAATTATTGAAAGTTGAGCATTAAGCTATAAATTAAAACACAACAATGAAGACAAAATGCAATTCTTATCTTGAAGAAGCTTATGGTGAACATTTTATAAGTTAAGCCAATAAGAATCAAAAACCCTTCTGATATTAGTTGAAGGTCTGCAACTAATCTGGACTGGTATGTTTCTTACTGATTCTTGGCGTTTGTTTTCTCATATATAAAACAAGGGATTGCATTATTTCCTGGGTCTATTGCAGGCATAAATTTCCAAGTTTATTAGAATAAAATGTATTTTAAATTCATGGATTTATAACACTTCTGTCGAACGGTATTTTAACATTTGTATTCCATGGATACTTTGGATGCAAAAGAAGCCTTCGCACATTTCCTGTTCACGCTTAGGATTCTGTGCATACTACATTGAAAAAGCTGGGCTATGAGTTTGAGCATTTTGATATGGCATTCTAAAACTTCATTTACTTAGCATTCTAAAAGTCTAGTTTATTTGTTTACCTACTGAACAGCATAAATAGAATACCGGGAAATATCTTTTAGGAAGAATTTTTCCCAAGAAAATCCTATACAACTTCAGTAATTTTCTTCCCTTTTATGAGCACAAAATTCAGACAAAAATAATTCCATTAATATGGAGGTATGGCTGATGCACTAGGTTTGCCAGCCCTTTTGTGATATGACTGCACAATTGTATGAAATTGCCAGAAAGAATTTTCACTGATAGCAGGAAAAGTATTTTAAAATTGCTCTTAGGAGGCATAAAGGACAACAAAGTGTTGCTATACTGTTTAAAAGATTATGAACAAATGTGAATTAATGGAAGAATTGATGATAAACAACATGAATTGCAGTCTACTATATGTTTCCATCTCATTTTGCAATAGCAAGGGGTTATGTGTGCTGACCAAGTGCCAGTTGCTCCAACCAAGCCTTGTTTTTTTTTTTTGTCATGATATGTTGATGCTTAATTCTAAATTGTAATTTGGTTGGTGTTGGAAATTGAGATGTACGAAGAAGCCATCACTGGAAATAGAAACGAGGCAAAATATAAAAGAAAGAATTGATAGCCAGTACAGAAATTTAACACAGAAAATGAAAAAAAAAGCAAAGAAGAAAGAATGGTGTGTGTGTGTGCGCATATGTATGTGTATGTGCTTGTGCATAGGCAGACATATGGAGTAATTAGGCAGGGAGAATAAAAGTGCATCAGTGTAGAGGTTGTGTCCTTTTTATGAGATGAGGAAATTATTTCTGGACAATTATCATTACTTCTAGTTTTCCAGAGTAATATGCAGTTCACAGGCTGGAGAGCCAATCTGGTACTTAAAAAGGAGAGATTCTTGCTTTCTTTGAAGCAGCATAGCGTCTCAGGGTGTTGGTTGAGTACCACAGAAACAGAGATGCATGTTCTCTACATGCTGGAAGCAGTCATCCTGTTGCTAAGGAAACAGCCTCACTCAGCAAGGGTCACCTTTGGAAACAACGGCAAGACTTCAAAGCAGATCAATAGAGAAATACCAAGACCTGAACTTCCTAGCAAATGCTCTCTTCTATTTTAAATATCCTTTTCAACAAATGTTTGCTTATGTGATTTCTGTTTAGTGGGCAGTAGCAAGGCAAAATTGAATGTGTAATAAGTCGAGCCCAGTATTTTTCAAGCTCTGGCTCTTGGAGATCTGTGGTTTTTGGTAGATGCTTTGAGTGTGGGATTGTGCAGGAACAGCAGGATGGAGATGGATTGATATCAGGTTTAAAAAGAGATGCTGCATTTATGGCTTCATTCGAGGGAAAGGTTCCACTCACTAAAAAATGTAGATTCTTTCCTCATGCAACACACTTCATTACTCATGTGTCCACATTAGTGAGATTTTTTTAATTTCTGAAAATGTCTTGTCATATCTTAGGTTTATGCACATTTTTGTGTCACTAAAGAATATTTCATTCATGTATTCATTTGTTCATTCATTTGTCAAATATCTTTGATTTTCTACTGTTTCAGGTACTCTGGGGATAAGAAGTGAATAGAACATATTTAAGTTCTGGGGGACTCAATCTGAAGAAGAAAGCAGATACGGAAATAAAACAGTGGAATCACTTGCAGAGGAAACACAAGGAAATGCTTATAATTTTTTCCTGGGGAGGTGAGGGAAGGCATTTGGGGAAAGAAAATGCCCGATATTATCCTTGAAACATGGATTAGAACTGAACAGGGAATCTAGTCCTAGAAGTCCCAAGACAGAGACAACAGCAAATACTAAGTGCAGAGAGGTGAGGAAGAGATTTCATTTGGCTTCTGTTGATGAAGTTTAGGATATATTATGAAATGTGTTTCGACAGGAGGCCAGAAAATGAAACTGGGCCTGGATCATAAAAGTTCTTACTTAATATAAAAATAAGTATATACTTTACTGCTAGTTTTTCAGATTTTTTAAATTTAATGTTATAATAAATAGAGCCTAGCTTGGTATTATTCCTCCCTTACCCCTTTGACAATATAAAATTTGTTACAAATACCTAACTGCTTTCAGATGCCTGAATGAACTGGAATTTCAGCAGCTATTTATCATCTAAATCAAGAATTGTAAAATTTAGTGATAAGTTCTTGCTATTAACACTCACAAAAATATTTGATTTATTAAAAGATGAATAATTGATTTTTATAACTGGGGTTAGGACAATTTCTGTTTTCAAGATAACTAGTAAAATTAAGTTGTTGGCTTCAACCATTTCTTGAAATCATATACTTTTTTTGGTAGAAAATTTAAGTGACAAATGCAGATAGCTGTTCTCTCTCCTAAAGTGTTATGAGCCACACTGAAATGCACCTTGTTAACTCTTCCTTTATAAGGGACAAGAATGAAACTTGTGTACAAGAAAATGTGGCGGGTGCCGTTGTTTGGGAGCTAGAGCTTGTTGGCCTCATCTAAGTTAGCCACCTGTTCTAGCCTGCATTTGCTGAATAAATTAGATGCTCTTGGGAGAGTGTATGCAGCTGACTGGGTTGCCTTGTTACCTAGGCAACCATTTTTCTTCTGCTCTATGACTCTGAAAGGTTTCATAACTCATTAGTGCTCCTCTGGGCATCAATGAGACAAAATTCCTTTCTTTTCTTTTTTAAGTTCCTGGTCAAGATGATGAGATTAGTGACAATTAATAAATACTCTTACCATATTTGTTTATTTATACAGGATATTTTCCAAATGTTTGAAAAACTTAGGTCCAGACCTTAAAGGCACAAACATAACAGTTAAATGGAGGAATGTGCACAATAATGAATAAAAAATGAAAAACATTTTCAATCTCAGATATTTTCAAAGATTGAAAATATTTTTCAAGTGGAGTTTAAGACAATATGTAAAAACATAGATTCTCTAAGACAGTGGATGAAAACGTATTTTTATAATTATTCCAGCTGTTATCTCCATCAGGCCTTTTTTACTCTGTCTGATATGGCACAAGAAAGAGCACAAGTTAGCAAAGCTGTTATCAGATCCATAAAGCCATTAATTCAGGGGCTAAGTGATCATTTTCAGAATGCCACAGGGCCCAAGGAGTCATGGAGGGATGGCCGACCCTATAATATGGGAACACCATCAGAAATCCATGCAGGCGTTTAATCCTGACATTTAGACCCCAGGATATTTGTTTTCTTATATTTTGTGATCCGTATTTCTTGTCTTTCCTCTCTTCCTTTATATGTTGTCCCTTTTTATTTCATATCTTCATGCATTAGAAGAAATCAGTTAGCCTCCCACACAGGTAAATTTCTTAAATAGTCACCTTATACTAGGAATTCTACATATTATCCCACTTGCTTCATTTCTCATGTCAACTCAATGAGATGGATATCATTTATCTCATTTTACAGGTGAGTAGACTGAGGCCAAAGGTAGCAGAGTTGGTATTTAGATTGAGTTGTAGCTCATTCCAAAGGCATACTTTCTCACTATGCGGTGGTGTCTCTAAAGTTCTATAATAATGACGTATATCCTTTCTGAACGTTGGAGTATTAGGGAGAAAAAAAAGATGATATTTTGATACATTAAAATTAAGCCTCTAAGAGGGCTCTTGTTCTATTTTTTGTTTGTTTGTTTTGTTTTGTTTTTTGACAAGTAGAATGCAACTCTAGGCTCTGCCAAATTCACTGTAGTGCTGGAGCTTTTGTACAGATTATGGGAATAGCCTTATCATACATGGCAATTTCTTTGACACTACTTTTTATTATCCTTCTATAAGTACTAGAGAAACTGATTGAAACTGAACCTTAAACTCCCATTCTGTACCGATCTTACTTGTTGTTTGTAGTTGAAGAATAACATCCTGCTGATATCCACTGCAGGACCGCTAGGACCTCCGTTAGAGATTAAGCTCATGTTTTGATTGTAGACAAACCTTAGTGAAATTAGATTTACCCTAGTTTCTTATTTTCTAGTGATTGTGCATCCTGAGATTTCAAAGGTGGAAATCATATTTTCAAATACACATTTCATTGATAGATACAGGAAAATTTTAAGATACGGCCAAATCATGAATAGACAGTTTTTAAAAAGTACAGTTAGCAGTGTCCAATAAAGCAGTGCAAATATTTTACATGGTGTGAAGGCAGGGGGATTATGTTTTTTTGTTAAGCACATTGTGATTGATCCCTGCTGTAGTTAAAGATTAACACTTCACTAGACATCACAAACATGCAGGAGGAGCACAGAGACGTTATTCTTCTAGAATACAGGGATTTGACAAAAGAAGAAAACACATACTTGCATTTGCTACAAGCATGATTAATTTGCTTTTTTTCTCTCCTATTTCCAGCATCAATGTAATGTCTGAAAGTTAGAAGAATATGGCAATTATTTTCAGTCTGAAAAATAATGTTATGCAAAGGCATTCTATTTGCTTTTTGAGAAACACCTTTATTTTCTTTATTTGCCTCTGCCATTCTCTTCCACATTTACCTAGATTAGATTAAAATACTACTTTTGTGCTCCAAATAGTGTTCTGGTGCCCTTGTTTATTCAATGTGCTTTCAGCAACATTTATGGTCTCTCTTGTATGAGGTACTCTGCTCAGCGCTGGGCACCCAGAGATGAACATGCAGTCCCTCTGTACCATGAGCTCAGCTTTGTGAGGGAGACATATAAGGCAGTCAGTGGTCTCTGTAGGTTAAGTACTGTCATGGAGGATAATGCACCTGTGGGTTGAAGGATCTATTAGAAAGTATTTTCAAATGGAGAGATTCTTCCAGCATCTACTCACACTGAATCTGAATCACCCTCAGTGCTTTGTACTACAGACCATTGTCCCTAACACTTGCCTCAAACACACCCTACCCCTCAAAGAATGGCAATCCTCCCAGATGTCTCCTCATCTCTATTGCGTATTTCTGCAACACCTATGATTAAGTTGCTTGATGACCATTAGAGGCCACAGCACCAATCAGGAGAGCAGCTTACAGGCATGAAGTCCGCGGGCACTTCCCACCAACATTGGAAAGCAACACATTCATGGGATCAGGATTCATTCTGCTGTTGTTTTAAATCTAAATTTTAAGTACCTCTCTATTTTCACACAGAAGAACTCATATTAAACATATTGATCTCTAACTTGATTTGTTCTCAAATAATTTGAAGACCTTTTGGTGTACTCAAGTCACAAAGGATATTTGGTGGTGGACCGTGGACAATCCAGACCAAACCTCCAGAGGGAAGGCAACCAAGGTTGTGCTGGAGAGGCCAGAAGCAGCAAATCATTAAGTCATTTCCATGATGGACTATACTCACTCTGTCTTTTGCCTCTGGTTGTGCCTGTTCTACTTTGTAAATTCCAAAGAGAGAATTTTTATCTAGGTTGGGCCATATGTCTCTGCACTAGATCAGTCAACCATGGCCGAAGAGACTGGTAGAAGTGACCATTGGAAGCATCATTATGAGCTCTCCAGCCACTCCAGCTTGTGCTCTGCAATTACACTGGTTTTACCCTCATTTCCTTGAGCCAGTTTCTAAATAAAAGCAACTTACCACAACTAACTTCCAATTTATTGTCTCAAGTTTGAATTACTGGGCAAGGCCTCTTTTTTAAACTTTATTTCTTCTTACTTTATGTTATCAGGATCACTATTTTTTGTATGCATATACATATATATACAGACACACACATAATTTTTGTGTATGTGTGCATGTGTGTGTGTATATACATATATATACATACACACAAAAAATAGTGATCCTGATAACATAAAAGAGATTTTATATATATATAAATATATATATAAATATATATATAAATATATATATAAATATATATATAAATATATATATAAATATATATATAAATATATATATAAATATATATATAAATATATATATAAATATATATATAAATATATATATAAATATATATATAAATATATATATAAATATATATATATAAATATATATATAAATATATATATATAAATATATATATAAATATATATATATAAATATATATATAAATATATATATATAAATATATATATAAATATATATATATAAATATATATATATAAATATATATATATATATAAAAATATATATAGAGATAGGATCTCACTCTCACTATATTGCCCAGCCTGGTTTGGAACTCATAAGCTCAACTAATCCTCCTTCCTATTTATATATCTATATATTATATATAATATGTACATATCTATTAATATATATAATATTTATATATCTATTTTGTTATATATGTAATATATAAATAGAGACAGGATCTCACTGTCACTACATTGCCCAGCCTGGTTTCAAACTCTTGAGCTCAAGCAATCCTCCTGCCTTAGTCTCTCAAAGCACTGGGATTACAGGCATGAGCCACCGAGCACAGCCCCAGGACCATCAGAACCACCATTAACTTCTATTTCTCCCCTTGTTTTGTTTTCTTTATGAGTAATATTGTTTTGCCATAAACTTCCATATGGCTTAATTGATCTTGATTTTACTCAAAAATGATTCCTGTCCTCTACAGGATTACATGACCTACGGCTTCCCATATAGTGACTCTCCTACTATGGAGTTCTCTTCTCTGTGAGGAACTCTCAGTTAATTTTCCACTGTCTCTGGAGTGGGTTTTTACTAAGATGAATCTTAACAGTAGAATCATGAACAAATGAATGGAGGCAAAAGGAAGGAAATACTTTTAGGAGACACAGGAGTGCAGTATATGTGTGGATGTAAGGATAGCTGAGTCTGGAAAGGTAAGAACAGGCCATGAAGAATTTGAAAGCAATGAGAACCCCATGAAGAATTTTAAACAGAGGAATGACGTGATTAGATATGCATATCAGGAGGGAGGTTAGCTTGATGTAAGACTTGGTGGCCATTGAAGGGCTAGTGAAATAACCTAAAGAAATAATAAAGTTGAAACCACGGTAGTGGCAGTAAAGGTGGAAAGTGGAGAAGAAATATGTGAAATGTTTAGGAGGCGGAATTTATAGTACCGGTGGAGTAATGAGGGAGAGAGTTGAGGCTGACTCTGAAGGCTTGGGGATGTTGATGCTACGACTTTGGAATGGCTGAGTCAAGCAAATTAACATATGCTTTACCTTACATACTTATCATTTTTTTGTGTGTGGTAAAATCTACTCTCTTGGCAAGTTTTACATGTACAATGCATTGCTATTAACTGTAGTCACCATGTTGTACAATAGATCTCCTGAAATACTCCTCTTATCCAATTGAAATTTCGTATCCTTTTCCTCAAATTTTCCTAATCTCCATCTTGCACCTCTAGTCCCTGGGGGCTAACCAACATTCTAATTTCTGCTTCTGTAAGTTTCATTTTTTAGATTCAACACATAAGTGAGATCATGTAGTATTTGGTTTTTTGTGCCTAACTTAGTTCATTTAGCATAATATCCCCCAGGTTCATCCATGTTCCTGCAAAAAGCAGGTTCTTCTTTTTTAAGGCTGAATAATAGTCCATTGTGTACATACACTACATTTTCTTTAACCGTTCATCCATTGATGGATACTTAGGTGGATTTCATATTGTGACTGTTGTGAATAATGCTGCAATGAACATGAGAGGGCAGATCTCTCTTCAAAAAACTGATTTTATTTTCTTTGAATATATACCCAGAAGTAGAATTGCTGGATCATATGGTAGTTTTATTTTTAATTTTTTGAGGAATTCCATGTTTTTTTCCACAACGGCTGTACTAATTTACATTCCCACCAACAATGTGCAAAAGTTCCCTTTCCTCCACATCCTTGCCAATGCTTGTTATCTCATCTTTTTCACAATAACTATTCTAATAGGTGTGAGGTGATATCTCATTGTCATTTTAATTGGCATATATCTGATGATTTGAGAGACTGAATATTTTTCCATATATCTATAGACCATTTGTATGTTTTCTTTTGAAAAATGTCTTCAGGTTCCTTGCCCATTTTTAAATTGGGTTGTTTGTTTCATCGTTACTGAATTGTTTGAGTTTCTTATATACGTTGAATATTAACCCATTATCACATGTGTGTTTTGAGAATTTTCCCTCCCATTTCATAGGTTGTCTCTTCACTCTGTTTCCTTTGCTGTGCAGTAGGCTTTTAGTTTATTGCAATCCTAGTTTTCTGTTTTTACTTTCGTTGCCTGTGCTTTTGAAGTTCTGTGAAATTCTTAACCTTACAATCTGATTGCTGATTCCTAACTGATGGGGCACTCAGGATTTCTAACCCCTTCCTTGTTTCTGACCTCTGATAAGCACTGATAAATTAATACAGCCATTATAAAAACATCTGAAATTTCAGCCTGTTAACTTAAGAGTTAACAAAATAGGAATAGTCCTTTCATTTTTTAGTGATAAAATGTTACATTTTTATTAAAATGTTAAAGAAAATATAGAAATACAAAATGAAGAAAATAAATATAGAAATACGTATTGAAAGATATAAAGTATCTCAAGATTATATGCCCTATACCCAGTGATAATTATTGCCAACCTTTTATTATACATCTTTTATTTTTCCTCTCCTTTTTTCCCCCTTTGGGCTTTTTTTATTTTAAAACATAGTCTTGCTCTGTCACTCAGGCTGGAGTGCAGTGGTGCAATCATAGCTTACTGCAGCCTTGATCTTCTGGATTCAAGTGATCCTCCCTCCTCAGCCTCCCAAGTAGATGGGACCACAGTTGATCTCCACCACACCTGGGCAATTTAAAAAATTTTTGGTAGAGACAAGGTCTGGATAGGTTGCCAGGCTGGTCTCAAACTCCTGGCCTCAAGTGATCCTCCTGCCTCCACCTCCCAAAGTGTTGGATTACAGGCATGAGCCACCACACTCAGTCTATTACATATTCTTTAATATTTAAATTGATGCCCTCTGGAGATTTCTCTGTTTACTCTTCATACTATCTAGTATAAGCATTTTTATTTGATTGTAAAAATATAATCTACATCTTTTAATGTACACAACAGGTTAAGATTTTCATCTTGCTCTTTGATGGCCACCTGTTTTTCTCTTGGCTCTTCCATAATTTATGTAACTAATCTCCTTATGGTCATTGAGTTATTTCCAATTTTTTAAATTACATACAACATTAGGATGGGTACATTTCTACAAATATCTTTGCACATTTGCTGATTATTTCCATAGCATGCATTCTCAGATGTGGACTTTCTGGTCAAAAATAGGAATGTTAACATTTTAATGTATGTTGCCACATTTCTGCCATTAGTTTACAAGATTATTACTTTCTTTCTGCACTGTTGCCAAAAATTCTTTTAAAGTGTCTGCCAATTTGATAGGTGATCAGAGTCTTACAATTGCCTGGCTCTCCAGGTCCTTATCCATATCTTGGGATCTTGTGCTGCAGCTACCATGAATAACGAAGACTTCAGAAATCCATCATCTCTCTAAAGGGGATTTTCTTAGTATTGAAAACAAATTTGGGTTTTACTTCTTAGATTAACTACTTAGTAGTCACTCTTTTTTTTTTTTTTTGAGATGGAGTCTCGCTCTGTTGCCCAGGGTGGAGTGCAGTGGCGCGATCTTGGCTCACTGCAACCTCTGCCTCCTAGGCTCAAGTGATTCTCCTGCCTCAGCCTCCTGAGTAGCTGGGATTACAGGTGTGCACCACCACGCTTGGCTAATTTTTGTATTTTTAGTAGAGATGGGGTTTCATCATGTTGGTCAGGCTATTCTCGAACTCCTGACCTCGTGAACCGCCCACCTTGGCCTCCCAAAGTGCTGGGATTACAGGCGTGAGCTACCGCGCCCAGCCAGTAGTCACTCTTTTATCACTGCTAGATGAACCCTTTCTTTAAGTGATATCTCTACTACTAAAATGCTTAGCAAGAATCTCTTCGAGGATATGAAATTTCCTGCAAGAATCAATTTCCTCTTCCACTCTTCCCATAGATATGCTTTTTCAAAAAAAAAATCTAGTTCTCTTGTTTCAAATATATCAACAATATTTGTTCGTATTTGCTTTTTTTTTTTTTTTTTCAGTAGGCAAATTGTTCATGTTTGGCCAGAACTGGATGGATAATATATTCTGTAACTTGGACAACTAGGGCAGAAGACCCTCCTCAAGTGATGATGGTAATAGTGCAAACTGATTCAAAAGCAGACTTCTTGGACAAGGCATGTGACCAGATTCTGTGGCTGAACTTCTGACTTCCAAAGGTTTACTCACAGTTGGGACTTTCTTCCTTTTTGAATCACACTGACCAGGATTTTGTTGAGAGAACACACACAGTGTGGGTAATGTTTCTGTCCTGTCTTTAGTTTTTGATATAGAGACTTCTTTGCTATAAAATTGAACTGTGTAACATTGATTAAGATTACTCAGGGGAACACTATATCACAACAAATGGTTGAGGCAATTCCAAGACTATTGTATTTCATGGTTCCTTCCTCCTCATTCCGCTGGGGCTGACACCTGGCAACCTCTAGTTCCATTTCTATATCAAAGGTTTAATCATGCAGATACTTTCACAATCAATTTTTTTTCCCACTTCTTCAACAGAATATGAGTTATTTAAGGACACAGAATCTTTGTAAATGATCTCAGTATTCCCCACACACCTATCCTGCCGAAGGATTTATTTAGGATTCAAGAGATACTGAATGAATTAACTTTTAACTATGAGTTATGCTTCTAAGGAAGAATGCAGACATATCAAAGGTATAATAAATTCCTAAGCTTTTTCCCATTTTACTGCTACCAAGTTTATTCAGGCTACCTCTATTCTCTCACATCTCAAAGCTTTCCCAAGCAACATAGAAGAGATAAATGGCTAACCTTGGCGGTGATTACTCATGGTATTAATCTAGTTCACATCAGAGGAATTTGGTACTACTCAGAATGCATCTGGTGTCTAGTGATTCAAAGGTTGTCATTCTGCCTTTTATCTTGGGAGAGTTCTGGTTATTTGCTCATGGTCTCACCATGCCCTGATGCTGGTTGATTCCTTTGTTTAAAAGATTTGGTCTTTTCCATCGTTTGGAGGCAAATCTATAATGGCACTATGTGATGGAGTGCTCTTTGGAATATTGTCTAGGGATGTCATTAAGACACTGTTTACATTATTTGGAAAGTAATGTACCCAGCACCTCCTTAAATCATCTGTGTTTACAATCATTTTCCAAAAAAGTGGGTTAAGATGAGCTCTATCCTTATGACTATGCTGTCACTTTTGAACCAGGCTAACAAATCCATTTGATGGGACATATTCATGTTGGGATCTAGGACTATGAACAGACAAAAAAAAAAAAAACTGAAGTTTGGGTTTCTTTTTCTTTTTCTGCATCTGATGGTATAGCTTTCTTTGGAATACTTATATTTCTAACAATTTCCTTGTCTTGAGTCAAATAACAATTATGGAGAGATCTATTCTTCATCCTGAACTTCTGGAATTCTTGGCAAAGAGAAAAGGTAGCAATTCATGACATTTGATCTACAGGGAACCTATTATTTAGGAAAGATGAGAGAATGATAAATGGAGGAAAATATTTTTCTGGACCAAATGCAGCATTTTAAAATTTTTAATCTGCCTGTTGGTCCAAGTCAGTGTTTCCCAAACCTTACTGCACATTAGAAATCCCTGGGGTGTTTTAATAATAATAATAATAATAACAATATTAATAAATGATAAAAAAGGCAAAGGTCTTATCTCAAGTACTCTGATTCAAATTTGGGGTTTGTGTCTGGTTGTTTTGATTTTTAAAGCCCTTAAGTAATTCTAATATGCAGCCTGATTTAAAACCACTGGTCTATGTAGCAACACCCCATGATATTCTGATATTGCCCTTTAATATTTTCTTAACAATTTTTTTCATAGTTTTCTTAGTTGCTCACAGTGTTTGCAACATTCTTCTGGCATCTCTCAAACATCTCTCATGTTAAAATAAGAAAAATATGCTTTTTATAAAGAAGAGACTTCACTGTGGATATGTAATTTCTCTCACAATGTGTTTTCATGACATGGAATGAGCATGGCTCAAATATGCAGGGATGGCAATGATTTCTTTGGCTTTAGCTTCTTTGGTCTTATCAGGACTTTGTATCAGGGTCCTCATGTGTTTTCAAACTTACCATCGATCTGCTAATAAATTCATATTGTTTTGTACCAGAAAATCCTGAATGATTTGCTTTCAGTCAGTTAGAAACAACTTTTATCCCTCACTGAGATGAGTTCCTCCTAACCAGATGCTCTTCAAAGTAAATCACCTCTTGGGCAACCCAGTCACTATTTCCTTCTCTGTCACCGTTGGCACGCAGGTCTACAGCAAGGCCGCATGACACTTCAACTCTATAAACATAAATGAGATAATAAATGACAAGGTCTCCCGAAAACACCTTTTCAACTTTAGGGTCAATGAACTCTGATCTAAATAAACACTTTAGCAGACCACCAAAAGTCAGACACAACAGCCAGAAGAATAGTCCTAATTTCTTCTGTAATTTTATTTGTTGCAGTTAATTAGCACCAAATAAAATTGTTATGCAGGGACATGGACTCCTAGCATGTGCACATACATACAGTATTTCATTAAAAATATGCTACTGATGTCTAAGGCCCGGTGCTGGCTGTCATAGGGACTATACACTTTCATTGGACATAATCTCTTAAGAAATTTACTATCTATCATCAGAGAGCTAAGGTAGGTATACAAAGATGTAAAACACAAGGTCACAGTGATAAGGGCTATGAGACTGGTACACACTAAATCCCAGTATTTAGAGAGAGTCTTTTCCGCCAGCATGAGATGCGGAGAAGACAGTTTTTCAATGAGATCCTAGGCAAAATCATGAAGGTGAGAAAACTTTTAATGCTATATTTTAAGAAATTAGGGCAGCTCCTGATAATTCTCTCTCTCATTCCAGCTCCCAAATTACTAAACCAAATATATTTTTCATCCTAAATCATGATTGAATGTATTAATTTGTCCCCATTTCTTCAACCTCTAGGTTTAAGCTATCACCATTTTTCCACTGAACAACTAAAAAAGCCCCTTGACTCTTCTCCTAGTATCCATTCTTGGCCATTGCAATGACTGTATGTAATTAGATTAAAAAAATACATATTTTAAATAATTGTAGGTTTACACACAGTTGTAAGAAATACCATGAAGAGATCTTTTGTACTCTTTACCCGGCTTCCTTCAATAGTAATATATTGCAAAACTATAGAACAATTTCAGTAGCAAGATATTGACATTGATACAATCTACCAATCCAGTTTAGATTTTTCCAGTTTGACTTCTGCTCCTGTGTGTGTGTGAACACGTGTTTGTGTGTGTGTATATGTGTATTTATTTCTATGCAGTTTTGTCACATACGTAGGCTTCTACATCTACCACTACAGTCAAAATACAGACCAGCCCCATCACCGCAATGATCCCTCTTTTTGCCTCTTTATAATTACCCACCTCTTTCCCATTACCTGCTTCTCCCCATCCCTAAACCCCAGCAACCACTAATCTGTCTTACTTTTCTATAATTTTTTCATTTCAAGAAGGTTATATAAATGAAATCATTTTGGAATTGGCTTTTGTCATTTAGTATAATTTCCTTGAGATTCAATCAAATAGTTGTGTGTCTCAATAGCTCACATTTTTTAAATTGCTGACTCATATCCCATCATATTCCGTGGTATGCATACATCAGTTTGTTTAACCAGTCACCCATCGAGGGTCACTTGGGTTGTTTTCAGTTTTGACGTCTTACAAATAAATCGGCTATCAATGTTTATGTACAGGTTTTTGTGTGGCTAAACTTTCCTACTTCTGGGATTAAATGCTCAAAAGTGCATTTTTTAGTATAGTAATTGCACAATAATCTCATATAAATACGATCTGATTGGGTCACTCTCCTTTTTAAAACCTTTCAATGACCTCCCATGACTCTTAGCATCAAGCCAGCAGGTCTAGAAAGCCTTGAAATACCTGGGGTCTGCTCTCCTTATCCAGTGCCTTGACCTTCCTCTCCCTCTGTTTCTCTCCTTCAGACACGCGGGCTTTCCTTCCATTTCTTAAATGTGCCATGCTTTTATCCTACCACAGAGCTTTGGAAGATACAGTTCACTCTCAGAATTTTTCACTTTTCCCTTCTCTATGCTGTTTAATTAAACTCTCTCTCTTCTTTCATATTTCAGTTCAAATCTCATCCTTGCCGGGGATATCTTCAATGCTACCAGATGTCTCCCTCTATTACATGTCCTGAGAACACTTTATTCTTTCCTTCTGTAGCAAGAGTTTGTATGACGTACTTATTCTTTTGAATATTTGTTTCATGGCCATTTCTTTTCATTGGATCACTACTCTGTGTATCTCACTGTTATTAGTGAAAACTCCTTGGTAGAACCTATGACTTGCTACTGACCAATAGAATATGACAAAGATGATGAGATGCCACTTCTGTGATTCCATTCCTGTGATTCCATGATTGCGTTACATCATTCTCACTTAGCAACCGAGAGAGGGGGAGAAAGGGAAAAAGAGGGAGAGACAGAGAGAGAGGGAGGGAGGGAGGGAGGGAGAGAGAGAAAGAAAGTATTTGTCTTTCTGGCTTTTATGAAGTAAGCAACCATGTTGAGGCAGTCCATCTGACAAGGTACTGCAGGTGGCTTCTAGAAGCTGTGAGCAGGCTCCAGCTGATGGCCAGAAAAAAATGTTGGGGTCTTCAGTCATACATCCTTAAGGAAATGAATTCTGGCACAAACATGAGAGAGCTTTGAAGCAGATTCTGATCCAGTTGAGTTTCCAGATGAAAATGGAGTCTAGACAAAACCTTTATCTCAGCCTTGTGAGATTCTGAACAGAGGGCCCAGGTAAGCCGTGCCTAGACTCCTGATTTCCCCCAAATTGTGAGACAGAAGCTAACCCACTGGCTTCCATTACAACACCGTAACCATGAGTTATGGTCAGTGGCATGGGCACTGAAGTGTTACATATACCACCCCTGGACTTTGCTCAAAAAAAACTTTCTGCAAGACCCTCCCCAACATTTTCCCCAGGTTATTAGCCCGATTTTGAGCAGAGATTCAAGTACAGTAGACTAGAGGGACTCTGGGCGGTTAATCATTGCATGGGAGGTTGCTTACTGAATGCCTGCAATTGTTTATTATAAGGTATCACTACGAATTTGGTGATTTCTTGTTAAATTAGCTGATATTATTTAGTTTAGCCAAAACCCTATATTCTTGAGATATAGAAATAATATTTGACAGCAGGATCAGGGTTTAATACCTTAACAATGAAAGCTGGAAAAATATCAGAAGATAGGATGACAAAACAACCAGAGTATCTTTAAAAATCTCCCTAATGTCTAAAGGAATGAAACTTAGACTGTTCTTATTCTATGACTATGTCACTTAGTAATAATTCATACAAAAGTTGCTGTTTTTCACACCTTTGAAACATTTTTCCTTGGAAATAACTTCAGGCAATGAGGAAAAATTTGCCTGACCTTCAGAGTGCCCTTCTTGGGAATGTTTCTCTTCTTTGCTAGTTCTACCATATTTTTACAAATAACAAGAAACATCAGGTGAGCTAGCCAATAGACCATTGCATTTCACATTCACTCTCAAATCACAAAGCAGAACAAGTGGTTCCTTTTGTAGCCTCATCAGTGCTTGCTATAACATAATCTCCCATCCTTATGTATAGCAAAGACAGTCTCTTTCTTTCAGCTGTTTGCTTTCTAACTGCATTGAGTTCTTCGGCCAATTTAGCAATAACTGCATGAATAGAATATTTCCATGCAACCCAAAACAATGTCATAAAGAAACTGCAAAAGAAAAAGTAAAACTATAATGACAATGGAAGTGGCAACTTTTTTTTAACTGTAGGAGATATACTTTACATCAAATTAGTAGAACACCAATGTGATGGTTGGTCTGCAACTGATTAGAATTGCTATGAATTCTTTTACCCTGTCATCCAGTTCATAATTCTTATGCTCTTTATCTCAAATTTAGTCATCTTAAAACACACTAAGCTTTTTTTTTTTTTTTTGAGACGGAATCTCACTCTGTCACCCAGGCTGGAGTGCAGTGGCGTGATCTCAGCTCGCTGCAACCTCCACCTCCCAGGTTAAAGCAATTCTCCTGCCTCAGCCTCCTGAGTAGTTAGGTTTACAGGCACGTGCCACCATGCCCGGCTAATTTTTGTATTTTTAGTAGAGACGGGGTTTCACCATGTTGGTCAGGCTGGTCTTGAACTCCTGACCTTGGATCCACCTGCCTCGGCCTTCCAAAGTGCTGGGATTACAGGCATGAGCCACCGCGCCCAGCAAAATCCACTAAGCTTTTGCATAATAAAGCTTATGGCATTCATGTCCATGGGGGTACATTTTTCCCTCACATCCACCATTATATCACCTCAAGGGATAACATTTCCTAGCAAGCCAACTTTCTTGCAAGTCAATATGTATTGTTGACTTAATCCGAATTAGTGCTTATATATTTTGATGGGTCAGTTCCATTTTCTTAATGGTAAAAAGTTTGTTGTTATACAATTTGATGATTTAATACTCTATCGATATTAAGTAGTTTTAATAATATGGGATATCTTCCCAATGTTATAATGATGGATTATTCTTACAACAAAAATACATGGCTAATTTATTTTTTTTAATAAAGACCAATAAAATCTAAAATAAACAAGAAGTCTATTATGAAATGACGAAGAGATTTATTAGCTTTCATTATGGTCCCAAAATGTGGTCTAATAGCACTAAACTCAGTCAATGCTAAAGTCATAGAGGCTAAAATAGAATAAACAAACAAATAAATAAATGATTATGCTGTTTCTTGGCATCAATTATCATGCCTTATATATATTTTTATATATCATTATATATTTATATAATATATAAATATATTTATATATAAGGCATGATAATTGATATATATTTATATATCAATATATTTATATATTTATATAAATATATTTTATATAATATATAATTTATTATATATTATATATATATAAATAGATATATATTTCAAATCTATTTGGACTGTGTCCCCAAAATTATTTTATGTTGAAGGAAATGTAAACTCATCTTTAAAAATTAAGACATTACCACTGACCCCACAGAATTACACACACGTACACAAACGGTGACTATTATGAACACCTCTATGCACACAAACTAGAAAATTTAGAAGAAATGGATAAATTCCGGGACACATACAACCTCTGAAGACTGAGCCAGGAAGAAATTGAATCCCTGAACTCAGCATTGAGTTCTGAAATTGAATGAGTAACAAAAAGCCCACCAACCAGAAAAAGCCCAAGACCAGATGGATTTGCAGCCAAATTCTACCAGATGTATAAAGAAGAGCTGGTACCAATCCTGCTGAAACTGTTCCAAAAAACTGAGGAAGAAGGACTTCTCATCAACTCATTCTATGAGGCTAGCATCATCCTGATAACAAAACCTGGCAGAGACACAACAAAAAAAGAAAACTTCAGGCCAATATTTTTGATGAACATAGATACAAAAATACTCAACAAAATACAAGCAAACTGAATCCAGCAGCACATAAAAAAGCTAATCAGCTACAATCAAGTAGGCTTTATCCCCAGAATATGAGGTTGGTTCAACATATGCAAATCAATAAATGTGATTCATTATATCAACAGAGCTGAAGACAAAAACTACAATTACTCAATGGATGCAGAAAGGCTTTCAATAAAATTCAACATTCCTTGATGTTGGAAACCCTTCACAAACTAGGCACTGAAAGAACATATTTCAAAAATAATAAGAGTCATCTATGATAAACCCACAGCCAACATTATACTGAAAGGAGAAAAACTGGAAGTATTCCCCTTGAAAACTGGCATAAGACAAGGTTGTCCTCCCTCATCACTCTTATTCAACATGATATTGAAAATCTTAGCCAGAGAAATCGGCAAGAGAAAGAAAGAATGGGCATCCAAATAAGAAGAGAACTCAGGGGATCCCTGTTTGCAGACAACATGATTCTATATCTAGAAAACTCCATAGTCTCTGCCCAATCTCTTTGGGCTGATAAACAACTTCAGTAAAGTTTCAGAATACAAAATCTGCATACAAAAATCTGTAGCATTTCTATACCCCAACAACATCCAAATAGGCAAATCAGGAACACAGTTTAATTCATAATTGCCACAAAAAGAATAAAATACCTAGGAATACAGCTAACAAGGGAGGTGAAAGATCTCTACAACAAGAATTACTAAACACTGCTGAAAGAAATCAGAGATGACACAAGCAAGTAGAAAAACATTCCATGCTCATGGCTGGGAAGAATCAATATTATTAAAATGGCCATACTGCCCAAAGCAAATTACAGATTCAATGCTATCCTAGTAAACTACCAGTGACATTATATTAGTCTGTTCTCACACCACTAGGAAGAAATACCCAAGACTGGGTAATTTTTAAAGGAAAGAGGTTTAATTGACTCACAGTTCCACATTGCTGGGGAGGCCCCAGGAAACTTACAATCATGGTAGAAGGCAAAGGAGAAACAAGCACCTTCTTCACAAGGCGGCAGGATGGAAAAATGCTGAGTGAAGGGGGATGAGACCCTTATAAAACCATCATATCTCATGAGAACCATCAGATTCATTATCATGAGAACAGCATGAGGGAAACTGACTCCATGATCCAGTTGCCTCCACCTGGTCCCACCCTTGACATGTGGGGATTATGGGATTATGGGAATTACAATTCAAGATGAGAGTTGGGTGGGGAGACAAAGACTAACCATACCGAACGTTCTTCACAGAATTAGAAAAAAAATTATTTTAAAATTCCTATGGAACCAAAAAAGAGCCTGAATAGCTGAGGCAATTCTAAGCAAAAAGAACAAAGCCAAAAGCATAATGCTATTCTACTTCAAACTCTACTATAGGAATACAGTAACCAAAACATCAAGGTATTGGTACAGAAACAGACACATAGACCAATGGAACAGAATAGACAACCCAGAAATGAAGCCACACCCAACCATCTGAATTTGGACAAAGCTGACACAAACAAGCAATGAAGAAAGGACTCCTCATTCAATAAGTAATGGTGCTGGAATAACTTGCTAGTCATATGCAGAAGACTGATACTAGACGCCTACCTTACACCACATATAAAAATCAACTCAAGATGGATTAAAGACTTAAATGTAAAACCTAAAACTATAAAAACTCTGGAAGATAACCTAGGAAATATCATTATGGACACAGAACTTGGCAAAGATTTCATGATGAAGACACCAAAAGCAAACAACAAAACCAAAAATTGAAAAATGGGATCTAATTAAATGAAACAGATTATCAGCAGAATAAACAGACAAACTACAGAATGAGAGAAAATATTTGTAAGCTATGCATCTGACAAAGGCCCAATATCCAGAACCTATAAGAAACTGAAACAATTTTACAGATTAAAAAGAAACAATCCCATTAAAAATTGGGCAAAAGGCTGGGCCAGGCACGGTGGCTCAAGCCTGTAATCTCAGCACTTTGGGAGGCTGAGGCAGGCGGATCACAAGGTCAGGAGTTCGAGACGAGCCTGGCCAATGTGGTGAAACCCCTTCTCTACTAAAAATATAAAAATTAGCCGGTCATGGTGGCAGGTGCCTGTAGTCCCAGATTCTTGGGAGGCTGAGGCAGGAGAATTGCTTGAACCCGGGAGGCAGAGATTGCAGTGAGCCAAGATCATGCCATTGCACTCCAGCCTAGGAGACAGAGCAAGACTCCATCTCCAAAAAAAAAAAAGTGGGCAAAGGACATGAACAGACACTTCCCAAAAGAAGACATTCCTGCGGCCAACAAACATGAAAAAATGCTTAACATCATTGATCATTAGAGAAATGCATATCTAAAGCACAATGAGATACCATTTCATACCAGTCAGAATGGCTATTACTAAAAAGTCAACAAATAACCAATGCTGGTGAGGCTGTGGAGAAAAGGGAATGCTTCTACACTGCTGGTGGTAATGTAAATTAGTTCAGCCATTGTGGAAAGCACTGTGACAATTTCTCAAAGAACTTAAAACAGAATTATCATCAGACCCAGCAATCTCATTACTGGGTATATACCCACAGGAAAAGAAATTGCTCTTCCATAAAGATACATGGATGCATATATTAATTGCAATACTATTTACAATAGCACAAACATGGAATCAGCCTAAATGCCCGTCAGCGACAGACTGGACAAAGAAAATGTTACGTACACCATGAAATACTATGCAGCTGTGAAAAAGACAAGATCACATCCTTTGCAGCAACATGGTTGGAGCTGGAGGCCATTATCCTAAGCAAAGTAACACAGGAACAGAAAAATAAATACCACGTTTGCATTTATAAGTGGGAACTAAACAACAAGGACATGTGGGTACTAGAAGGGGAACAGCAGACACTGGAGCCCACTTGAAGGTTGAGGGTGGGAGGAGTGAGAGGATCACATAAAAATACCTATCAGGTACTGTGCTTATTATCCAGGTGATGAAATTATCTGTATGCCAAACCCCCATGACACACAGCTTACCTATATAACAACTTTGAACATGTGCCCCCGAAAATAAAATAAAAGTTAAAATAAAAGGACTAACCAAAAAAAATTTTGCTGCTTTTTGTCTTCAGTTTTACCTCTTAGCTTTTTTATTTTTCAACTTTCCTAGTTTACCTCGTATTCTTTCTGATTTCTGCCTTAAGAAGAGATTAGAGCAAGTGATTTCAATGTTCTTTTCATTCCAGTAATTAGGCAAAGGAACTCAGAATTATCTGTAAATAGAAAAAGTTAGACAATGGTATATTTGACTTTCATTTAAAACCTGCAAACTGATAAAACAAAAAAAAGTCACGTTTAAGAAAGAACTTACAGTGTGAATTCTTTGTATTGGTAACTGATTTTTAAAAGCAGTATTCTTTTTATGAGATTCAGGCTTTCAATGAAAACAAAACTTCTTTTGGCATTTAAATTATCTAGAGTAGGATATTTAATTATTATTTTTCGATGCATAAGACCTTTGGAAAGGTAAACATGATTAACTCTAGCAAAGAACAGCGAGAAAAAGACAAATTTAATCTGTAAGTAATAGAAAATTTATTATGCTTCTCAGAGAACTGTTCTGTACATTAATATAAAAAAGCATAATTTAATTTACATGCCTTGCTGAATTTCCAAGGCACTGATGCTGGATCATCAAAGGAACAAGAATATTAGTATGCAAATAATTAATCTGAGGCTCAGCAGTCCTAATATATACACACTGAAATAAAAATTTTTTGCTACCGATGGAGGTTTTCAGTTCTGAGAACCTACTTCCTTTGAAATATCATTAAATTATTCCCAGTTTTCATTAATTCCTTACTTTATTAAACTAAGATGTATTACATACCTACCATTCACCTGAAACTGGGCTAGGCACAGAGATGCATTAATAAGCAAAAAGGTAAGATTTCAAGCAAAGAGTGTGGCAGAAGAGTATTAAGTGTGTCATTCCATATTGATGAAAGTGCTCAGAAGGAAAAGCCCATGACTCTTTGTGAGTTATAACAAAGGCATGGTTTAGGCTAGGGGGTTCCACACAGGTATCTTTGGGAAGTGAAGCTTTAGGTTGGATCTGAAGGGGAAATCGAAATTAAGAGGGGAAATGAGGGGAGGAGCCAGTCAGAAGGAGCACTCAGGCAAGGGCACAGCACATGCAAAACCCAGGTAGGAGAAAATATGTCACAAACAAGACACAAAGAAAGCAATTGTATGGTTGGAATGTCAAGACAAAATGGAGAGTCCTGTGGGTTGGAGGTGGAAATGTACTCAGGAACAGGACCAAATATTACAAACCATTTCAATGACTTCTGCCAAACGAACCCATTTTTCTTATTGCAAGTTAGTATCGACATTGTATGTGAGTACAGATAGTTAATTTTGGAACAAAATACAGCAAATATAGTGTGAAATTTGGAAAATAGGACATTAAGTATAATGTGAAATATCACAGGAAGCAAATGGAATATATTGTACCAACTAAGTTTCCATCATAATATTCCATGATGATTTTTCATTTAACAAAAATTTTGGTGATTTGGAAGAGGAGATGATATCTCTGTATCAGAAATGCTTCTGGCTGTAAAAAACAGAACTCCTGATTAACAGTGCCTTAAACCATATGGACATTTACTGTTTACCTAACAAGAAATGTAGAAAAATTTTTTCGAAACAACCAAGGATAAAGTTCCTGTTACCTTTCTTTCCTGCCACGCCTAACGTCTTGACCTCTCATGATTATGAGATGTTTGATATACCTCCAGAGAAAAAGAAAAATAAGGGAAAACCTATGTCCAAAGTAGAAAGAAAGGAGAAGAGGGAGTGAAAATTATGATTTTCTACCTCTAATTTTCATCAGGAAAGCAAAATACTTTCCCAACAAATCCAAGGCAGTCCTTCACTTATGTCTCATTGGCCAAAAAGCAATAATATTGCCACTACTCCTACCTGGCAGGGAGCTGTGAACATGAGAATTTGGCATGTCTCAGACCTTCAGTAGAAAGCGGAAAAGGGAGAAAGCAGAGGCGGTGCTGCCTGGTTATTCAATCAACAGTGCAAATGCCTGAAAAGACTGGGTTATGACAACACTTGCCCTGGAAACCAAGACAGACAATGTTTATTTTGGACAAAATTATGCAACAGGCTTCTGTTTCTCCAGTTGGGGTTTTGTGAATATTCTACAATAATTTCTTGGTTTTCTGTTTGGATTTTTATGATCACAGAGAAAAACTTGATGTTGGATCATACAACCACGTTGGATCACATGGTGACTGGACTAGAACCTACCCCTGTATTTGCTTGATGTTTAGATCACATTGACAGCAATAGTACATCTTTGATGGTGATCAGCTAATGAAAAGATAGCAGAACATGATAAGGAAAGTACACCATTCTTGTCAGGTGCGGTGGCTTACGCCTGTAATCCCAGCACTTTGGGGGGCTGAAGCGGGCGGATCACGAGGTCAGGAGTTTGAGACCAGCCTGATCAACATGATGAAACCCTGTCTCTACTAAAAATAAAAATAAAAAATTAGCCGGATGTGGTGGCTTGTGCCTGTAATCCCAGCTACTCAGAAGGCTGAGGTAGGAGAATCGCTTGAACCTGGGAGGCAGAGGTTGCAGTGAGCCGAGATAGTGCCACTGCACTCCAGCCTGGGTGACAGACCGAGACTCTGTCTCAGAAAAAAAAAAAAAAAAAAAAAAGTACACCATTCTTTTCCAGAAGTGAAGTCCAAATGATATCATGAAGCACTGTGCAAATAAAGGTTTCACGTGAGTTTGAGTAAAGTGGTAAGTGAATTGAGTTACCAGATGGCACACAGTAGCATAGGCATGCTAAATGCCTTCAAAACTATGATGTGGCAGTCAGTATGATATTCAAATTTCAAACAGATTAAGATTCAGCATGTCAAGATGATTCATCATATTAAATTAAAAACATTAATTTTAATTTTATTGGAGTAATAGTTTGGTTTATAATTTGCAGATTTGTTTCTTACAGCCAAGTCCTGTGAGCATAAGATGTTTATACCTGTTTTTATATTTATAAGCATTTAAGAGTATAGTGAAAGTAATACAAGTCAACACTGAGTATATGAGTTAATATTTTTTTCTTTAAAAAGATTCTGTTCAAATTTTAGCAACATTGTATTAGAGAGCCCTTCAAGTTAGTCATGGAAGACCCTAAAATTACCCTTGCCTGCCCCCATGTCAAGAGTAATTACAAACGTCTATTTCTGCCCTACTCTGTCTTTTGCTAGTCCACATTTTAAAAAGCAATGAATATACTCTTCCTGTGTGTCTTTTAGGCTTTGCCCAGGGATTTCATACTCCAGCTCAAGAAACAGATCAAAAGACACTGAAGTTTCTGAGTAGTGTCTGCTGGAGTCTTTTATTCAGTGTATACAATGAAGTGTTTACATTAGAGTTTTAAAGCTGGTAGTATTTATTAATAATTTGCTGAGGAAAAGTATTGGTCTTTATGCAGGAAGAGTTGTAAATGAAACTTGATTAATCTCTAATAGAAATCTAATGGATTTGTTCAAACAGAACTTTGCTTTTTCCTCACAGAAGGCAATAACCCATTTTCATGCAACAGCACAGTCAAGAGAAGTCTTAGAGGCTATCATGTTGTCTCTAGGAAACAGACTTCTGGAGGCTAAGTGCCCTGTGAAGGCCATTTCATAAGCTTATAGAAATATAAGGATTGGGACCCGGATGTCCAGAAGATTATGGGTCTTTTTCCTAGTGTCATATACCTAAAAAAAGGAACTGTCTATTTGGGGTGGAAGTGGGGAGTGAAAACATTTGTATTAAAAACTGGTTCACTGAGCAGTGGCCTATGCCTCTCTTGCGCACGTTCTCATTGCTGTATTATTGAATAAGTCAACACCATACTCACAAATTATGATCAATCTGAAGTGTGCATTTAGGAAAAGTGGTCCTCTAGTAAGCGCCCATCCTTTGCCGTCAAGAAAACAGTACTAACGATCATAACTGCTTTAAAGCCTCTTACAAAAATCTCTAAAGTTGATTCCACAATAAAATATTTACCAGAAAATATTCAATGATAAAAAAAGGCAGTCAGTACACACAGGAGATTGGTAAATGTTTAGGCTTTAAATAAATGAACGAGGGTGTCAATTACAAATAATTATGTTAGATAAAATAAGGCTGTGAGCAGTTCGAATGTTTCATATGGAATCATACCTCTGCACAAAGATAAAAAAACGGAGACATGACTGAAGAATCCGATTAAAGACTTTGGGGAAAAATTGATGTTTATTTTGAGCAAATCTTTCTTTAAAGTGGTCTTTCTAGTTAGCTGGTGTATCTTGACAGTCATTTGTGGTGGTTGCTTTTGTTTAAGTTGGGAGGCATATTTATGCTCAGCAATCACTACAACGTGCCAAATTTTGAAATATATTGGGCATGACTTAAATAAATACCACCCCCAAAATTTCCACAATTATAAGTTAGAAGATTCAGCTCTAAAACTCCAGATTTGCTAAATGACTCCTTAACACTGAGTGCAGCAGCAGCTGAGCAGTTTTCCTCTCTCTCCTGCAATCTGTATGTGTACCTGGCGGCCATATTTTCTTTTATCAGATACTGTTGCTGGGGCAACCACCTCCTTTGTAAGGGCTCAGGGTAGCTGCTTCTTTTTGGAAGGGGCCCCTGGGCTGGTTGCCAGATTTTCAATACTCAAATTCAGGATTCCACTGTAGCTTACTTAACCCTTTCACTGGCCTGAGAATAAATGGAGTGCAAAAGCTTTTTTAATTTTATTTTTTTAAATTTTACTTTAAGTTCCAGGATACATATGCAGAATGTGCAGGTTTGTTACATAGGTATACATGTGCCATGGTGGTTTGCCGCACTTATCAACCTGTCATCTAAGTTTTAAGCCCTGAATGCATTAGGTATTTGTCCTAATGCTCTCCCTCCCCTTGCTCCAGACCCCCTGACAGGTCCTGGTGTGTGTTGTTCCCCTCCCTGTGTCCATATGTTCTTTGTTCAACTCTCACTTATGAGTGAGAACATTAAATGTTTGGTTTTCTGTTCCCGTGTTAGTTTTCTGAGAACGATGGCTTCCAGCTTCATCCATGTCCCTGCAAAGGACATGATCTCATTCTTCAAACCACTGTTCAAGGAAATAAGAGAGGACACAAACAAATGAGAAAACATTCCATGCTCATGGATAGGAAGACTCAATATCATGAAAATGGCCATACTGCCCAAAGTAATTTATAGATTCAATGCTATTCCCATCAAGCTACCATTGACTGTCTCCACAGAATTAGAAAAAAAACTACTTTAAATTTCACATGGAACCAAAAAAGAGCCTGTACAGCCAAGACAATCCTAAGCAAAAAGAACAAAGCTGGAGGCATCACACTACCTGACTTCAAACTATACTGCAAGGCTACAGTAACCAAAACAGTTTTTATCCCAAAGGGAAGCAGAAGCTATCAGGTTACAAATCTAGAAATACTCTTTTACCAGGACACATACCGTGCTGAGAAGGAAAATAAAGGAGATTTTTGTTTTTAATAATTAAAGAGAAGAAAATCATTGTTGATGTTTTTCCAGGACAATTCACAAGGGTTATGATTTAAGTCCAATTTGTACTTCTCTGATTCTAACTCCGTAGAGGGCAAAAATCAGTTCACGTTAATGAAAGGAGTTTTAGTATAACCTTACTCTTCCCTACTGAGACACAAAATGTAGCATTATTACAGAAGAAAAAATAAAAGCTTCTTAATCCAGTCTTCTTATAATCATTTCAGTAAACTATATTTCTTGAGTTCCTTCTATCCTTACTTCCTTTATTGCTAGTCTCATTAGACTTCAAGGTTGAGAAGAGGCCTCACAGGTGTGTCTACCTTCTGACTCTTTCCAACAGTGAAACTGTTCACTTTATCTTTGAACTCTAATTATTAGAAATTTTTTATTTTTTGATGCAGTCTGAGTGAAACATCCATTTCTTTGTTCTACTTCTGTCCTTTGAAGTCATGTAGAAGAAATCTCAACCTTTATCCATATTACAGCTCTTTAGTAAAATTAAAAACAGCTGTTATGTCTCCCAAGTATGGCGGCCATGGAGTTTTGACTTCAAAAGACCTGTTGGGGGAGCGTACTTGATTGACAGCCTCCAATGGCTGCACCTTTGGATGCTTAGGGTCATGGAAGCCAGGCCATTCTTCCTTTGGGCTGCTTCCACCCCATGACTGAACACAGCTGCAATTCTAGAACAAAGCCATTCCTGTCCTATGGGAGATTCATCTAACAGCTAACTATAGCTTGCCAACTTTCCATGGGTCTGGCCAAGACGTTTTTTTTAGAACCTTGCTATGATTTGAAGCTCTTCGTATACAATCCTTCAATTCTTCTTTCCACAGGTGTCAGAGCTGTACCACAGCATTAAGACTCTTCCTATCTGTTACTCCTCTCTCCCCCTTTATCCTTGTATACATCATAGATATTTTTCTAATGAATCTCTTGTGCATCCAGTCCTATCTGGCTGTGTGCTTCTTGGGGGACTCACACAGACACACCAAGTGTGTTCTTTTTCAGGCTAAATATTCTCAGATAATCAGTCCTTAATATACATGTAGTGCTTTGCAGACCTTTGTCTTCCAGATGCATTCCAGCCTTTCAGGGTTCCTCTTAAGTGACGCACCATGGAGGAAAAACATTTCCCAGGACTGTTTGAACAACACAGAGCTACACTCATTGTCAGTTCTTGTATTCTGAGTACAGTGTTTTCTTAATGCATTTCAGGAAGGCATTAACATTTTGGGCAGTTTTATCACTCTGTTGATTCATACTGAGCATGTAGAAAGCCAAATGAAGAGTTTGGATTTAGTCAAATAAAATTCAAGAATACTTCAGCTGTCCTATTCAAGCGTTGTGGAATTTGAATCCACTAAGAGTTTTTCACATGCACTATTTGTAATAAAATTCTTCCTGTCCTGTCCTATACAGGCAATTAACCTAGGCATAGGTATTCACATCTGTTCTAAGTTTATTTTATTAGATAAATTCAGGAATTTCTACCATCCATTATATTAGCATTAGTATAAGCTATGCCTTGTACTTCCTGCCACTTTGGAATTTCATAAGTATGACAGCAATATTTATATTACAACTATTGACCAAAATGCATAGCCACCACGAAAGAGATGTCACAAGATAGGTTAAATCAATCATCACCTTTGGGAAGGGTCATTAATTCAATAACATATCTGCAAAATTGTATTGCCATTCATAGCATGTTTCTCCATCTTTTCTATAAGAAATTTTCAAGCGTATTACACAAACATAAGTGGAACACAGTTCAAATAATTTTCTTATTCTATAAATAAACTATAATAAAATACTATATGACTTGCTTTTAACCTATGTAGGTACTCAATATTTATTAATTTCTTCCCTCCTTATGGCATACATTCATATTTGAAGTTATTCTGAAATGTTAAAGGGATGGGATAATTTCTGAATATGTCTTACTATTATTAACAAAGTTTGCCTTGATACTAATTATGCATGTAAATGGTTAATAATATTTCAACTCATTGTGTAAAAGCAATTTAGTTGTAAGATTTTTTTTTTCTTAGTAAGACCCTTTTCAAAATGAGGTTCTTAGAAGGCAGTTTGTCAGATAATCATGACCAACCCCTTGCCTCCCCATCCCTACACAAAACAAAACCAAAAACCTCACTGAGAGGTGAAAAAGAATTCTAAGTGTAAAGAAAATTTCAGTTAACATGATTAAAGCTCACTTAGGTAGAATTTCTAAAACCTTTTGGTGTCTCTCATTTATCATTGTTAAAGGAATTTGGAGATTTGAAATACAAGATTATTTAATTCTTAGCAGTATTGTGTTTCCCATGGATAGTCACACAGAATGTTGACTTAGACTTTCCTGTTCTCCCTTCTTTGCTTTTCAATAACACAAATCATTTGTGGATATTGGTCAAATACAAGTTTCCAAGCAAAATATTTAAAAAGAGAACTAAATGAACAGAAATACATTTATTCTAAAACTACCAGGAAAGAGTATATGTTTGGAAAAAAAATGTAGTGTTTCCATTCTCTCAAGAGTTATATGTGTGTGTATCTATATCTATCTATCTATCTATATATATATCTCTATATATATTAAAGTTGGTGCAAAAGTAATTGCGGTTTTTGCCATTACTTTTAAATGTTATTTGGAATTGTCAGTGACATGAAAGAATTTTTTGTGATAACGGAAATACCTATCTTGATTGTAGGATTGTAGTGGTGGTTGCACCGATGTCTGCATTTGTCAAAGTGCACACACACAGGCACACACTTAACTATATACTTGCAAAAAAATTTGTATGAGGCAAAATTATAGTAATTTAAGTGGTATTTAAATTTTACCAAATATTTAAAATACATAAGATAAATTGTTAAAACTGGATCTACTATTACTGACAGTCACTTTTTATAAAATTTATAATATAAACTCACATCTGTAAAGATATCTACTGCTTGATTCTTTTAAGCATTTTAATCAAGCAGAGAATGAAGATGACACACATAGGCACATAGAAGGGATCATCTAGGGTACAGAATATTTATTTGAATTGTCCATTCAATTTAGGTATCCTCTTCCAAAATATCCTAAAAGATCGATTTTGGGGTGGAAGAAACTTTTTTTTTTTTTTAAAGATAGAGTTTTGCTCTTGTTGCCCAGGCTGGAGTGCAGAGGTGTGATCTCGGCTCACTGCAACCTCTGCCTCCCGGGGTTCAAGTGATTCTTCTGCCTCAGCCTCCCGAATAGCAGGGATTACAGGAGCCCGCCACTGTGCCTGGCTCACTTGTATTTTTAGTAGAGAAGGGGTTTTGCCAAGTTGGCCAGGCTGGTCTTGAACTCCTGACCTCAAATGATCTGTCCGCCTCGGCCTCCCAAAGTGCCGGGATTACAGGTGTGAGCCACCATGCCCGGCCAAGAAACATTTTTTTAAATTAAATTTATTGGGCTATTGTTTACAACCAATAAAATATCCCATTCTAAGAATATAGATTGGTGCATTTTGACAAGTGTAGACACCCCTGTAACCATGACTGTAATCAAGATATATATTTCCATCATCACAGAAAATTCCTTTGTGTCATCCACAGCTCCAGGTAACTGCCAATGTACTTTCTGTCACAATATATTAGTTTTCCTTTTCTATGATTGTATATAAATGTAATCATAATGTAAATGCTCTTGTGTTCTGGCTTCTAATCAGCACATTGTTGAGATTCATCCATGTTTTGTGTGAATGAGTATTCTGTTTTTTTTCTTTAACTTTTATTTGAAGTTTCAGCATACATGTGCAGGATGTGCAGGTTTGCTACGTAGCTAAACATGTGCCATGGTGGTTTGCTGCACAGATCAACCCATCACCCATGAATTAAGACCAGCATCTATTAGCTATTCTTCCTGATGCTCTCCCTATCCCTACCTGTGAGAGGTCCCACTGTGTGTTGTTGCCCACCATGTGTCCATGCATTCTCATCGTTCAGCTCCCACTTCTAAGTGAGAACATGCAGTGTTTGATTTTCTGTTCTTGTGTTTGTTGAGGGTAATAGTTTCCAGTTCCATTCGTGTCCCTGCAAAGAACATAATCTTGTTCCTTTTTATGGTTGCATAGTATTCCATGGTGTAGATGTACCACATTTTCTTTATCTAGTCTATCACCGATGGGCATTTGGGTTGATTTTATGTCTTTGCTATTGTGAATACTTCCGCAATGAACATATGGGTGCAAGTATCTTTATAATAGAATAATTTATATTTCTTTGGGTATATACTCAGTAACAGAATTGTTAGGTCAAATGGTATTTCTGCCTCTAGATCTTTGAGGAATTGCTACACTGTCTTCCTCAGTGGTTGAACTAATGTACGTCCTGACCAACAGTATAAAAGTGTTCTTTTCTATCCACAACCTTGCCAGCATCTGTTCTTTCTGGACTTTTTAGTAATCACCATTCTGACAGGTATGAGATGGTATCTCATTGTGGTTTTCATTTGCATTTCTCTAATGATCAGTGATGTTGAGCTCTTCTTCATATATTTGTTTTCCACATGAATGTCTTCTTTTGAGAAGTGTCTGTTCATGTTCTTTGCCTACTTTTTAATGTTTTTTCTTTTCTTGTAAATTTAAGTTCCTTGTAGACTCTGCATATTAGACCTTTGTCAGATAGATACATTGCAAAAATTTTCTTCCATTCTGTAGGTTGTCTTTTCAAACCGATGATAGTTTGTTTTGCTGTGCAGAAGCTCTTTAGTTTAATTAGATCCCATTTGTCAATTTTCGTTTTTGTTACAATTGCTTTTGGCATCTTTGTCATGAAATCTTTTCCAGTGCCTATGTCCTGAATAGCATTACCTAGATTTTCTTCTAGGGTTTTTATAGTTTTGGGTTTTACATTTAAGTCTTTAATTTATCTTGAGTGAATTTTTGTATGTAAGGTGTAAGGGAGGGGTCCAGTTTCAATTTTCTGTGTATGGCTAGCCAGTTCTCCCAGCACCATTTATTAAATATGGAATCCTGTCTCCATTGTTTGTTTATGGCAGGTTTCTTGAAGATCAGATGCTTGTAGGTATGTGGTCTTATTTCTGAGTTCTCCATTCTGTTCCATTAATCTATGCATCTGTTTTTGTACCAGTACCATACTGTTTTGGTTACTGTAGCCTTGTAGTATAGCTTAAAGTCAGGTAGCATGATGCCTCCAGCTTTGTTCTTTTTGTTTAGGATTGTCTTGGCTATTCAGGCTCTTTTTTTGGTTTCATATAAATTTTAAAATGGTTTCTTCTAATTCTGTGAAAAATGTCAATATTAGTTTAATGGGAATAGCATTGAAGCTATAAATTGCTTTGGGCAGTATGGCCATTTTCATGATATTGATTCTTCTGATGCGTGAACATGGAATGTTTTTCGATTTGTTTGTGTCCTCTCTGATTTCCTTGAGCAGTGGTCTGTAGTTCTCCTTGAAGAGGTTCTTCACTTCCCTTGTTAGCTGTGTTCCTAGGTATTTTATTCTCTTTGTGGCAATTGTGAATTGGAGTTCATTTATGATTTGGCTCTTGGCCAAAAGTGATGAAAGCAAGAAATTTGCTTTGCTTCCATTCTTAGAGAAAAAGTTTTCAGTTTTTTATCATTAAACATTATGTTAGCTGTGGGATTTTTAGAGATACTTTTTATTAAGTTGAGAACATTTCCTTTAATCAATATTTTGATATAATTTTTTTAATCAAAAGAGGTTTCAAATTTTTTGAAATGTTTGTTCTATATCTACTGAGATGATTATATAAAATTCCCATGTTCTTATGTTAATAGCGTGAATTACACATCAACTTTGCATTCCTGGGATAAACAAATTTCACTTTTTCAGGTTTCATTTTCTTGATGTTGTTGAATGTGGCTTCTAAATATTGTATTAAGAATATTGCTTCTCAATAATAAAAATATTATTAATTTTCTTATTAGTAATATTCTTCTTAATAGTAAGAATATTACTTCTTAATACCATGTTTTTGGTAGTCAGAAAAATGGCTCCCCCAAATATGTCCACATCCTAATCCACTTTATCTGTGACTTTGCTACATCACATGGAAAAAGGAACTTCAAAGATGTGTTTCAAGTTAAAAACCATTAGCTGGGGATTATTCTGCATTATCAGAGTGAGGCCAATCTAATGACAAGAGTCTTTAAAAGCAGATAAGCTTTCCTAGTGGTGGTCAGGGAGATGTGTCAACAGAAGCAAGGTCAGAGGAACGTGGTGTTGCTGGCTTTAAAGATGGAGGAAAACAGCTATAAACCAATACATGTGAGTGGCCTCTAGAGACAGGAAAAGGCAAGGAAACGGATACTGTACCAGAGCACCAAGAAAGGAATGCAGCCTTGCCAATCCTTGATTTTATTCCAGTGTGTCAGATTTCTGACCTACAGACCTATACGATAATAAATCTGTGTTAAGCTACTACGTTTGTGGAAGTTTGTTCCAGTAACAGCCACAACAAAAAACTAATACAATGTCCATGAAAGATATTTGTTGGTAGGTTTCTTGTAGTTTTCTTCTCATTTATTATCAAGGTAATACTGGCCGTATAAAATGAGCTAAAAAGTGTTCTGTCCTGTTAAATTTTATAAAAAGATTTGTATTATTTTGTGTTACTTCTTCCAGAAATGTTCAACAGATTTCACCAATGAAGCTATCTTAACCTGTACCTTTCTTTGTGAGCAGGTTCTAAATTAAAGTTTGAATCATTTAATGATTATAGAGCATTTCACAGTTTCTAAATTCTCCTGTCTGTTTTTACATTTCATATATTTGTTTATTTTAGTTAAAACTTTGAATTAAAATAATATTCCCTTAGGATTTTTTTAATGTCTGTAGGATCTATAGTAGTACTCCCTCATTTATTCTTAAAACTGTTAATTTGCTTCCTCTCATTTTTACTTGACCATTACAGCTAGAAATTAATCAATTCATCTACATTTTCAAATTAGCAGCTTTTAGATTTTTTATTTATTTTCCTGTTTGCCAGATTTTTATGTTACCAGTTTCTGCACAGATTTTTATTATATTCTTTCTTCTATATACTTTGGATTTAACTTGCTTGCTTGTTTCTTAAAATAAAACTTAGACCATTGATTTAGCCCTTTTCTAATGTAAGTATTTACAGCTATGTATTTTTCTTTACTCACTCTTTTATCTCCAATTTCAAAATTCTGATAATTTAATTTTATTTTCCTTCAGTTAAAATGATTTGGGTTTTCTTCTTTGACTCATGGAGTATTTAGAAGTGTGATGATTAATTTCCAAATACTTGCCAGTTTTCCAGACATTGCTTTTTCCCTCATATTGTTGTGTTTTATTTCAATTTAGTTTTATTATAGTCAAAGAACATACTCTGTAAAGTGTCAATACTTTAAAATTCATTGGGAATTGTATTATGACCCAGAAAATGGTATAACTGTGACATTTTCATATGCATTTGAACAGACTGTATTAGGCAGTAAAGGAATGTGGTATTTAAAAATATGAATTACATCAAGTGTGTCAGTAGTGTTCAAATGTTCTGCATACTTGCTGATTTTATGTTTACTTGAAATTACTGGAAGAAGAATGTTGAAATCTCTAAATGTAATTGGAAAGTCTCTACTTTTCTTTGAAGTTTGTCTGTTTTGCTTCACTACTTGAGCAGCTCTGTTATTAAATGAATACATACTTGGGATTATTATGTCTCTTTGATGAATTGAACTTTTTTTGTATTGTGGCTGTCCCTTTTTTCTTTTGGTAATGTTTCTTCTTATGAGGTTTACTTTCTCAAATATTACTATAGACATTTCAACTTTCTTATAATTGATGATTGAATGATATAAGTTTTTCCATTCTTTGGCATTTAAACTCTTGGCCACTTTATAAATAAGTGGAAAGAGAAATTGATTAATGGGTACAAATAATAGATTTTCATAGAAGAAATAAGATCTAGTGTTCAATAGAGCAGTAGGGTGACTATACAATAATCAATTGTATTTCAAAATAGCTAGAGGAGAATAATTAGAATGTTTCCAGCATAAATCATTAAAAAGTCAGGAAACAACAGGTGCTGGAGAGGATGTGGAGAAATAGGAACACTTTTACACTGTTGGTGGGACTGTCAACTAGTTCAACCATTGTGGAAGTCAGTGTGGCGATTCCTCAGGGATCTAGAACTAGAAATACCATTTGACCCAGCCATCCCATTACTGGGTATATACCCAAAGGACTATAAATCATGCTGCTATAAAGACACATGCACACGTATGTTTATTGCGGCATTATTCACAATAGCAAAGACTTGGAACCAACCCAAATGTCCAACAATGATAGACTGGATTAAGAAAATGTGGCACATATACACCATGGAATACTATGCAGCCATAAAAAATGATGAGTTCATGTCCTTTGTAGGGACATGGATGAAATTGGAAACCATCATTCTCAGTAAACTATCGCAAGAACAAAAAACCAAACACCGCATATTCTCACTCATAGGTGGGAATTGAACAATGAGATCACATGGACACAGGAAGGGGAATATCACACTCTGGGGACTGTGGTGGGGTCGGGGGAGGGGGGAGGGATAGCATTGGGAGATATACCTAATGCTAGATGACGAGTTAGTGGGTGCAGCGCACCAGCATGGCACATGTATACATATGTAACTAACCTGCACAATGTGCACATGTACCCTAAAACTTAAAGTATAATAAAAAAAAAAAATTAAAAAAAAAAAAAAGAAAAAAGAAAAAAGAAAAAATGTTTCCAGCATAAAGAAAAGAAAATATTTAAGGTGGTGGGTATCCCAATTACATTGACTTAATTTTTACAAATTATGTAAATGTATTAAATTGTCATGTGCATCCTGAAAATATGTACATTTATTGTGTATCAATAAAAAAATTTAAAAGTGATATACAGATAGCATGTATTTGCTTACAGACAATATATAGTTGGTAACTGTTTATTTGGATCTTTTCTCTTTTCTTCTTTATTAGTCTAGCTAGTGACCTATCTTATTAATCTTTTCAAAAAACCAATTCCTGAATTCACTGATCTTTTCAATGTTTTTTCATGTCATGATTTCTTTCAGTTCAGCTCTGATTTTGGTTATTTCTTGTCTTCTGCTAGCTTTGAGGTTGATTTGTTCTTGCTTCTCTAAGTCTTTCAGTTGTAATGTTAGGTTGTTAATTTGAGATTGTTCTAAATTTTCAATAGGGTGTTTAGTGCTATGAATTTCTCTCTTAATACTGCCTTAGCTGTGTCCAGAGATTCTGGTTTGTTGTATCTTTGTTCTCATTAGTTTCAAAGAACTTCTTGATTTCTGCCTTAATTTCATTATTTACCCAAAAGCCATTCAGGAGAATGTTGTTTAATTTTCATGTATTTGAATTGATTTGAACAATTTTCTTAGTCTTGACTTCTATTTATATTGCACTTTGGTCTGAAAGTATGTTTGGTGTGATTTCCATTCTTTTGCCTTTACTGAGGATTGTTTTATATCCAATCACATGGTCAACTTTAGAGTATGTGCCATATGGCAATGAGAAGAAGGTATATTCTGTTTTTGAATAAGAGAGTTCTGTAGATGTCTATTGTATCCATTAGGTGCAATGTTGAGTTCAGGTCCTGAATATCTTTGTTAATTTTCTGCCTCATTGATCTGTCCAATACTGTAAGTGGAGTGTTGAAGTCTCTTACTGTTATTGAGTGGGAGTCTATATCTCTTTGTAGGTCTCTAAGAACTTGGTTAAGGATCTAGGTGCTTCAGTGTTAGGTGCATATACATTTAGGACAGTTAGGTCTTCTTGTTGAATTGAACCCTTTACCATTATGTAATGCCCTTCTTTGTCTTTTTTGATCTTTGTTGGTTTAAAGTCTGTTTCATCTAATATGAGCATTGCAACCCTGCTTTTTTCTGTTTTTAATTGGCTTGGTAGATTTTCCCCCACCCCCTTATTTTGAGCCTATGTGTGTCATTTCATGTGCGATGAGTCTCTTGGAGACAGGATACCATTAGGCCCTAGTTTTTTATATACCTTGCCACTCTGTGTGTTTTAAGTGGGGGCATTTAGCCTGTTTACATTCAAGGTTTTTATTGATATATGTGGATTTGATAGAATATCTCCCCAGAAAATGTGTTTTTATTCTCTATCGCATTGTCAGTCTGCAAATTTTTCAAACTTTTATGCTCTGCTTTCTTTTGAACACTTTACTGCTTAGTAATTTCTTCTGCCAGATACCCTAAATCATCTCTCTGAAGTTCAAAGTTTCACAGATCTCTAGGGTGGAGGTAAAATGCTGCCAGTTTTTCTTTTTGCATAGCAAGAATCACCTTTACTCCAATTCCCAAGAAGTTCCTCATTTCCATCAGAGACCACCTCAGCCTGGACTTCATTATCCATATCGCTATCAGCATTTTGATCAGAGCCATTCAGCAAGTCTCTAGGAAGTTCCAAACTTTCTCACATTCCTGTCTTCTTTAGCCCTCCAAACTGTTCCAACCTCTGCCTGTTACCCAGTTCCAAAGTTGCTTCCATATTTTCAGGAATCTTTATAGTAGCACCCAACTCCTGCTACCAATTTACTGTATTAATGGATTCTCACACTGCTAGGAATAAATACCTGAGACTGGGTAATTTATAAAGAAAAGAGATTTAATTAACTCACAATTCTGCATTGCTGGGGAGGCCTCAGGAAACTTACAATCATGGCAGAAGGTGAAGGAGAAGCAGGCGCCTTCTTCACAGGGTGGCAGGATGGAGTGAGTACAAGCAGAGGAAATGCCAGACACTTATCAAACCACTAGATCTTGTAAGACTCACCCATTATCATGAAATCAGCATAAGAGAAACTGCCCCCATGATCCAATTATCTCCACCTGGTCCTGCCCTTGACACATAGGGATTATGGGGATTACAATTCAAGGTGAGACTTGGGTGGGTACATAGAGCCAAACCATATCAATTTGCTTATCTTAAAAGTATCTCATTTCTTCTTTGCTTAGAAAACTTAGTTTGGCTGGATATGAAATTTTTGGTTGAAAAATTTTTTCTTTGAGTGTTGAATATAGGCCCCCAATCTCTTCTTGTTTGTAGGGTTTCAGCTAAGAGGTCCACTGTTAGTCTGATGATATTCTCTTTGTAGGTAACCCACCCTTTTTCTCTAGCTGCCTTTAACATTCTTTCTTTCATTTCAACCTTGGAAAATCTGATGATTATGTTCTTGGGGTTTATCTTCTTGCACAGAATTTTCCAAGAATTCCATTTGTTTCCTGAATTTGACTGTTGGTCTCTCTAAAAAGGTTGAGGAAGTTTTCATGGATGAGATCCTGAAATATGTTTTCCAAGTTGTTTGCTTTCTCCTCCTCCCTTTCAGGGATGCCAATAATTCGTAGATTTGATCTCGTCACATAATCCCATACTTCTTGGAGGTTTTGTTCATTTCTTTTTATTCTTTTTTCTTTATTTTTGTCTGTCTTATTTCAGAGAATTAGTCTTTTAAGTTCTGAGATTCTTTCCTCAGCTTGGCTTATTCTTCTCTTAATACGGCTAATTGCATTCTGAAATTCTTGTATGGTGTTACTCAGCTCTGACAGACCCATTCAGTATTCATATATATATATATATGTATGTATATATATATATGTATGTATATATATAAATATATTTATATATTCAATTTCATATATTATATATAATATATACAAAAATATATAAATATATAAAATACATATATTTCATATGTCATATAGATATATGTGTGTATATATATATATACACACACACATATACACACCAGCTATTTTATCCTTCAGTTCTTGTATTGTATTATTGTGATTCTTATTTTCCTTGGATTGGGTTTTGCCATCCTCCTGAATCTTGATGATTTTGTTTCTATCCATAGTCTCAATTCTATTTCTGTCATTCCAGCCAGTACAGTCTGGTTACAAACTCTTGTTGGAGGACTGGTGTGGTCTTTTGGAGGACATACAGCATTCTGGCCATTTGAGTTACTGGAGTTCTTGCATTGGATCTTACTCATCTCTGTTTGTAGGTGTTCCTTTAACTGCAGTGTAGATGGAGTACAGTCAATAGACTTCTTTTTTTGATATGTTCACTAGGCTGAGGCTTTATGCACGGTTTTTATTTGAAGCTGACTTCTTGTCTCTGGTATCAGAGGTGGGTATATTAGTGAAGCATTTTGGTGTTGAAGGTTTAGGGTGTGATTCAGTAGGTGGTACTTAGGATTATTGGTCAGTTGGTAGACTGTTGCTCAGTTGTGTAGCTCCCTTGTCTTCCCTCACAGTGGCTGTTGTGTTCCCTCTCAATGCTCTGAAAGTGTGAATTCCTCTCCCACTAGAGTGCTGGCATAAATTGTGACTTGGCAATCCTGGGCTGTCCACTGCAGCTCTCAGGCAATCTCAGGGTTTATATTCCTTCCCCATCTTAGAGGCAGCAGAGGAAGGGACCTTAGTAAGTGCTTGTGGCCAAGTGTGTTTTGCTTGTCTCCTGGGGGCTCCACCCCAGAGAGATGTAGATCAGTAATTGCTCAGTGCAGTCAGCCCAGGATGGAAAGTCTGAGCTGTGGGCCCAAGCCAGGGGTTCCCTATATGGTGACAGGCAGTGGGAGTTGTGTGAGACCCATAAAAAATGGAGTGACCTCCTTTCCTTGGGTCTACTGAAGCTTGTTGGAGGTGTAGATAATGCATTTAGGGTCTTTGCTCCTTCATTAGTCTGAGAGTAGTAAGGGTAGATCCACTGGATAGGCAGTGGCAGAGAGGCTTTCAGTTGCCTCTGGAGGCTCTGTCCAGGGAGTTGCTGAGTTGGTGCTGGCTTGATAGCTCTGGTGAGGGGCTGGCTGGAGGCCCAGGTCTGAAGGACCTGCCTGGTGAGAAGATAATGGACACCCCCGTAGCCGTCTGGCCAGTTTTCTGTCGGGCTGCTGTGATATGTTGGGGTCCCAGTCCAGTCACTAGTCACCTCAGGTTTTCCAGTACCTAGAGGTCAAATTTTGATTTGTTCTATTTTTATCTTCTATTCCTCCTCATTAACATCAGGTTTTCCTTTAAATATTTCAGGAAATTTATAAAAGCTCTTTCAAAGTTATTGTCTACTAATTTCATCTTCCCTTCCATTTCTGAATGTTTCTATTTATTGATTTTTCTTATGTTTATGTGTCACATCTTTCTACTTCTTGTAATATATAGCACTTTTTATGGGAAGCAGGGCATTATAATAGTATGTTGTTGAATACTTGGATTTTGTATTTTCTTTTAAAGAGTGTTGGATTTTGTTTTGGTGGACAATTAAGTTATTGTGGGTAAGTTTGATCCTTTTGTAACTTACGTATAAACTTTATTAGAGTGGACCTAAATTAGCCTTTACCCTTAAACAAGCTTTAATATAGGGGCTGGTATATGTCTATAATTATGCTGTACACAATGGTTAGGATGTTCCACAAAGTGTCTCTATTCTTCCTAGTTGAAACTCAAACATTTCCCAGACCAATGTGAGTCCTGGAAATTATTCAGCTTTCTAACTCTTTGCCTCATAAAGTTTCACCCTATGCGTATGTATCTTAGTATTCAGCAACATATTTAAAGGAATGCCTATGTGTATTTTTGGAACTCCTTTTCTTAGTAGCATCCTTTTTCTGTGCTCTGTCTTGAAAACTCCAGGTATCTCAGCCTTTCTAAACTCCATCTGTCTTTTCAAACCAGTGAGGCGATGGTGTTCTGCTTGGCTTTCTTCCCCCTACTCCATGGTCTAGAAAATGTACCGGGTAGAAATCTAAAGTGACCAAGGTCTCATTTTTTCTCTCCTCTCTCAGATATTACAGTATTCTACTGTCTAATGCCCAATGTCTAAACTCAACTTTTAAATATTTTTTTTCAGTTTTTTAGCATTTTTTTAAATGGTGGGAGGGTAAGTTATTATTTCATGTCCAAGGACCAGCACCCATTTTTAAAAAAACAGATTGTTTCTAAGCTCTGTTTGAAGTTTTATGGTCAAAAATGATTGATGTTTTCTTGAAAAACTTAAATTATGTCATGTTCTGTTTTTATATATTAAGCTGGAATTTTGCTTCCTATAACTTTTTCACAGATTACAGTTACATCTTAAATCTGTAGGCTTCAGCTACATCGCATAGGTCTGTTTCTTTCTTTCTTTTTTTTTTTTCACATGACAGCTGTTTGAAATTTGAAGACAGAAAGTGCTTTTTTTTTTTTTTCCCGAGAAATGGTTTTCTGAATCTTTCATAATCTTTGATACTTTTTGGATATTGTCAGATTCAAAATATTTTTTCTAAAATATATTTCCTATAAATAATAAAAGCATTCCAGATGTGGTCTGATGAAATCATGCATATGGAATTGATCTTGTGTTATCAAATGATTAATAACTTTTATTTAAATATTGTTACTAGCACACTACCATAGAATCTATATAACTTCAACAAAATGCCACTTTTAACCTCTTTTTTTATTACAAAATATAGGGTTATAGAATCACAGAATTCGAGGGAGAGAAAACTATTGAGAACAGTTTGTGCAACTATGCCATTCTACTGAGAAATTTTTTTTTTTTTTTTTTTTTTTGAGATGGAGTCTCACTCTGTCGTCCAGACTGGAGTGCGGTAGCGCAATCTTGGCTCACTGCAACCTTCACCTCCCTGGTTCAAGCAGTTCCCCTGCCTTGGCCTCCCAAGTAGCTGGGATTACAGGCATATGCCACCACACCTGGCTAATTTTTTTTTGTATCTTTAGTAGAGACGGGGTTTCACCATGTTGGCCAGATTGGTCTCAAACTCCTGACCTCAGGCAATCTGCCCGCCTCGGCCTCCCAAAGTGCTAGGATTACAGGCATGAGCCCCCACGCCCGGCCTCTACTGGGAAATCTTTATGGCCTTCCTGTCACTTTCAGCAGAGCCCAAAGTCTTAATGGTGCAAACACAGCCTTGTCTACTTTTCTTCATTCATTACTCATCTTTGGCTCTATGATTTTTTGCTTCAGTAATCTGTTTTGTATTTCATAAATAGATTTCTTTCAGGGTGTTTTTTCCATGCTATTTTCTTGCCTAGAATGTCCTTTCCAACATGATTTCTTACCTAAAATTACATATCCTTTAAGAATCTTTACAGATACTGATTCATCCAGGAAGACTTTCTTCTTTTTAAAGCACTAAGGATGAGTTAGCTGCTCCTTCTCTTGCACCCATAATTTTTTTAATAACTCTGTCACTGCATTTAGTACATTTTACCATAATATCTAATGTACTTGTCTATCGGGAATACTGAGGATCTTGACTAGTATTATTTATCATTTTATCACTAGTGTTTAGTAAAACACCTGGGACATAGCATAAGTGAAATAAATGGCTATTAAGAAGAAAATGAGTTTTACAAATTGGAAAGTTGATTTCTGAGAAACTAATTGACTTGTCTAAGGACACAGAGCTAAATCATCATAATCAAGTCATAGAACTGAAATTCTACATGTTTTTGAAATCATAGTTTAATTTTCAAAATTTTAGTTTTTGCATCTTAAATAGAGAAAACTCATGCCAGGCAACATAGTTTCCTAGAAAGTAGTGTTAGGCAAATATTTATGTTTTAAGACTTTCCTGGGGAGTGTAGTCTTTGAGATGTGAGAGAGAGGGAAAAGAGAGTGAGGCAGGAAGTAAAGAAAACGAATATGATGGGGTGTGTTACTGAGTTAGCTATCACTTGACATCAAGTATAATGACTGTTTAATTTGGTAAGACTATTGCTGGGGAGACTGCATGATCTGCTGGTCTTATGACAGTCCTTCTAGAGAGAGGAAGGGAGACAATTTATGTGCCAGATTTGTCTCTTACTGATCTGAGATTGGTTCCACAAAGATTGTCTCTCTAAGCTTATAGATTGAATATGCATGACTGTCAACTGGGTTCCAGGACATCTTTAAATGTCAGGGAGGACTTATTTCAATTTGCTTCAATTGTACCATCTTCATGTGAAAAATATCTCACAACTTTCTTATATAGTTCTTATTTGTTTTATGAAATTTTTACATAATAGGATCGGCTCTTTGCTAAAGTTGAGTGTGCATTTTGATTCTTTTTCCTCTCAAGCATTTTTGAGCACTAGAGTGGAGAAAAGGAAGTAAACAGAAAAATGGCAAGTATGATGCGTAATGAATTAAAGTTATTTTCCCCAAAATTTCCCCTAATTTTCTAAATGATAGAAACCAAATAGAAGAGCCTTTTTTGGGAAATAGTGTTATTCCTAGAGATCCCTAAGAGCTTTGATAGTCATTTTAATTCATCATTTTTAGAAGTTCTAAACTGCTTTTCGTTTTTGAATTTGATAATCGTCATTTACCAATTTCTCCTACCCTAAGAGATAGTATATAAAACATGGTCTATAGTAGACTATTGCCTGGACAGAAAACAATGGCCAGAAAACAAATTAACATGTAAAAACATGCTTAGTCAAGGCTTTTTGATTCCCTTATCAACTCTTCAGAGATAAATATGATTAAAAGTTTGGTACATATTCTTCCAATTTTTATGCAACTTATGTGCAAACTTACACCTAGAGAAACTTTTCTATATTCCCTGCTCTGTACCTAGTCTCTTAAGCTAGCTAGCTTTCTTTTCTCTTTCTTTTTTTCCTTCCTTCCTTCCTTCCTTCCTTCTTTCCTTCCTTCCTTCCTTCCTTCCTTCCTTCCTTCCTTCCTTCCTTCCCTCCCTCCCCTTCTTTCCTCTTCTTCCTTCCTTCCTTTTTCTTTCTTTCTCTTCCTTTTTCTTTCTGTCTTTCCTTCTTTTCTTCTTGTAATTACACACACTACTGTGATGATTATTCTACCTGCATAATAACTTTGGGTAAATTTGTGTGTAATCACTAAAAGTGGAATTGTTAGTTCAAAGGGAAGGCAAGATAGGTATTGCAAAATATATTGTACCATTGGACCCTCCTTAAATGGTTGAGAATGCCCGGTATCTTCCTCATTCAAATGAGTATTAAGTATTTTAATCTTTGCCAATCTGATGCATAAAAAAATCATTGTTCTGATTTGTATTTATTTGATTATTAAGATTCAAGATCTTATTAATTGTTTATTGGTCAATTCTGTGAATTGCTTTTTGCAAGTCTTTTCATGTTTGTTTGTAAAATTTGTAAATTATTTATTTTTATTCTTTTTTATTTACAAAGATAGGTCTATTTTAGTATTAATTTGCAGACATTTTTGCTATTTTGCATAGTAACCTATTTCAAATGGATTGAAAAAAATTTTTCCATTACTTTAAAATTTGCTTATAGTGTTTTATAATTTGGCTTATGGGATTATTTGTTATGAAACATTTAAATGACTAAGTTCCCAAATGTATTGATCTTTTCTCTTTATAGTTTCTGTGTTCATATTATTATCATAAAGATCTTTTTCATTTTAAAATTATAAAATATTTTTATTTTTACATTTTAATCTTCAAGTTGTCTTGATTTTGCTTTTGAGCATAACAAGAGGTTGTGTAATACCTTAAAAGACATAGTGACTCCAATTTCTGCACACAAAACATATTAGGTAGTCTACCTATTACTCATAGATTTAAAAGGTAATCTGTATTATATGTTGGAGTTTCATAAATCTTTGGGATCTCATCTTGTCTACTGATATATACTCTTATGTGCTATTATTATATAATTTTATTATCATGAATTCATAGTATATTCATACATTTGCTTAGTCATTTGTCTGTTTTAGGTACCATGTGAAGGCCTGGGCATATAACATGAAACAAGAAAGATAAGGCCCGTGCTTACATAGAACTTGGTGAAGAATCTAGACCATAACAAGCACACAGAGAAAACGTATCACAAATTGTGCTAAAGTTCTGTAAAGGGATTAAGATGAAGTGTCACAAGACTGAATTAGACAGAGTGCCCTTGAAAGAGGTCAGTTGATAAACAGTCTTTATTTCTTATGCAAACTGAATTCCCCTTTATCACATAACAGAACATATTTACAGGTTCTAGGGATGAGGCCATGAACTTTTTCAGAGGCTCATTATTCTGCCACCTGCAAGAGGAGAGAGAACTGTAGTGCTGTGTGTGAGAGGAAACCTGGCATGAGCTGGGGATGGAAGCTATGGTCTTTTTTATTATGGCAAAGAGTTTAGATTTAAGTGAAAACAGCCATGGTGGGGGGGTTTAACAGGGCCATACTATGATTTGATGTAAATTTTCAAATGTCTATTTTTAACACTGTTTAATTTTCAATACAATAATTTACTCTTAGATGTTAACTCTAGAACAGAAAAGCTAAAAGTTTTTCAAAAAAAAACAAAAAAACGAGGAATTTTGATTGAACCATGCTGAATTTATTGAACTATTTTATTAAGTGGTGCCTTAATATTTAGTCTTTTGATTGTACAGGATTTATACTTCCATTTATTCATTTGAGTTTTTAAATGTATACTTTTTAAAAATATTCTTTACCTTGGAACTGTATATTTCATGTGAGATTTAACCTTAGATGTTATGTAAAATTAAAAAATATTTTAATGTTGTATCACTGATTATTTTTAGTTAAATTAAGTGCTCTTGATTTTGTATATTTTTCAAAAATCTAGTAACCTAGTAAAATTTGCTTATTCTAAGAATTTTCACTCAATACTTTTAGGCTTTCCAGGTAGACAATTTTCATATAATCTTAATTCTTTCATTTTATATTTACATGTTTAACTTAAATTGCACTGACAAAGGCTTACAGTATAGAAGTGATAAGTGTAGGTATTGATTAGTAATGAATGCTTACTTTATTAAGTGACTTACTATAGCATGTATCATTTTTGTCCGTTAGTGTGTAATGCAATGAATTACATCATTATATTTCCTCAGTATTAAACTATTTTTTATTTCTGGAAGCAATGAATACTACTTTTCTCTTGGTACAATATTCTTTTACTTCTGCCAGACTTTATGGCTAATATTTACCTTTATGATATTAATAAAGTATCTATATGCATAAGTGATGTTTATCTATTGTAATTTTTATGCTCTCTTTGTTCATTGAATATTAAAGATACAGCAGGTTTATGAATAATGTTTGAAAGATCTCATGTTTTTCTATGCTCTGAAGCAAAATTAAAAACCTGACCCTTTGCTAAAATTTATGAATCTCATGCCTTTGTTATGGGTCTATTCAGGATTTTGAAATATTTTGTAAAGTTGGTCATTTATATTTTCCAATAAAATAATTGTATTGGCCAGGCACAGTGGCTCACAGCTGTAATCCCAGCACTTTGGGAGGCCAAGACAGAAGGATCACTTGAGATCAGGAGCTCGAGACCAGCCTGGGCAACATAACAAGCCTCTATCTCTACAAAATTTAAAAAAAAAAATTAGCTAAGCATGGTAGCATGCAGTTGTAGTCCCAGCTATTTGGGAGGTTGAAATAGGAAGATTGCTTGAGCCCAAGAGTTTGAGGCTGTAGAAAGCTGTGATAGTGCCACTACATTTGAGCCTGGGTGGAAGGGTGAGACCCTGTCTCTAAAATAATAATAATAATAATAATAATTATTATATTTATAAGTTTATTGGTATAAAGTTATACTTTATTCCTGTATGACACTTTGACCTCAAATTTTAGCCTTTAATCTGTGTCTCTATGCTTAATTTTTTTAAATCTTATTTCTTTATTCTTGGGAATATCTGCAAGAAGTTTTTATTTTAATACTATTTTGAAAAAGGAAGCTTACTTTAATAAATTATGCTTATTTAAAGTGTTAATTTCTATTTTACTTTTATTGCTTCTGCTATCTAACTTTCTCTAAGAGAAGACTACCAGTACATGTGGATGCATAGTTTCTTGATAAAATTGATGACTCACTCTACTGAAAAACAAATAAAAAAAAATCTGAGTTCATTATGCATTTCATTCCTTAGGTAGAATATTTTAAAATTTTAGCACTTATATTTCTAAATTGTTTTTATTCTTCTTTGATTCATTTATCATAGTATCTTGCTTTTGATTTATGGATGCCATATGGTCTCAATTTCCATGGAGAATACTAACTCTCTTCTTTCTTGTATTAACTCTGTTTCATTAGAAAAATGACATTTACTGCCTTTGAGCTTCTTTTCAGAATACTGAGTATGTTCCTGTGTCACCTTATTTGCCAATAGTGCCAATTTTTAGAATGGAGGGTGTAGATCCATCCTTTGCAACTGGTGAGGACCTCCTCAGTAAGGCACTGAGCCAGGAGTCTATACAGCCATGCCAGCAGGTAAGTATGCTCACCTTCTTCTCTGGGTTACAAAGTCAATTCGCATTGCTACAGGCATATCTTTTGACCATGACAACGCTTTGTGGGTTTTTTGTTTTGTTTTTGCTTATTTTTATTTTCTTTACTAGGGAAACAGTACACACTCATACTAAAAAGGCATTCTTTTCTTGTCTGTGGTGGAATTGTCCAAGTTGTTTGGCCTGATCTCCAGGGTCGACTTTCTAAACCAACAAGTTTTTAATCCTCTGATGGCAGAATATTAGGAGTGTCTGTTTCTGGCCTGGATTTTAGTTGCTGAGGTTATAAGTATGTAGGGAAAGAATTACTGTAGAAATTAAAGTTTCCAGGGATTTTATTGCTGTGCTGAGTCATTTATCCTTCTTGTGTTTTGGGGCTGAAAGTTAGCTGGAGAACTATTTATCTTTTCTCTCTCTTCTAATGCCAGTAATCCAAGTCTACTTTGCCAAAGTCCCAATTTTCTATTGATTAAGCTAAACTTCCGCATGGTGTGAATGCTACAGTTAAATGCATTCTGTGTTTAGAAAAGGCACAGTTCTTAAAGTCACGCTGCCATCTTCCACAGGGCTTCCATATCACTTCCTCTTTCAACCCTGAGTTGTGGATTATTTTATTGAAAAAATATTATTTCTAATGTTTCAAAAAGCTTTCCTTTGCTTGAGTTCAGTTATGAGTGATATCTACTTGTCTTCATCAAGAAATTTTTTAGCTGATTTGATGGCTGATGCCTGTAATCCCAGGACTTTAGGAGGCTGAGGTGGGAGGATCACTTGAGCCCATGAGTTTGAGATCAGCCTGGGCAACACAGTGAGACCCTGTCTCTCCAAAAAAAAAAAAGAGAATGTCTTCAATTTCTTGTCCATTGATAGTACATGTCTCTGGTACAATGCCTTTCTTTCTCTTCATTTTTCTTACATGCAATTTTTGTTGGTAATTAAAATAATATTTGGGAAAGAAAAAATGTATCCAGATAAATATGTCATCAAGAAATTAGAATTTGTAATCGGGTTCATTTAACAATTAATAGTTTTCCACATGTGACTCTTCTTCCAATAATTTCTTTCTAGGGCATTCTAAACTCTCAAATGTCACCCATGCACTTTGCCACCTTTAGTGAAAGCTGTAGAGTTACAGTAGAGTTTGTTCAGAATCTGTGGCTCCTTAGTGATGGAGAGCAATTTGTTCAGCATTCTATCGAAATAGGAAGGGTTAATGGCCTTGTTTGTCCTGAGGCTTTTTTTTCAGTCTCTGAAAATGGAATTGTATGTTAATATGTAAATGAATTCTATATTTTTTGCAGCTACACAGCTCTTTACTGGAGGGGACCTCGAATACAATTTCTCTAAAAACTAATGTAGGTCTCTTCTATTATTCCGAAAAGTCTGCCTCTTTTTTTTTTTTTTTTTAACCTGTCAGGCATATTTGGTCTAACCTTCTATATCCAGGTAGGCAAGTTGTCATTTAGCTACAGTTTGCAGATGTGGCAAGTGAGGCTCATAAAATTTAAGTAATTCTCAATATACCTAGTAATAAAACGCTAGAATCTAAATTGTCTATTTCTAATTAAAGTTATGCTGCTATCTCCCACAGGGCTTCCGTATCACTTCCTCTTTCAACCCTGAGTTATGGATTATTTTGTCAAAAAACCTATTATTTCTAATGTTTAGGAAAGTTTTCCTTTGCTTGGGTTCAATTATGAATGATATCTATTTGTCATCATCAAGAAATTTTTCAGCTGAGCTGCTTCTACATCAAATGAGCTCTCTAAATTTATGAATAAAAATTAGTAAAAAATATTTTATCAAGTATCTAATCTGTGTGATATACCAATATGGCTAGGAGGGATGTGCAAAAGTGAGTATGGCATGATTCTGAAGAGTTAACAATGATCACGTTGAAGAAAGAAGCAGGGAAGATATAAAATAATATCGCTGTGCTCATTGACAGAGACAATAACCATTATAAACAACCAGAAGAACAATAGAAAGATGCACAGTAAGCACAGGTTTTTATTGTCAGAACAGCATCTTTACGATGTTATAGAACTGGAGTTGTCTCAGGCATGTTAACTTAAAAAAGTTTCCTGGAGTATCCTGGAGAATTTGATATCTCTAGAAACTGTTGCCTGTGTTGTGTCATCAAGGATGCTTCCTGGGCTCCTGGTGGCTCCTTGGCTCCAGTTATTGACCATGACATTTGGTGTCTGTCCTACTTGGCTCTGGATGTTCTTGACCCCTGGATGCCCCTGTTCACCCTTGTGACCTGGGCCTCTACCAGGTTCTGAACCTGCTGATTCCTTGCTGCTTCCTTGCTGCTTTTCAGTACTGACTTCTGCAAATTCCTGGTTTAAATTCTGCTTAGCCCAGCAGTGAGTGCCAGTGGGGACATATGTAGGCAAAGTGAATGGAGGGTTATATAACTGCCCAAACAACTCTTGCCAATTTCAGTTCAGCCAGAAGTATTCATTTTGATGTGGGTTAGGTATATAGAAAAGGAATCTCTTAATCAGACCTCTTAATTTAGTAATTCCTGGTTTCAATATTACATACAATAAAGGAGTCCTAGTTTTATTATTACCCAATGTACTGAGTAGAGACAATTAAAATATAATCTGTAACTAAGAGATCTGTTGTAGAAAAGATAACTAAAAATGGAAAATCCCAAATGTTATCATTCTGGATAGAAGGCAATCTACAATAGGGAGGTAGTTTTAAAAATATAAAATTATCCTGTTTTATTTGGATAGTTCAGGACAATGGACACATTTACTTTTATGTTATTTGAGCCTCTGGGTTAGAAGGAGATCTCCTCTCTCTCTCTCTTTCTCTTTCTCCTCCTCCTCCACCACACACCTTCTCTCTCCTTTCCTTCCTTTCTCTATTCCTCTTTTCTCTTTCTCTCTTTCTATTTCTGTCTTTCAAGCTGAGTATATCTATTATATATAAAGAGAAGTTAGAGGGACCTTGATCTCCAAGATAAACTAATTGTAATCAATGTTTTCATAGAAGTGTCTTGTGCAAAACAAGTTTACTGAAAATGGGAGAATTTTGTCTGCTTGTTTGTAAAAGATGGTTCTTGAGCACTGTTGTAGAAGAAAAGATCCTATCTCTCACTGAAGACTATTATATTATCAGTATCAATCCACCGTCAGGAACAAAAAATAAAGAGGTCAAGCTTTATGAATGTTCCAGTTGTTCTTTATATTCACTTGCACTTTGTAATTTTTTTTTTGAATTTTAGGCAATTCTCTAGGTGTATAGAGGTTATGGTTTTAGTTTGCATTTCTCTAGTCACTACCTACATTGAATACATCATTCACAATCTTGAACAACTTTCACATAATTTTCTTAGTTGCTACCCGTATCTTTTCTCTGGTGAATGTTTATTCATTCTTTAATCCAAATTTCATTTGCTATCTTCTTATTATACAATTGTAAGTCTTTATGTAATCTAGATACACATGCTTTATCAGATATGTGTTTTGTAAATATATTCCTTTGTTACAGAACCAAACCTGGTTCAACTTGCCTGGCATAGGAAAGCCAAAAATCCACACCAAGATTTTGCAGCTAGAGAAAAGAGGGCATTTATTCAGAGGGCACCAAGCAAGGAGAACTGGATAGCTCACACTTAAGACCTGACCACCCTCATGGCTTCCAAGCAAGAGTTTTTTAAGTTAGGGGTAAATTTCAGCAAAGCAGAAGTTACAGGCAAAATTGTAAATACACACAGGAGGCTATTTATTGGTTTAACCTAAAAGGGAGGGATATCTTTTAGGTAGGGCTTACAGAACATGGGTGAATTTAAAGATCCTCTGATTTGCAATTGATTAAGGAAGAAAAGCTTTGTCTAAAAACTTGGGGTCACAGAAAGGAATGTTAAGGTCTGGCATGTGGATGTGACTTCCTCCAGGCCCCTCTAAAAGAGATTTAGAACAAAGACTGTTGGTAAGAGTTCAGTCCTCAGTTCCACTTTATCTGAAGTCTATGTGCTAGCAGATGGCATTTTCCATTTGATGAGGGTCCAGTATTCTGAAAAAACAGCTCGAGGACATATGTTAAGATGTTATCTCTAGTTTTTATAGGGGACCAAACATCCCGTGACTCTAACATTTTTGGCTATGGTTTAATCTGTTATTACCTTCTTGCTTATCAGATTGTTCATTTACTTCTCAGAGCTAGCTAGGTGCCTTGAATTTCCCTTGAAGGAACTCAAGATTTTCTTTTCTTTCCACGCTTTTTGGGGATGCTGGCAGGCCCCTAAGAGGGGTTTCAACTTTGTCTCCCTTTTAGTCTGTGGTCTGTCCTTTCATTTTCTTAGCAGTGCCTTTCAAAGAACCAAAGATTTTGAGTGATTTCAATTTATATATATTTTTATAGTGGATGCTTTTCTTCTTCTAAGAGATATTTGCCTAACCTAAAGTTACAGGATTCTCTCTTCGGTTCTTGTCTAGAAGTTTTAGAAGTTTTATAGTTTCTCCCTTTAGAATTAGGCTTGTGAAATTTTTCTATCACTTTAGAAAATAATTTGGCAGATTCTGATAAGTCAAGCATATCTTTAGCATGTGATCTGTCAATCTCACTTCTAGGAATTAACTCAAAAGAAGTAAAAACATTTATCTGCATGAAGTCTTAGGCATAAATTTTTACAGTGGCTTTATTCATAATTGCCCCAAATTGTAAATAGCCGAAACATCCATTAATTGATGAATAGATAAACAAATTGTGGTATATTCATATAGTATAGTTAAAGTAAAAACTACTGATACATGTAACAACATGGGCTCAGGTCAAAAGCATTATAATGGAAAAAGCCAAACACAAAAACTACATAGTACACTATTCCATTTATTGACATTTCAGAGAAATTACAGAGACAGAAACCAGATGATCATTTATCAGGTGCTAAGGGTGAGGGAAGGGTATTGATTACAAAGTGGCTCAAATAAGCTTTTTGGAGAAATGGAAATGATCTATACTCAGGTGTGTTAGTGATTGATATGGTTTGGATCCATGTCCCTGCTCAAATCTCATGTTGAATTTTAGTCCTCAGTGTTGGAGGTGGGGCCTGGTGGGAGGTAATTGGATCATGGGAATAGTTTCTCTTGAATGGTTTAGTACCATGCCCTTGGTGCTGTTCTCATGACAGTGAATGAGTTCTCACAAAATCTGGTTGCTTAAAGGGCTGTGGCACCTCCCTCCTTACTGTCTCTTCCTCTTGCTCTGGCCATATGAGATGTGAGATGTACCTGCTCCCCCTTTGCCTTCCACCATAATTGCAACTTTCCTGAGGCTTCCTTAGAAGCCAAGCAGATACTGGCACCATACTTCCTGTACAGTCTGCAAAACTGTGAGCCAATTAAACCTCTTTTCCTTATAAATTACCCAGTCTCTGGTACTTCTTTATAGCAGTGTGAGAAAGGACTAATGCAATGGTTATGTAACATTTTATGTTCTTCAAAACACATTGACCTGTATATCTAAAAATGGTGAACTTTTCTATATGTAAATTTTACCTGAAAAAAATCTGAGTAAATAAAATTTCTTTCAAAGGGTTCAAGCTTTCACAAAAGTATTTTCAAAGAAAAATTTTGTAATCTGTTCAGAAATCTCTGCCTCCCATTTTTTTTCTATGAATGAACTAATATTTTCTAGGATGTGAGATAGCCCAACAACAAATTCCCAGCTCTCATATAGGTGCCCATAGATATTGCATAAATTTTCTCCGTTTTTATTATAAACAGTACCTATGTCAGTGCTTCCAGCTAGAAAATTCAGACACATATTAGCTTTTTGCCCTTATTCTTAAGAAGTTATCTGTCCAATTATTGCTGCCTTTACTGTCTTTGAATCATATTTATCTTCTTTTCTCTCCTTTCCTCTCACTATGTTAGTCTAGGCTTTTGTGCAATTTGAATTGAACCAGTAAATTTGATCTTTAATTGTTTTTCCTACCCATTGGCTCTAATTCTTTCAATTCATGTTGAATATGATGACCCAAAACATCTCAAAATGCAGGCTTCACCAAATTGCCTAACATATCATGATTACGCCTTCCATTTGCTTTTAAATGCTTTGGAAAATATAGCTTCAAACAAAATGTTCTCTAAAGAATAGGTACTAAAGCATTTTATTTGGTTTAGCAATTATAATACATACTTGGATGTAAAGTAAGAATTTATTTTTTCCAAAATTATCCTCCCAAATGAAAGATATGCTTGTGTCCTTACAAAGCCTTCCAAATTTGGGGGTACTCCATCTACTACTTTATTTTGGGTAGCAATATATAATTGATGAAAGGCTTTTAGTCTTTAATAATGTCAATAAAAGCTAGTTTAGATGCCCATAGCGGTCTCTTGTTGGAGTCAAATACAGATGCTAAGAAATTTAACATAGATTTAGTGAGGGATGTGGTCTCACTATTATTGCAAGATTGTACATTGTAAACAAGCCTTTACAGATGTTTAATTGATTTCCTAGGCTAAATTGCTTAAGAATATGTTTCACTATTTTATATTATAGTTTAAGTTGACCAACTTTCTCCTCCCTGCTTTTTGGATGTTCTCTCTCTCTCTCTCTGTCTCTCTCTTTCTATTTATCTATCTATCTTATCAGCCAAATCAGTTGAGAATAACATTGATATATCTACTGCTTATCTGGATTATTTTAACTATCAGTGAAAGCTTAATCTATCCACATTGTCTATATTTAGCTTCTTCAACTTCTAAAAGAAATCAACAACAGATTTTCTATAGAATTTGGTGATGATTGACAAAATTTTGGTGACTTAGTTCACATTGTTATAACAAAATGCCATAGGTTGGGCAGTTTATGAAGAACAGAAATTAATTTCTCACAATTCTGGAGGCTGGAGGTCAGACCAGGGTGCCTGCACAGGTGAAGGCCTTTTTGCAGGTGGCAGATAGCCAACTTCTCATATACTCACATGGTGGAAAGAGAGCTAGAGAGCTCTCCAGATTCTCTTTTATAAGGGCACTAATCAAATTCGTAAAGGCTCCACCCTCATGACCTAATTACATCCAAAGGTCCCATCTCCTACTAACATCACACAGGGGATTAGGATTTCAATGCATGAATTTTTAGGGGACACAAATATTCAGTTTATCACAGATAGATTTATTGGGCTCTTGACATCAAAAGTTTTGGAAAATATCTATGCTTGTACCACCTTCTCCTCTCATTAATCTGTGGGAGTACCTTCATAGAAAAATTGAAGCCTTATAGGAAATTGAATTCTTAGAAAACCTTTAGGACTTTGCATTTTTTCAATCATATCCAAACATCTATTAGAATTTGCCCTTTTCTTATAGCCATTTTTACAACATAATCAATAAAATATGTAATATTTACTGGATAGAGAAGTCAATTGATATTTAGGAGTCTTTGGCTTTAGCCATGGGTCTATGGTCACTTTCCCCTGGGCTTTGATTAGTCACCCTTCAAATGGAGAAGGCAGGTGATATGGTTTGGCTGTGTCCCCACCCAAATCTCACCTTGAATTGTAATAATCCCCACGTGTAAAGGGCGGAGCCTGGTGGAGATCACTGAATCATGAGGGAGGTTTCCCCCATATTGTTCTCGTGGTAGTGAATAAGTCTCATGAGATCTGATGGTTTTATAAATGGGAGTTCCCCTGCACAAGCTCTCTTGCCTGCTGCCATGTAAGACATGACTTTGCTCCTCATTCACCTTCTGCCATGATTGTGAGGCCTCCCTAGCCATGTAGAACTGTGAGTCAATTAAACCTCTTTTCTTTATAAATTACCCAGTCTTGGTAATTTGTGTCTTTATTAGCAGCATGAGAACAGACTAATACAGCAGGACTGGACGTTGTGCATAATCCTTTCAGGATTTAACACTGATCATATGTCATTCACAACCACAACAGATACTTACATAGATGTGATATCCTCAATATTTGCTATACTCTCCTTTCTTTTAGTTGCAAAATTAATATTTTATTATATACAGATGGCCTAAAAGATGGGTGCATATTGGATGTTAATTGTGGCTTAGAGTAGAGAAGACAGTACCAAAACTTTGATTATTTGTTCTCTCTGCTGTAGGAGTGCTTGTGAGGGGTTGAGCCTTATTCACAGTGTTAGCAAATGTTAATGCAAACAGAGGTGAGTCAGCATATCAGTGACTCATAATAACTTTCATAATTGAGATCATATTTATACATTTTTCTTGTGAGGAGAAAAACAAGTAGAGATAGAAGTGACTTTATGATTTTGTGATGATAAATACCTCAATAGGTAGTCAAACAATCAGGAGTAGATGCTACCAATTAACTTTGTGACCAGAAAAGACCTCCCTGTGGGCTTGGGGATCCTGTATTTACACTAAAAGTCTCAGCGGCCCAAGCCCGCAGAGGATCTGAGTGGCAGAGTGTGTGGACAGATGGCCTATTTTCTGCTCTGGGTTTGTGGAAGTTATTACTTTCCCTTTCATGCTTAAATATCTTACATTTATTCCCTCTCATGGCTAATATTTTCTATTTCAACTTAGATTTTCCCTCATAGAAGCATGATGGTTTTACTGCTGCAGTGAAATTATTTAGGTCTGTAAGTCAAAACTTTTCAAAATAGATGGATGATCCAGTTATCTTTCTGAGCAGTGACCATAGTTCTCAGACATAAAATCAATATTTTCAAATGAAATTGATAAAAATAAAACATAAGTGGACTGCAGAAAACCCAGACTACACCCTTTCAAATTCATCTGAGATTTGCTGTGGACCCGCCATGTATCAGGCATTTCCCTAGAATTTCAGAAAACCTAAACGTAGTGACCACCTAGGAGAAACTTCTTTCCAGATAAAGAATGTTCTGAAGAGAGTACCTCGATTGTTTACTGAGAGGTATAATTACTACAAGATTTTCTTTCCACCCAACATAGAGCTCATTTTGACATGTTGAAGGCTAGAACATATCTTATAGGGGAGGGACCTTTGTGACTTTATGTGCTTTCCCAGCTTAGATGTAAAAATATCTCCTCCCACATAAACTAACTTTTTAGCCTAACTGGTTAGCCAAGTATCATTTTATTAATTTTAGCAAAAATATCTATGGTTGTGTGTGTGCATGTGTGTGTGTGTGCATGTGTGCATGCGTGCATGCTTGCATGTGTGTGTGTTGCTCTGCTTAATAAATTGAGAAGAAATTTGTGCTTACTCTGGCATTAGTTGAGAAAGGGAATAAGTGAAAGAAGCTGAAGTTGTAAAGAGATAGAGGAGATAGGGCAGGGTTCTGGAAGTGAGAAACTCCCTGTAGCGTGAATGGCTTTAGACAAAGGGACATGAAATGCTCAATTTTATGTTTTAAGTTCTGTTAGACTTCTATGTAACACTGTACTGTTACTTTTTGAATCTTTAATAAAAGCCTATTATTTAAAACTGCTTGGTGAGAGTGGTGTTTGCCAGAAATCAAGATTAAAAGCGACTGTGGATGACTTGGGGTCAACATAGGTTTGAAGTAAGTTACAGTTGCTAGAGGAAAGGTGAAAGTGAGTTGGTAAAATCAGGAGAGGCAGGGAAGGCTCAGAGATAGAAGTATAGATAATTAGGAGAAATGTAAGCCCTGACCAACTCCTGTAGTTAGGCCTGAGTCGTTTTGCTTTGTTTCTCTGGGTTTGTGGAAGTTATGACTTTCCCTTTCATGCTTAGAGTATGTGGAGACATGGACATAGAAGTAACCACCTGGACTGAGATAGAGAAACATTCTGAAAGCAATATTTATACATTTAGAATTCCTTCTCTGAAAATCACTAAAGAAACATTATGACGTGATATCAGCAAGATGGCAGAGTAAAAGATCCCAGTCTTTGTCCCCTATAAAAAAGAATTAACTCCCCATGAATTAAAATAGCCCCGAGAGAGCTCAGCAGCCAAATTAGGACACTGTGGCAACACAGTAGAATAAAATAACAGAGACTAACTCCACAGAAAGGATAGGGAGTATGGTTTCATTCTGCCTGCATCATTCCATCCTCCATGTCAACATGGCTTATGCCAAAAAGATTCTCCTTGGCCCAGAAGTTTTCCTCATGGAGAAAAAGTATAGCAAGTGACCTACCAGCTACCCTATCTTTTCAGGTTACTTCTCTAATGACCTGCTTCAGTTTCACAGCACCCAGATTGCTGGGAAGATCAGCATGCTCAGTATATCTGGGATGTCTGGAGACAGCTAGGAACAAAGAAGAGCTGCAGGAGCTGTAAGTGTCAGTCACAACGTGGGTACCACTCTGGTCCTCAGTGGCCTGCTGCTGAGGACCTCAGTAACCCTCATGGACACCAGAGAAATCCTCACTGCTTCCGCCAATGAGAATCCTATCATGTCTGCTTCAAACACCAGAGCCACCACTACAGTAAGTGCACCTGTGCCCTGGGCCCTGGAGTCATAATTATTCCATACGAGCCCATGCTCTGTACCTTGGTTGTGCAGCCATCCTGTGAGTGTCTGTGCATCACAAACTGGCAAGACCACTGCCATCAGCATTCCTGTGTGTCAGATCTGTCACTAAGAAATATACCCTTAACCATAAACTTCCACTTATGGGAGAAATAGAGAACAGGTGAACCCCAGCAGCCTTCTCCACTGAGAGCCTCAACAACATTCACAGCTGTCATGGACATCCACAGCCTTGGCTGCTGAGGAACCCAATGGTCTTCTGACCTCAGCTGATGGAGCTAAGTAGACTATATCAGTGTGTCCAGAGCCAGAACCACTTCACCCTACTCAGCTAACACCCCTGCTCCCACTGTAGGTGAAGATCTTTCCTCACCAAAACCAATCCATAAATCCTGGAGGAGGTAAATGCTCTCCTAAATGTGCAGATATCAATGCAATAAAAACAAACAAATCAGGGAAACTTGAAACCACTGAAGGAAAACAATAATTTTCTGGTACCCAACTGCAAAGAAATGGATATATACAAATTATGTAAGCAAAGATTCAAAATAATTGTTTTAAAAAGGCTCTGTGAGCTATAAAACAAACAGGCAGACAGTCAACACAACCATATCACAACCATATCAGGAAAACAATGCATGAACAAACTTAGAAGTTCAACAGAGATAGAAATCATAAAAAAGAACCAAACAGAAATTCTACAGTTGAGTAATACAATGAATGAAGTTAAAAAATGAAACATAGAGCTTGAACATCAGACTCAATCAAGCAGAAGAATTAACCTACAAACTCAAAGATGGTTCTTTGGAAATTATCCAGTCAGAGGAGGAAAAATATAGAAACAAGAAGAGTGAAGACAGTTCTATGTGATTTTTAGGACACTGTAAAAGAAACCAATATATGCATTTTGGGAATATCAGAAGGAGAAGAGAAAGAGAGAAAGAAGAAGAAACTTCTTTAGAAAATGACTAAAAACTTCCCAAATTTGTCGGGGGAGAAATGGACATCCAGATTGAGGAAGCTGAAAGATTTCCAAACAGGGTTGATTTAGTTTGGCTGTGTCCCCACCCAAATCTCATTCTGAATTCTCATGTGTTGTGGGAGGGACCCAGCGGGAGGTAATTGAATTATGGGAGCAGATCTTTCCCATGCTGTTTTTGTGATAGTGAATAAGTCTCATGAGATCTGATGGTTTTAAAAAGAGATGTTCTCCTGCACAAGCTCTCTCTTTACCTACCACCCATCATCCATGTAAAATGTGACTTGATCCTCTTTGCCTTCCACCATGATTGTGAGGCCTCCTCAGCCATGCAGAACTGTAAGTCCATTAAACCTCTTCCTTTTGTAAATTGCCCAATCTCAGATATGTCTTTATCAGCAGTGTGAAAACAGACTAATACAGTAAATTAGTACCAGTAGAGTGGGGCACTGCTGAAAAGATACTTGCAAATGTGGAAGTGACTTTGGAACTGGGTAATAGGCAGAGGTTGGAACAGTTTGGAGGGCTCAGAAAAAGACAGGAAATTGTGGGAAAGTTTGGAACTTCCTAGAACTTGTTGAATGGCTCTGCCCAAAATGCTGATAGCGATATGGACAATAAAGTCCGGGCTGAGGTGGTCTCAGATGGAGATGAGGAACTTGTTGGGAACTGGAGTAAAGGTGACTCTTGCTGTTTTAGCAAAGAGACTGGCAACATTTTGCCCCTGCCCTAGAGATTTGTGGAACTTTGAACTAGAGAGAGATGATTTAGGGTATCTGGAAGAAGAAATTTCTAAGCAGCAAAACATTTAAGAGGTGACTTGGGTGCTGTTAAAGGCATTCTGTTTTAAAAGGGAAGCAGAGCATAAAAGTTTGAAAAATTTGCAGCCTGACAATGTGATAGAAAAGAAAATCTCATTTTCTGAGGAGAAATTCAAACTGGCTGCAGAAAGAGAATTGCGTAATTAAGGAGGAGCCAAATGTTAATCCCCAAGACAAATGGGAGAATGTCTCCAGGGCATGTCAGAGGTCTTCCTGGCAGTCTCTCCCATCATAGGCCTGGAGGCCTAGGAGGAAAAAGTGGTTTTGTGTGCCAGGCTCAGGGTCCCCATGCTGTGTGCAGCCTGGGGACGTGGTGCCCTGCATCCCAGCTGCTTCAGCCATGGCTGAAAGGGGCAAACATAGTGCTCAGGCCAGGGCTTCAGAGGGTGCAAGCCTTAAGCCTTGGCAGCTTCTGTGTGGCATCGAGCCTGAGAGTGCACAGAAGTAAAGTATTGAGGTTTGGGAACCTCCACCTAGATTTCAGAGAATGTATGGAAACACCTGGATGTCCATGCAGAAGTTTGGGGCTCTCATGGGGAACCTCTTCTAAGGCAGTGTGGAAGGGAAATGTGGGGTCACAGCCCCCACACAGAGTCTGTACTGGTGCATTGCCTAGTGGAGCTCTGAGAAGAGGGCTACTATCCTCCAGACTCTGGAACTGTAGACCCATTGACAGCTTGCACCTTGTGCCTGGAAAAGCTGTAGACACTAAATGCCAGCCTATGAAAGCAGCCAGGAGGGAGGATGTACCCTGCATAGTGAACAGGGGCAGAGCCGCCCAAGACCATGGGAACCCACCTCTTGCATCAGCATGGCCTGGATATGAGGTATGAAGTCAAATGAGATTTTGGAACTTTAAGATTTGACTGCCTTGCTGGATTTCAGACTTGCATGGGGCCTGGAACCCCCTTTGTTTTGGCCAATTTCTCCCATTTGGGATGACTGTGTTTACCCAATGCCTGTAACACCATTGTATCTAGGAAGTAACTAACTTGTTTTTGATTTTACAGGCTCATAGGTGGAAGGGACTTGCCTTGTTTCAGCTGAGACTTTGGACTGTGGACTTTTGAGTTAATGCTGAAATGAGTTAAGACTTTAGGGAAATGTTGAGAAGGCATGACTGATGTTGAAATCTGAGGACATGAGATTTGGGAGGGGCCCGGGGTGGAATGATGTGGTTTGGCTGTGTCCCCACCCAAATGTCATCTTGAATTCCCATGTATTGTGTGAAGGACCCAGTGGGAGGTAATTGAATCATGGGGGCAGGTCTTTCCTGTGCTGTTCTCATGATAGTGAATAAGTCTCACAAGATCTGATAGTTTTAAAAAGGGGAGTTTCCTTGCACAAGCTCTCTCTTTGCCTGCTTCCATCCTCACAAGATATGACTTGCTCCTTCTTGCCTTCTGCCATGATTGTGAGGCCTCTACAGCCATGTGGAACAGAAATTCATTAAAGCTCTTTTTTGGGGTAAATTACCCAGTCTTGGGTATGTCTTTATCAGCAGCATGAAAACAGACTAATACAAGGGTCAAGTCAAAGAAGACTACATATATATATATATATATATATATATATATATATATATAATTAAGTAGCCAAACTTGAGGACAAAGAGAATTTTGAAATTAGCAAGAGAAGAGAAAAAACCTAGCAAAACCATCTTTCAAAAATTAAGGAGAGATTAAGTTTTCCCCATCCAAACAATCACTGAAGGAGTTTTTTAGCATTGTACCTGCCTTACAAAAAATACTTAAGGGGATTCTTCAAATTGAAACAAAAATATGCTGAACAGCAAAGGAAAAGAATATGAAAGCATAAATTTCATTGATGAAGGCAAATATGCAGAAATATGTAGATTAATGTAACGCTGTAATGGTAGTGTGTAATTTAGTTTTAACTCTATTATAAAAGTTAAAAGATAAAAGTTTGTTTATAGATACACAATATAAAAAGAAACTGACTACAAGAATATAAATTATGTATATATGTGGGAGTAAAAGTACAGTGTTTTATATACTTAAAACAGAGAATTACAGCTACAAGCTATTTTATGCAAGCTTTGAGCTGATCACAGGAGAAAAGTCTCTAATACAGAAAGAAGAAAAAGGATGAAAGCAAATTACTAAAAAAATTATCAAATAACAAGGACATATGGCAACAGAGGAAAAGAATGAGAAAACAACCACAAAATAGAAAACAACAAGATGGCAGTACTAAGTTATCTCCTATTAATAATAACCATAAATGTAAATGGATTAAATTCACCAATCAAATGGGACAGCTTGGATGAATGAATTAAACAAAATACAATATCCAGTGATATGCCATTTACAAGAGACTCACTTTAGATTTAAAGACTTGAAGCAGCTGAAAGTAAGAGGATAAGAAAGCTATTTCACATAAATGGTAAACAAAGACAACAAAAGTGGCTATACTTACATCATAAACAATATATGTAAAGTACAAAATGATCTCTAAAGACTAATGTCATTATGAAATGATAAAAGGGTCAATTCAATAGGAAGATATAACAGTTATAAATATATAAACACTCAATATCAGAGCACTTGTATATAAAGCAAATACTGCCAAATCTGAAGATAGAAATCAACAGCAAAACAATAAAAGTAGAGGATCTCAATATCACACTTAAAATATTGAATAGAACATCCAGACAGAAAATCAATAAACAGCTGCCTTGAACAACAATATACCAAATGGACCTAACAGATATATACAGAACTTTCTACCCAACAGGAGATGGGCACTCATTCTTCTCAAATGCATGTAGAGCATTCTCTGGGATAGAACATGGGTTAGATCATAAAACAAGCCTTAACAAATTTAAGAAGATCAAAATCATGCCAAGTATCTTTTCTGAACACAGTGAAATGAAACTAGAAACCAAAAACAGCAAGAAAATAGAAACATTTACAAATACCAGGAAACTAAACAACACACTATTGAATAGCCATTGGATCAAAGAGGAAATCAAAAGGGAATTTAAAAAGTATCTTGAGATAAACAAAAATAATACAACATACCAGTAGCTATGGGATGCAACAAAAACAGTACTAACAGGAAAATTTATTGTGGTAAACCACTGCATTAATAAAGGAGAAATATCTCAGGTAAAATAATCTAACTTTATACTTCAAATAATTAGAAAAAGAAGCAAAAGCTAAGCCCGAAGTTAGGAGAAGGAAGAAAATAATAAAAATTAAAGCAGAAATAAATCAAGTAGAGAATGAGAAAACTACAGGAAAAAATCAGCAAAATCTTTTTTTTAATTTTCAATTTTTATATTTTGTAGGTACATTCTAGTTGTATATATTTATGGGATACATGAGATGTTTTGATACAGACATCCAATGTGTAACAATCACATCATGGAAGATGGGTTATCCATCCCCTCAAACATTTTTCCTTTGTGTTAAAAACAGTCCAATTATATTCTTTTAGTTATTTAAAAATGTACAATTTAATTATTATTGACTCCAGTCACCCTGTTGTGCTTTCAAATACAAGGCCTCATTCATTTCTTCTAACATTTTTTTGTACCCATTAATCATCCCCACCTCTTTGTCACCCCTCACCCACTACCATTCCCAGCCTGTGGTAACCATCCTTCTACTCTATATCCATGGGTTCAATTGCTTTTATTTTTGGATCTCACAAGTAGGTGAGAACATGCAGTGTTTATCTTTCTGTGCCCAGCTTATTTCACGTAACATAATGACCTCTGGTTCCATCCATGTTGTTGAAATGACTGAATCTCATTCTTTTTTTTATGGTACTCCATTGTGTATATGCGTGACATTCTCTTTATCCATTCATCTGTTGATGAACACTTAGTTTGCATTCAAATCTTGGCTATTGTGAACATAACTGCAACAAACATGGGGTGCAGCTATTTCCTTCATATATTTATTCCCTAGGTTTTGGGTATAAACCCAGTAGTGGGATTGATGGATCATATGGTAGTTCTATTTTCAATTTTTTGAAGAACATGCAAGCTGTTCTCCACAGTGGTTGTAATAATTTACATTCCCACCAACAGTGTATGAGGTTTCCCTTTTCTCCATATTCTTGCCAGCACTTGTTATTGCCTGTCTTTTGGATATAAGCCCTTTTAATTGGGGGTGAGATAATATCTCATTGAAGTTTTGATTTGTATTTCTCTAATGATTAATGATGTTAATCACCTTTATCTATGTCTCTTTGCCATTTATATGTCTTCTGCTGAGAAATGTCTACTCAAATCTTGCCGATTTTTAAAACAGTTTATTAATTTTTTTTCCTATAGAGTTGTTTGAGATTCTTACATATTCTTGTTATTATACCATTGTTAAATGAGTAGTTTGCAAATATATATTCTCTCATTCTGTGGGTTGTCTCTTTACTTTGCTGTTTTTTTTAATTATTATTTTTTCTGCGCAGAAGCTTTTTAACTTGATGTGATACCATTTGTTTATTTTTGCTTTGGTTGCCTGTGCTTGTGGGGTATTGCTCAAGAAATTTTTGCCCACTCCAATGTTCTAGAGAGTGTCTCCAATGTTTTCTTGAGTAGTTTTATAGTTTGACGTCTTAGATTTAAGTATTTAATAGATTTTGATTTAATTTTTGTATGTAGTGAGATATAGGGGTCTAGTTTCATTCTTCTGCAAATGGATATTCAGTTTTCCCAGCACCATTTATTGAAGAGACTGTCTTTTCCCTAGTGTATATTCTTGGTAACTCGGTTGAAAATTATTTCACTGTAGGTGTTTGGATTTGCTTTTGTGTTCCCTATCCTGTTCCATTGGTCCATATGTCTGTGTTTATGCCATTACCATGCTGTTTTGGTTACTGTAGCTCTGTAGTATAATTTGAAATCAGGTAATGGGATTGCTCCAGTTTTGTTCCTCTTGCTTAGGATAGCTTTGGCTATTCTGGGCCTTTTGTGGTTCTATATAAAATTTAGGATTGTTTTTTCTATTTCTGTGAAGAATGCCATTGGAATTTTGATAGAGATTGCATTGAACCCTTAGACAATATTGATTCTTCCAATCCATGAACATGAATATCTGTTCATTTTTTGGTGTCCTCTTCAATTTCTTTCATCAGTGTTTTATAGTTTTTATGATAGAGATCTTTTAATTCTTTGGCTAAGTCGATTCTCAGGTATGAAATTTTATTTGTGACTATTGTAAATGGGACTACATTTTAAATTTCTTTTTCAGTTTGGTCACTGTTGGTATACAGAAATGGTACTGATTTTATCATGTTGATTTGGTATCCTGCAACTTTACTTAATTTGTGTATTAGCTTTAATAATTTTTTGTGTAGTCTTTAGGTTTTTCCAAATATGAGATCATATCACCTGCAAATGAGAAAAATTTGACTTTCTTTACAATCTGAATGTGAGCTATATCTTTCTTTTGTCTGATTGCTCTAGTTAGGACTTCCAGTACTATGCTGAATAACAGTGGTGACAGTGGACGTCCTTGTCAAGTTTCAGATCTTAGAGGAAAGGCTTTCAGTTTTTCTCCATTCAGCATGAAACTAGCTGTGGGTCTGCCATATATGGCTTTTATTATGTTGAGTATGTTCTATCTATACGCAGTTTTTTTAGAGTTTTTATCATGAAATAATGTTAAATTTTAGCAAATAGTTTTTCAGCTTCAATTAAAATAATCATACGGTCTTTGTTCCTCAGTCTGTTGATATGACGTATCACATTGATTGATTTGCATTTGTTGAACCATCCTTGTATTCCAAGAATAAATCCCACTTTGTCATGATGAATGATCTTTTTAATGTGTTGGCGAATTCACTTTGCTGATATTTTGTTGAAAATTTTTTAAGCAGTTGTTTTTTAGAAAAGAAAAAACAATTGAAAAACCTTTAGCTAGACCACCTAAAATAGGAGAGAATGGACTCAAATAATAGAATCAAAAATGAAAGAGGAAACATTACAATACGTGCCTCATAATTAAAATGGGTCTTAAGGGACTACTATGAGCAATTATATGCCAACCAACTGGATAACCAAGAAGTCATAGATAAACTCCTGGAAACACACAACCTGCCACAACTGAATCAATAAGAAACAGCCCTAACAGACTGATAACAAATAAAGAGATTTAATCGGCAATAGGAAAATCCCCCAAAAAAGAAACACCTGGGACCAGATGGCTTCACAGATTGACTCTACCAAATATTCAAAGAAGCATTCATATAAATCCTCTTTAAACTACTCCATTAATTTAAAAAGGGAACACTTTAAAACTCATTCTATAAGGCCAATGTCATAATGTGTTAGGTTGGTGTAAAAGTAATTGTGGTTTTTGCCATTAATTTTAAACCAACCTAATATAAAAACCAGACAAAGACACTATAAGGAAAAAAACCCTACAGGTCAACATCCGTGATAAACATAGATGCAAACATTCTTAATAAAATACTAGCAAACTAAATTCAGTAGTACATTAAAATAATCTCACAGCATGGCCAAGCATAATTTATCCATGGGATGCAAGAATGGTCAGCATATGCAAATCAATGGAAGTGCTATTCCACATTAACAAAATGAAAAAAAAAAGTCATCTCAATAGATACAGAGAGGGCATTTGACAAAACTCAACATCTATTCATGATTAAAACTCTTAGCAAAATAGGTATAGAAGAAGCTTACCTCAACACAATAAAGGCCATATACTCTAAGCCCACAGTTAACATCATACTCAATAGGGAAAAGTAGAAAACTTTTCTCCTAAGATCAAGAACAAGATAAGGAGGCCCACTCTAATCACTTTTATTCTACATATTTCTGGATGTCTTAGCCAGAACAAGTAGAAAAGAAAAAAAAAGGTATTCCAATAAAAAAGGAAGAAGTAAAGTTATATCCATTTGCAGACAACATGACCACAGAAAACCCTGAAGAGTAGATTTCAATTGCTCTTAAAAAAATACAAAAAAGTATCTTTGTGAGGTAAAAAAGAAGAGAAAGCCCTACAACACAACAAAAAACCCTGTAATAACAAACAAGTTCACTAAAGTTGCAGGATACAAAATGAACATATAAAAATTGTGTTTCTATACAAAAATAATACACTATCCAAAAGGAAATTTAGAAAGCAATCTCATAATCACAAAAAGAATAAAACACTTGGAAATGAACTTAACTAAAGAGGTAAAAAGTTTGTATACTAAAAATTATAAATAATTGATAAAGGAAATTGAAGAAGATACAGAGAAATGGAAAAATTATTCCCTGTTCAGGGATTGGAAGTCTTAATATTGTTAAAATGTCTATTCATACTACCCAAGATGATGTATAAATTCAACACAATTCCTACCAAAATCCCAATTATGTTTTTACAGAAAGACAAAACCAATGCCAACATTCATGTGGAACCACAAAAGACCCCAAATAGCCAAAACAATCTTGAGCAAGAACAAAGCAAGAGACGTCATGCTTCCTGATTTCAAAATGTATTACGAAATTATCAAAACAATATGGTACTGGCAGGAAAGAACAGATATATAGAGCAATGAAACAGAACCTAGAGATAAAAGATAAATCTATCAATCTATGATTCTTTGATCTTTGTTTGCTCAAGGGTGCCAAGAATGGCTACAGGCGCCCACCACCACGCCAGGCTAATTTTTTGTATATTTAGTAGAGACGGGGTTTCACCATGTTAGCCAGGATGACCTGGTCTCGATCTCCTGACCTCATGATCCGTCCGCCTTGGCCTTCCAAAGTGCTGGGATTACAGGTGTGAGCCACCACGCCCTGCCAGTACATTTTAAATACATACAATTTTTAATTGTAAATGACACCTCACCAAGTTGGGGGGCTGAGGGAGTGGAGAAACGTTATGACCAGAGTTTTTCTCATTTAAAAATTGCATCGTTAGAACAGTAGTGGAAGTTTATCTATTCAAAGAAAGAAACAGAATAAAAAAAAAAAAAAATGTTACTGGCCTTGGCCCTCCTGAACTTCAGCTGAAAACTTTTTTCCAAACTGTAAACTAGGGAAATTGTACAGCTCATTTTCTTTATTTCTTGTCTTTCAGGGAGCACTGTCTTTCATTGTCTGATGTTTATTGCAAACCTGTTCTTTTCAGCTTTTTGTTGTTTCAGGTAAGTGTGTAAATCCAGTCACTGTTCCTTCAGCTGGGTTGGAAGTGGAAGTCTTCTTCTTAAGAGTACTGTGATGTTCTGTCCCATATTTGCCTTTCGCTCTGAGCAGAGCCTGAGTCAAGACTTAGGTGCAAGCAGTGTATTTGGAAGATGATTCCAGGAGGCAGGTGAAAGAGAGATAGTTGAAGGGAATGCCAATAAAAATGTTTTGTCGAGCTATGAGCTATTCCTCTTACTGACTATTCGAAATTACCATGTCTCCAACAACTTTTTAACTCATTTATGTCAATGTGAACTTTTAAAAAAAATAAATTAGATGTCCTTGTGGGTATTACTGTGCACAAAAATTAGCTTAGAGCTGCTTTATTTTTTATATTAATATTCCATTTACTAAAATTTAAATGTAAAACTCTTAAAACTCTGATTTATCATTTAGCTTTTAACTACATATCTGATTATTTCCTTGGTAAAGCTAATACATTTTAATGATTATATTAAAGGCAGTTTTACAAAAGGATTCAAATATATAACATATTTTACTATTTTTAAAATCTTTTATAATTTTAGTACATTTGATTCTTATTTTAATGGGTATCATTTTCCTCATCCAAAATTAAAACAAAATTCCCACACTTAAAAATAATTATTGGAAATCTAGAAAATTAAACTTATGCCTTGGCTGACTCCAATTATTTTAAAGGTCTAATTGTTTTGTAAGCCTAGTGGAATTTCAAGTTAAAAATTGTGAGTATAAAACAATTACTTATATATTCATATTAAGTTTAAATTATAAACTAATCTGCTACCACAATAAGAAAAAGTGTCTTAAAAGCTACATAAACTAAAAACATAAAATATGAGAATTTTTCTTTAATACAGAATTATCACTATTAAAGATTTAATTACTTTTGTCATTAATATTTAATTTTAAAACTTTAACAGTAAAATATGCTTAACCAGTAGGGAATCAATAATACCATTTTAAGAGGATTTTAGAATCTGTTTTCAGGCTTAGTTGTTTTTGGCTTAAATGCTCAGTTCACCTGGGAAATAGACTGCAATAACACATATCAAGCTGTTTGACAGTAATTTTATCTTCAAAGGCAGTAGTACTGAGAGAGGAGAAATGAAAGGGGGATTTTTCACTGTTTACTCCATTTACTTGTAGGTTGTTTGATTTTTTTAAAATAAGCATGTTTTTATGTATGACAAGTAATTTCCTAAATTCCTCTTCACCATAGAAAACTTGGAACATGTACAATATGTTATCCCTTTAAAAAACGCTCAGTTGGCTTAGGTTGCGTGGCAACCAAATATTAGGACAAGATAGGAAATCTTGGAGTAGCAGATTTTATCCATGATTCTACCTGCCAGGTGAGCCCATTTTTAAAAATAGTTGGTCCATAAATGAGGAGCTCTCTTATCCCATCTCTCCCTTATTAAACTGAAACATTCCTAAACTTCTGATTTACTGGAATCCCCAGGTCGGTTTTTACAATCACCACATGAGTTTTACATATTGTATTCTATTAGCTTATACTATTGTAACACTAATTCATCCTTTTAGAAATTACTTTTTGAGTGTTTACTATGTGCCCAGCATTGCTCTAGGTAATTGAGAATATTGTTGAGCAAGACAAAAATTCCTGCCTTGTAGAGCTTACACACTAACAGAAGGAAAGAAACACTGAATGACAAGGATGCCAAGTAAATAAAAGGTTTAGTAGGCACACATAAGTAAATTATTTGGTATGGTAGAAGGGGATAAGTGTTAAAAAAATAAAGAAAAAAATTGAACAGAATATGGGATTGTGAGTGCTGTGGAGAATGTGTTGTCAGGATGCAAAAATTGTATAAGATGGTCAGGAAGGATCTCCTTAGTAGTTGTTATTTGAGAAAGAGTTTGAAGTAATTAAAGAAGCTAGTCAAGTGGTTATTAGGGGAAGAGTGGTCCAGGCAATGGGTACAGATAGAGCTAATGAGCTAGGGCTAAAGCATGCTTATTGCCTTTGATGAAAACAATGATTGGTGGGGCCAGAAAGCTGTCAGGGGAAAGATGAATACAGAGGGCATTGTAGATGATTGTCAGGGCTATGATATTATGATTCAGGATATGGAGAACCATGGCTGGGTTGAAGAATGACACAATCTGGCTTACGAATCCTTGTAGCTGCTGTATTGGGAATAGAATGTGGAATGGTTGGCAAGGAAAAATTAGAAAGACTTATTAGAAATCCATGGCAGTAATCCAAGAAAGAAAGAGTGGTTGCAAAGTCCAGATTGAAAGCATGTGGTGAGGATTATGGACATGATTTTAAGATTAACCTACCAAATCTCCTGGCAGATTGAATGTGGGATGTGAGAGAAAGGAGAGTGTCAATATGGCACCAAGTGAAATATGAGAAAATGGAAAGATGGGATTGTTATCAAGTAGGTTGGTGAGCATCTAGAGTACAATCTAGTACATGTTGAGAATGAGCTTCATACAGGACATCAAAAGAATGATTCAAATCAATAGCTGTAGTGATGTTCAGAGCCCAATATGAAAACTTAGAATGTAGAAGAACAAAAATGATGGGAGGGTTAGGGATCTTGGAGCAACTAACACAGAGAGAAATTGTGTCCGGTTATTGAGATGACTTCAGGTGACTCAGAGTAGTTAATAGTGATGAGGCTAACATAGGTAGAGATGAGGCAGGCTGGAGTCTTGGGGCCCCTCTTGATTTGTGATGACAACAGTTGAAGGCTATACACTCAGTATTACTCTTCACCAGGTTTGGGGAGACCCAGTCTAACTTGAGTGTGAACTTTGTCTCTTGAGTGACCTGAACACTTCCATGGAAGCTGCAGCTACCCCAGCTGTGACTCCTGTCACTCCTGATGAGAGTGACCTGAGGCCTAGTGCAGTGGCAATTTAATGCCTATTCTTGACCCTAAATGATGGTCTTACTGCTGGGACTTTTACCTTTAATTCACTTCCTCCAGTCCATTTTCTATACCAGTGGTCTTCAAATTAGGGAGGGTAATGTCTAATTATTAAAATATATTAACTCTTCTATTTGCATTAGTTTTATACAAAGCATTTTGTAGATTCAGGAGGTTCACAAAGATCATTAACATTTTTTTTTCCTCCTCTGATGCAACTACTTCTACCTTTTTTAGTTTACCATCTTACTATTTGCCAATCTTTTTAGAGACAGAGTCTCGTTCTGTCACCCAGGCTAGAATACAGCAGCACAATCAAAGCTCACTTCAGCCTCAAACTCCTGGGCTTAAGCTGTTATCCTGCCTCAGCCTGTCGAGTAGCTAGAACTACAAATGCACACCACTACACTTGGCTATTTTTTTTTTTTTTTTGTTAAGAGATTGGGTCTCGCTGTGTTGCCTAGGTGGGCTGGCCTTATACTCTTGGCCTCAAAGGATCCTCCCACTTTGGCCTCCCAAAGTGCTGGGATTACTGGCATGAGCCATTACACTCGGCTCCTATTTATCAATCTTTTGTCATAACAGAGAAAGGAGCTCTTGAATAGCTTCCATACTAATTTTTTAAAGCTTCTAGTTTTAGTTTTGTGTTTTTTCCTCACTTCTGTGAATTCCTAGTGCCTCAAATTTCTTAGTCTTTTGGAACTTTGCAGCATAAGTTAGGATGTTATAAAATGACTTTTCACACTTAGCTTTAGCTTAGCTTTAATTTCTCTTCCTAAGTCATTTATCCCTAGTCCTTGTACTTTTCAGCTTCCAACATTCTATTGCTGTGGTCTCCTCTCTATTTTTCTTTGTGGTTTAATGATATTCACGTTACATTTTTACTGTTATTTATTGGGGTTTGGGGAGACAGCCAAAGTAGATGTGTATGTTAAATATGATAACTTTACCTGGAAGTATTTTATGTGTATTAAAGTTATTAATATTCATGGCATATAATGATATAACTTATACTTGAAAACACATATATTTTACTGATAGGTTGCACAAGACAAATATTGGAGATCAGTATTCACATTGGCCAGAGTGTTCCTTCTAATTTAATATATTATATTGATTGTAAATTGTGCCAGAGATTCTGCAGAGCTTGTAGATTTCCTACCAAACAAAACGTGTTCATGTGGAACATTAATTCCTCTATATTTGAGAGCAGACACAAATCTTTTTAAATAAAGAAGCTATTTAAATCCGGTGGGTGAGTATCAAGAACAGTGGGACATCTGTCCATTTAAATTATTGGAAAATTGAGCAATTCAAGACATCAAACACTCAGATGCTCTTATGCAGTAAAATATGTACAATCTAATGATGCGGCTTTAGTGATGAGAAAGGGTCAGGTGAAGTACTGATCCTGTATTGATTCCCAGTTGTAGAAATCTTGTAATACCCTAATTTCACAGATCTGCAATCTAGCTTCAGCATAATAATGTCTGTGACAATAGGGTGCCACTGGTACAGTGTCATAGAAACTGCTCACCTGGAAAGAATTCACAAAAACATTTAGGTATACATATATAGGAATCAGATCAATTTCTATTTTTGAGAGCTCCTTGGTTAAACTTAAATCAGGTAGTTGAGACCACTATTTGCTTCAACTTTACATATGGCTTTAAAGTGTGTTTTTTTTTTCTACATATTATTGGATAACAGACTTTAGCTTTGACTATTGAGAAAGTTGGACTTTTTTTCTCCCTTTCAGGAACCAGATGGTGTATATTATTTGGGGCTAAATTGTTATGCCATGACAAAATGATTTTTTCTTTTTAAAATATTTATTTAAATTTTGTAATAAAAAGAGAAATCAAATAAATCTTGATCTTGGTCATTTCCTGTGGTCCTTCATCCTGTATTACATTAAGATGTAATGATACCTGAAGCATCCTCTTTCTGAAACCACCATTCATTATGTAATTACAGGTCTGCAAGGTACCAGCCTTAAGCCAGCATAAGGCGTAAAATGAGTGAGCCTAGACTCTGCCTGCAACATGTTACTGTACACCTCATGAAGAACCCTGGAAGTATGTTTAGAAGTAAAATATTTTAATGCAATTTAGTTTAGACTATATTTCTTTCATTCTGCCTTCCTATCACACGTCCCTTCATGTAGGGTGGATCAGGTCCATTTGGGATTCAGCTAAGGGGAGGTAGAGACGGCAATACCATTGGTTTGTGTTCAGGGGGATATAATTGGGTGTGTCACAGTCATGTTCATGTATAGCTCAGTTGTTGTCATCTATTTCAGCATATCATTTCCTTTAGCACACAGCACTGGATATATATGAGTTGTAAAGAAACGCATTTTGAAATGTACAAAGCAGAAGCACGTCATTGGAAAATGTGTCTCATCATTGGATGTGTAAAACTTAAGTGCAAGATTTAGCTCTCACTGAGCTTGTTGAAACAGAGAACCTTTCCTTTAAAACCAGACTAAACAAAGCAGTAAATAAAATTATAAGCACACCACATTTTACTTTGGATGGAAATCATGTAAAACACATTTTATTGGAGTTCTCAGGTTTTTAGGACACAAATGTGTGGCAGCTCTACAAATAGCAAGACTGTCTTTATATGGAGTCATAAGCTTTATGTATCTCAACATATCAGATCCTAGCGGATCTGACGCAATTTGGTCTGCTGAATTCTAATAGTTCAATATGAAACTGCAGGAAAAAATTGCCCCCAACATAGCAAAATGGCCTAGCAGTCTTACATATTTCATCATTAAGTCAATATATGCTGTCTAAGAATGACTTTATTATACAAATATGTAGCTTAACCTCAAATAGTGACAATTTGAGAGCACTGTTAAAAATAATTTTCAAAAGAAATTTAAAATCATGACTTCATGCAGATGGAAGAATGAATCTGTGTTAAGGATTTTATTTAACTCATTAATTAGGAAACTGGGAAGATGTTTAACTAGCTCAAAGGGAAATCCAGAAAACATATTTAAAGATCAGGAATTTGGAAATGAATGTGCAAATGGAAATAAAACTCTCTTCAGTCACAATGGGGGATAGAGGCTTTCCATGTCTACAGACAAGAATTTGAGTATTGCTATCAAATTCTTGTCTGTAGTATTGTAGGTTATAAATAACCTACAGAGCTATAAAATATCAGAATCAGAATAAGGTAACTCAGAAGGTGTGCTCTAGATAGGGGTGGGCAAACCTTTTCTGTAAAAAGCTACATAGTAAATATTTCAGACCTTGTGGGCCATATTGTCTTTGCCGTAACTACTCAACTCAGCCACTGTGGAGCTGAAGTAACCATAAATAATATGGAAATATATTGTTGCAACTATGTTCAAATACCATTTTATTTACAGAAAGAGATGATGGGCTGGATGTGGCCAGAGGCTGTGGTTTGCCAACTTCTGCTCTAGACAATGCACAATTGTTCACTGAAGCACCTCCTTCCTCTTATACTCTAAGTTCTAGGCTGAAGAATTCCTGATCATCGCTCAGATGTTCAAAGCTAGACTGCAACTTTGGGAGAGGACTAGTTTAATTGTGATTCATACTTACTCTGAAATCTATTTCTTTAAATTTGTGCATAAAGAAAAGGAATAAATTAGGATTCCTGCTTGAACATTTCAAATCTCAGGGGGACCATGGACTTTATGTTTTTCCTTTGGTCCTGCATCGTCACCAAAATTCAATTATATCTCAGGATTTTTCTCCCATAATTAAATATATATACATATTCTCAGAGGCAAAAAATGTGCTGACATTTTTTTGAGTGCTGACCTTGTCTGGCTTCATTCATTTCTTCTTCTAGGTTTTGGTGTAGTAAATAATTACGTGATGGTTGTTACTTTTAGGAAGATTTTTTAAAAAGATAATTAACCCTTATATTTTAGTGTCTTTGTTTGGAGGGTTGGTCTGAATTTTTCAGTTAGCATTATTGTGCACAGAAGTCTCATTCTGTTGATTCTTTAAATACTTTAAATGTCCACTTAGTATCACATGAAATAATAAAATGATCTTCACTGAATGTTTTTCTGACTTTATATAAGTCTCACTAACAATAATAAGACATATTATTTTGCTCATTCTTTTCTGAACCACTTCTTTTGGCTCTAGAAAACCTGGAATTAATATGCTTTGAAAAAAACATTAAAGATGATACTACACTATTTGGAATATCTTAACACTGATTTCATAAATGATGGAGAGTGTTAGATATTTAAAATACATTTTTATTTATTAATGTTAATGTTGAGTAACTTCTAAAAAATGAATCTACTATATAAGAAATTTTATACATGTGTCTGACTACAGGTCTAACCTTTAGGGATAAGAATAGTGTTCTATATCCCAAATTATAATTTTTACTTCTACCAAACCACTCAAACTAAGAAAAAAGGCAAAATTATGAGACCACATTTATGAGAGCGGTAAGGAAATCTATTTTAAATAAGCAAAAATTATAAATTATAAGTAAATTTAAACCTTTAAATATTTAAAATTAAAAACATAGTCTCTAAGACAAAATGTATGTTACACAAAATAAAAAGATGAAACACAAACTAGGAGATGACATTGATAATTTATAGATACAAATTGTTAATTGATATGTATCCAGAATCTAGAATGAATGGCAATTAAGAAAATGTAGCCAATGCAATAGAAAAATTGGCAATAATATGAATTCCTCAATGCTGAAATTCTCATGGCTAATAAACCCGAACGGCCAATAAACAGATGATGAAGTTCCCAACCTTCTTATATGCTATCAAGGGAATTAAAATAAAAACCAAAAAACTAAAATTAAAATTAAAAATGAGAAATAACTTTGTACTCTTAAAAGTGGTAAATATCACAAAACCCGTCTGTTTGTTAATTGTTGTCCAATCATATGGTACCCCCTAAACCTATGTAGGGCAGAAATGCCTGGAAGGCAGAGAGGCCAGTGCATTTGTTGAATGGCACAAATGCTCTCAACACCACACGTAACCATTTGGCAATGTCTGTTGAAGTTGAAGCTGTGCATAAATGATGACTTGGCATTTCAACTTCTAGGAATCAGTTGAAGATACTTTTGCACATGCATAAAAGGAGGCACAGAAAGAAAAGTTTTATGTTTTGTTTTATTTTTTATTATTTCGGCGGTTTTGGGTAATAGGTGGTGGTTGGTTACATGCATAAGTTCTTTAGTGGTGATTTCTGAGATTGTGATGCAACCATCACCCAGCCAGTGTACACTGTACCCCATGTGGAGTCTTTTATCCATCCTCTCTGTCCCACCTTTCCCCCAGTATCCCCAGAGTCTATTATCTCATTCTTATGCATTTGTGTCCTCATAGCATAGCTCCCACTTATAAGTGAGAACATACCATGTTTGGTTTTCCATTCTTGAGTTACTTCATTTACTTCATTTAGATTAATGGTTTTCAATGCCATCCAGATTGGTGTGTTTGTAATTATTTTATTCCTTTTTATGGCTGAGTAGTATTCTGTTTTATATATATGCATACACCATTTCTGTGAGAGAGATATATATATATATATATATATATACACACACACCATTTCTGTAATTATATATATATCTATATTTATATATCTATATATCTATCTATCTCACAGTTTCTTTATGCACTCATTAATTGATGGGTATTTAGGCTGGTTCCATGTTTCTGAAATTGCAAATTGTGCTGCTATAAACATGTCTGTGCAAGTGTCTTTTTCATATAATGACTTCTTTTCCTCTGGGTAGATACCCAGTAGTGGGATTGCTGGATCAAATGGTAGTTCTTTTTTTACTTCTTTAAGGAGTCTTCATACTGTTTTCCATAGTAGTTGTACTAGTTTACATTCCCACCAGCAGTGTAAAAGTGTTCCATTTTCACCATACCCACACCAACATCTATTATTTTTTGATTTTTTAATTATGACTATTCTCATAGTAGTGGTATTGCATTGTGGTTTTGATTTCCCTGATCATTAGTGATGTTGAGCATTTTTTTCACATTTGTTGGCCATTTGTATATATTCTTTTGAGAATTGTCTATTTATGTTCTTAGCCCACCTTTTGATGGAATTGTTTTTTTCTTGCTGATTTGTTTGAGTTCCTTGTAGATTCTGGATACTAGTCCTTTGTCGGATGCACAGATTGTGAAGATTTTCTCCCACTCTGTGGGTTGTCTGTTTACTCTGCTGATTATTTCTTTTGCTGTGCAGATGCTTTTTAGTTTAATTAAGTCCCATCTATTTGTCTTTATTTTTCTTGCATTTGCTTTTGATTTATTCGTCATGAACTCTTTACCTAAGCCAATGTCTAGAAGAGTTTTTCTGATGTTATCTTCTAGAATTTTTATGGATTAAAGTCTTAGATTTAATTCTTTGATATGTCTTGAGTTGATTTTTGTATAGGGTGAAAGATGAGGATCCAATTTCATTCTTCTATATGTGGCTTGCCAATTATCCCACCACCATTTGTTGAATAAGATGTCCTTTTCCCACTTTGTGTTTTTGTTTGCTTTGTTGAAGATCAGTTAGCTGTAAGTATTTGACTTTATTTCTGGGTTCTCTCCTCTTTACCCTAGGGATGGGGCTTCCTGAGAGCTGACTGCAGTGATTGTTATTGCTTTTCCGGGTCTAGCCACCCATCGGGGCTACCAGGCTCTGGGTTGGTGCTGGGAAATGTCTGCAAAGAGTCCTGCGATGCGATTCATCTTCAGGTCTCCCAGCCATGGATACCGGCGCCTACTCTGTTGGAGGTGGCAGGGGAGTGAGGTAGACTCTGTGAAAGTCCTTGGTTGTAATTTTTTTTAGTGTGCTGGTTTTATTGAATGCTGGTGATGCTAGCAGTGAAGTTGTCACATGGACAGACTCAGGACCTCTGGTTAGCCAGGATGTTGCAGGTGTTGTTTTCTCCTTCTGTGGAGCAGGATTGTTTTGTTGTGAGTTGTTGGCTTGAGTTTGTTGGCCTACAGCCAGGAGGTGGCACTTTCAAGAGAGCACCAGCTGTGGTAGCAGAAGAGGGATATAAGCTTGCCCTAAGTTGGCTAGGGTAAGTATTCACATTTCTCAGGAAATGGGTGGGGCCGTAGAGCTCCAAGGAATTTATGTCTTTTGTCTTTGGCTACCAGTGCAGGTAGAGAAAGACCAGCAGGTGGAGACAGGATGAGGCGTGTCTGAGCTATGACTCTCTTTGGCTGGGGCCTGCTGTGGTCACTGTTGGGGGTAGGGGGTGGTTCTCAGGCAATGGAGTTATGTTCCAAAGGGGATTATGGCTGTCTCTGTTGTCTCATACAGGTTGCCAGGGAAGCCAGAAGTGATAAGCTTCACCCAGCTCCTACGCAGCCAGCAAGGGCAGTCTCACTCCCGCTGTGCCCCACCAACAGTGCTGAGTTTATATCCAGCCAGCTGGTGCATAGTGCTGAGATCTTTTCCCAGGCAACAGGCCTCCCTGCTGAGAAAGCAAGCAGGGTTTTCAGGCCTTGTCCCTCTCCACCTACCTACAGCATCAGCTGTGGCTCCTGTGCTTGCATCCGCACTTC